>NC_000001.11:191934587-192559587 GCF_000001405.40 Homo sapiens
GGAAAAACTGAGGGCCTTTCCCCTAAGATCTGGAGCATGACAAGGATACCCACCGTCACCCTTATTATTAAACATAGTGCTGGATTTCATATCCAGAGCAATCAGACAAGAGAAAAAGTAAAAGGCATCAAAATTGGGAAGAAAGAAGTCAGATTATCTTTGTTTGAAGTTGACATAATCCTAGGTTTGGAAAATACTAAAGACTCCACAAGAAAAAATTTACAACTGATAAACAAATCAAGTTAAGTTGCAGTACAAAATAAACACACAAAAAACAATAGGATTTTTATATGCCAACAGTAAATAATGTGAAAAAAATTTTAAAAAAGTAATTCCATTCACAATAATCACCCATAAAATTAAATATCTAGGATTAATTAAGGAAGTAAAATATCTCAATGATAAAAAATTATTGACCAGGCATGGTGGCTCAGACCTGTAATCCCAGCACTTTGGGAGGCTTAGGCGGCCAGATCATGAGGTCAGGAGTTCGAGACCAGCCTGGCCAACATAGTGAAACCCAGTCTCTACTTAAAATATAAAAATTAGCCAGGCATGATGGCACATCGCTGTAGTCCCAGCTACTCAGGAGGCTGAAGCAGGAGTATTTCTTGAACCCGGGAGGCAGATGTTGCAGTGAGCTGAGATTGCACAACTGCACTCCAGCTTGGGTGACAAAGGAAGACTTCATCTCAAAAAAAAAAAAAAAAAAACAAAAAACTATAATACACTGATAAAAAGAAATCGAAGAAGACACCAAAAAATGGAAAAATATTCCATGTTCATGAATTGGAAGAATAAATATTACTAAACTCCCCCACACAATCCACAGATTCAATGCAATCCCTATCAACATACCAATGACGTTCTTCATAGAAATAGAAAAAACAATTCTAAAATTCATATGGAACCACAAAATACCCAGACTAGCCAAAGCCATCCTAAGCAAAAAGAACAGAACTGAATGAATCACACTGTGTCCAGAATTGGTTCATTCCGGTGGGTTCTTGGTCTCTCTGACTTCAAGAATGAAGCTGCAGACCCAAGCGGTGAGTGTCACAGTTCTTAAAGATGGTGTGTCCGGAGTTTTTTCCTTCAGATGTTCAGATGTGTCCAGAGTTTCTTCCTTCTGGTGGGTTTGTGGTCTTGCTGACTTTAGGAGTGAAGCCACAGACCTTTGCAGTGAGTATTACAGCTCTTAAAGTTGGCACGTCCAGATTTGTTTTTTCCTCATGGTGGGTTTGTGGTCTCACTGACTTCAGGAATGAAGCCACAGACCCTCGTGGTGATTGTTACAGCTCATAAAGGTAGTGCGGACCCAAAGAGTGAGCAGCAGCAAAATTTATTGTGAAGAGCAAAAGAACAAAGCTTCCACAGCATGGAAGGGGCCCGAGCGGGTTGCCACTGTTGGCTTGGTTGGCCAGCTTTTATTCCCTTATTTGGCCCTGCCCACGTCCTGCTGATTGGTCCATTTTACAGAGTGCTGACTGGTCCATTTTACAGAGGGCCAATTGGTGCATTTTAACAGAGTGCTGATTGGTGCATTTACAAACCTTTAGCTAGACACAGAGCACTGATTGGTGTGTTTACAATCCTTTAGCTAGACAGAAAAGTTCTCCAAGTCCCCACCTGACCCAGAAGCCCATTTTACTAGTGCTGTAGTAAACAAAACAACATGGTGCTGGCATTAAAATAGACACATAGACCAAGGGAACAGAATAAAAAACCCAGAAACAAACCCACGCACATACAGTGAACTTATTTTTGGCCTAGGTGCCAAGAACCTACACTGGAGAAAAGACAGTCTCTTCAGTAAATGGTGCTGGGAAAACTAGATATCCATAAACAGAAGAATGAAACTAGACCTGTATTTCTCACCACATACAAAAACCAAATCAAAATGGATTAAAGATTTAAATCCAAAATCTCAAACTATGCAACTACTGCAGGAAAACTTTGGGGAAAATCTCTGGGACACAGGTCTGGGCAAAAGTTTCTTGAGCAAGCACAAGCACAGGCAATCGAAGAAAAAATGGACAAATGGGATGACATCAAGTTAAAGAGCTTCTGCATAGCAAATGATATGATTAACAAAGTGAAAAGACAACCCACATAATGGGAGAAAACATTTTCAAAGTACTCATCTGACAAGGAATTCGTAACCAACATATATAAGGAGCTCAAACAACTCTATGGAAAAAAACGTAATAATCTGATCAAAATATAGACAAAAGATTTGAACTGACATTTCTCAAAAGAAGACGTACAAATGGCAAACAGGCATATGAAAAGGTGCTCAACACCATTGCTCATCAGAGAAATGCAAATCAAAACTACAATGAGATCATCTCTTCCCAGGTGAAATGGCTTATATCCAAAGGATAGGCAATAACAAGTGTTGGTGAGGATGTGGAGAAAAGGAAACTCTTGTATCACTGTTGGTGGGAATGTGAATTAGTACAATCGCTATTGAGAACAGTTTGGAGATTCCTCAGAAAACTAAAAATTGAGCTACCATATGTTTTAGCAATCCTATTACTGAGTATATACCCAAAAGAAAAAAAAAATCACTATATCAGAGAAATGTCTGCAATCTCTGCACTCCTTTGTTTGTTGCAGCATTGTTCACAATAGCAAATATTTGAAAGCAACCTAAGTGTCCATCCACAGATGAATGGATAAAGAAAATGTGGTACATATACAAAAATGAGTATTATTTAGCCATAACGAATGAGATCTTGTCATTTACAACAACGTGGATGGAACTGAGGATCATTATTTTGAGTTAAATAAACCAGGCCCAGAAAGACCAACATTGCATTTTCTCGCTTATTTGTGGGATCTAGAAATGAAAACAATTGAACTCACGGACATAGAGAGTATAAGGATTTTTACCAGAGGCTGGTAAGTGTAGTGGGGGGTTATGGGGGAGGTGGGCTTGTTAATGGGTACAAAACAAAATGGTTAGAAAGAATGAATAAGACCTACTGTTTCATAGCACAACAGGGTGACTATAGTTAATAATAACTAAATTGTACGTTTTATAATAATTTAAAGAGTATAATTGAATTGTTTGCAACTCAAATGATAAGTGCTTGAGGGGGTGAATACCCCATTCTTCATAATGTGTTTATTTCACATTGAATGCCTATATCAAAACATCTCATGTACCCAATAAATATATACAGCTATGTACCCACAAAAATTTTTAAAGACAGAAAAGTCTTACGAAGTTGAATTTTACCATATGTAAAATTCTATGTTGAATGCTTGAAATTGATGATGTCCTGTCTTCCTTACAACAGTCCTTCAAGAAATAAATAATTGTTATTCTCAATTTACAAAGAAGAAGGTAAACTTTGGAGATGTAACAGAAACTACCCAAGTTCACAGAGCTGGCCAAGTGATGGAACTGTTATTCATTATTTTCCTTAACTTTTATTTTAGGTACAGAGGGTACATGTGAAGTTTTGTTACATGTGTATATTTCACTCAGGTAGTGAGCATAGTACCCAATAGGTAGTTTTTAACCCATGCTTTCCTCCTTTCCTCCCCATTCTAGTACTTTGCCATGCCTATTGTTCCCATGTTTATGTCCATGGATGCTCAATGTTTAGCCCCCACTTATAAGAGAGAAGATGTGGTATTTGGTTTTCTGTTCCTGCTTTAATTCACTTAAGATTATGGCCTCCAACTCCAGCCATGTTGCTGCAAAAGATGTGATTTCATTCTTTATATGGCTAAGTAGTATTCCATGGTGTGTATGCGCTACATTTTCTTCATGCAATCCACCTTTGATGAGCGCCTGGGATGATTCCATGTCTTTGCTATTGTAAATAGCACAGCAATGAACATACGAGTGCATGTGTTTTTTTTGGTATAATAATTTATTTTCCTTTGGATATGTATATATATATATATATATAGGATTGCTGGGTCAAATGGTATCTCTATTGTAAATTTTTTGAGAAATCTCCAAAGTTCTTTCCACAGTAACGAAATTAATTTACATTCTCACCAACGGTGTATAAGTGTTTCCTTTTCTCTGCAGCCTTACCAGCATCTCTTGTGTTTTGACTTTTAAATAGCCATTTTGACAAGTGTGACATGATGTCTCATTGTGGGGCTTTTGTTTGCATTTCTCGTATGATTAGTGATGGTGAGCATTTTTTTCATATATTTGCTGGCTCCTATATATCCTCTTTTGAGAAGTGTCCATTTATGTCCTTTGTCCATTTTTAATGGGGTTATTTGTGTTTTGCTTGTTGATTTAGGTTCCTTGTAGATTCTAAATATTGACTTTTATCAGATGCAGAGTTTGTGAATATTGTCTCCCATTTTGTACATTGTCTGTTTACTCTGTCAATAGTTTCTTTTGCTGTGCAGAAGCCCTTTACTTTAATTAGTTCTCACTTGTCAATTTTTTTGTTGTTGTAATTGCTTTTGGGGACTTAGACAAAAATTCTTTTCAAGGGCAATGTCAATAAAGGTATTTCCTAGGTTTTTGTAGGATTTTCATAGTTTGAGGTCCTATAGTTAAATATTTAATCCTCCTTGAGTTAATTTTTGTATATGGTAAAAGCTAAGGGTGCACTTTTATTCTTCTGCACATGGCTAACCAGTTATTCCAGCACTGTTTAGCAAATAAGGAGTTTTTTTCCCCCATTGCTTGTTTTTGTTGGCCTTGTCAAAGATCAGATGGTGGTAGGTGTGAGTCTTTATTTCCGGGTTTTCTATTCTGTTCCATTGGTCTATGTGTCTGTTTTTGGACCAGTACTATGCGGTTTTGGATACTACAGCCTTATAGTATATTTTGAGGTCAGGTAGTGTGATGCCTGTGGCTTTGTTTTCTTTGCTTAAAATTGCTTTGACTCTTTAGGCTATGTTTTGGTTTTGACGTATGCTAATCAATAAATGTGTCTCACCACGTAAACATAATTAAAAACAAAAACCACATGATCATCTCAATGGATGCAGAAAAAGCTTTTGATAAAATTCAATATCTTTCATGATAAAATCCCTCAACAAACTAGGCATCAAAGGAACATATTTCAAAATAATAGGAGTCACCCAAGAAAAACCCACAGCCAACATCATGCTAAATAGGCAAAACCTGAAGCTTTCCCCTTGAGAACTGGAACAAGAAAAAATGTCCACTCTCATCATCCTATTAAACATAGTACAGGAAGTCCTAGCCAGAGCAATCAGGCAAGAGAAAGAAATAAAAGTCATCCAAATAGGAGAAAGAAGAACCCAAAGTATATCTCTTTATTGATAATATGATTGTATACCTAGAAAACACTAATGAGGCCGGGAGTGGTGGCTCCTGCCTGTAATCCCAGCACTTGGGAGAAGGGGTGGCAACAAAAGCCAAAATTGACAAATGGGATCTAATTAAACTAAAGAGCTTCTGCACAGCCAAATAAACTATCATCAGATTGAAGAGGCAAACTACAGAATGGGAGAAAATTTTTGCAATCTATCCATCTGACAAAGGGCTAATATCCAGATTCTACAAAGAACTTAAACAAATTTACAAGAGAACAACAAACAACCCCATCGAAAAGTGGGCAAAGGATATGAACAGACACTTCTCAAAAGAAGACATTTATGCAGCCAACAGACATATGAAAAAAGCTCATCATCACTGGTCATTAGAGAAATGCCACAATGAGATATCATCTCATGCCAGTTAGAATGGCGATCATTAAAAAGTCAGGAAACAACAGATGCCAGAGAGGATGTGGAGAAATAGGGACACTTTTACACTGTTGGTGGGAGTGTAAACCAGTTCAGCCACTGTGGAAGACAGTGTGGCGATTCCTCAAGGATCTAGAATATAAATACCATTTGACCCAGTAATCCCATTACTGGGTATATACCCAAAAGATTATAAATCATGCTATTATAAAGACACATGCACACGTATGTTTATTGTGGCACTATTCACAATAGCAAAGACTTGGAACCAACCCAAATGTCCATCAATAATAGGCTGGATAAAGAAAAGGTGGCACATATACACCATGGAATACTATGCAGCCATAAAAAGGGATGAGTTCATGTCCTCTGCAGGGACATGGATGAAGGTGGAAACCACCATTCTCAGCAAACTATCATAAGAAGAGAAAACCAAGCACCACATGTTCTCATTCATAAGTGAGAGCTGAACAATGAGAACAAATGGACATAGGGAGGGGAACATCACACACTGGGTCCTGTCAGGGGGTGGAGGGCTAGGGCAGGGATAACATTAGGAAAAATACCTAATGTAGGTGACGGGTTGATGGGTGCAGCAAACCACCATGGCAAGTGTATACCTATGCAACAAACCTGCACATTCTGCACAAGTACTCCAGAAATTAAAGTATAATAATAATAATAATAATAATAATAAAGAATCAGTAGCCTTTCTATACACCAATAATGTCCAGGCTGAGAGTCAGATCAAGAACACAATCCCATTTACAACAGCCACAAAGAAAATGAAATACCTAGAAATACAGCTAACCAAGATGATGAAAGATCTCTACAAGGAGAATGACAAAACACTGCTGAAATAAATCAGAGATGAAACAAATAAATGGAAAAACATCTCATGCTCATGGATTGGAAGAATCAATATTGTTATAATGGCCACACTGCCCAAAGCAATTTACAGATTGAATGTTATTCCTGTCAAACTACCAACATCATTCTTCACAGAATTTTTTTAAAAACTATTCTGTAATTCATATAAAACTGCCATTCAAACTTGCATTATTTCACCTTAATAAGCGAACTAAAAGTATAATTACATATTAGCTTTTATTATTACTAAATATTAAACATTGAGTTCTACAATGCCACACTTTTGAGTATCTGAAAAATGCTCCATTCTGAAAAGAAAGTGCCCCCACCTTCAGCCACAAGAAAGTCATCTTGAGAGGACAGTTACTCCAATCCCTGCTTTAATAAACCAACACTGACAATAACAAAAAAACAAATAAATACGTAATCAAGATTCTTCCTTAGATCTCACTATCAAAATAGTAGAAATATTTTTCTTAATGTTCTATAACTTCAAGATATATCACTTAGAATATTGGGGGAAAATACTTATTTGCTCATTCCATATTTAAAGTAATGTGAGTCTTGTATATTTTTTTCCTACAAGACTTAGGTCTTGTACTGACCCTGATAAAATGGTCATGTTCTTACTCTTCTTCATCCAGGAATTGGCGGTAACAAATAAGCTATATTATATAAAATTTAATTTTATTAATAACATCTGGCTGAAAAAAACAAATTCCAATCACATTAGTGAAATAAAGCAATTAAAGTGGCTGAAACTCTGTTCTCATTTTTTTCCAAGTCATTATAAAAAATTATTATACTTTTCATTTTATTAACTTTACTGCAATGCATAATTGATTGATGCGTATGATTTTGTCTCCCATCATACACTATAAGTATTTAGGGTACAGGCCATTTAAAATTCTACATTTTTTTCACATTTAAACAAAGCCTTAATGCAGTGCTTCATGTACAATAGCTGTTACGTAGTTGCTTAATGTTATTCTAAAACTTTTGCCAAACACTAATTTGCCACGTTATAGTTCTAACATAATCTTAATTTTACATGTGGTAGTGTAAGAGTTAAAAAAAAAGATAATGGATGCTACTCAACTTATGATGGCATTATATCCCAAGAAACTCATGATAAAAAATGTATTGAATACAACTAACCTATCAAACATCAAAGCTTAGCTTAACATAATTTAAATGTGCTCAGAACATTTAGATGAGCCTACAGTTGGGCAAAATCATCTAACCCAAAGCCTATTTTATAATAAGCTATTGAATATTTCAGGTAATTAATTGAATACTGTATGGAGTGAAAAACTGAATGGTTGTATAGACACTTGAAGTACTACTGAATGTGTATATCTTTTGCATTCACACATGGTTAAATTGAAAATCGTAGCCATCATAAATCAGGGACTGTCTGTATATTAATATCTGTACACATAAATACAGAATGTATTTAAGAGTATAATGTAGAATATCTTATGTTCCAGATTCACATTTTCTAATGGCTCACAAGCCAGGCCCTGATCTGGAATTGGGAGTTACAGCTGTCATTATAACATTCAATTATGCCAGGTGTAGTGGCTACCACCTGTAATCCCAGCACTTTGGGAGGCTGAGGTGGGAAGATGGCTTGAGGCCAGGAGTTCAAGATCAACCTGAGTGACATAGGGAGACCCTGTCTCTATAAATAATAATAATAATAAAAAAATTAGTGGGGTATTGGTGGCACATACCCATAGTCCCAGCAACTCAGAGACTGAGGTGGGAGGATTGCTTGAGCCCGGGATATTGAAGCTGTACTTAGCCATGACAAAGCCACTGCACTCCAGTCTGGGAAAAAGAGCAAGACCCTCTCTAAAAAATAAAATAAAACAATCAATGGACTTCTCTTACTGACCTTGCATTCAATAGAAAATGGTAAGTGCCAGGAAAAAAAAAGTATTAATACAGACAAGGATAGAGGGTGACTGGAAGGTGACAGAAGGAAGACTTCACATTTTGATTCTGTCATCATGGAAATCTTCATTGATGAGTTGTAGAGGCCTCCAGTCTGAAGGTACTATAAGTATCATATCTATGTAGCAAAGCTAGGGGCTACCTGGGATAAACCTAGGCTCTGTGAGCCTGAGGCTTTGACTTTGTTATTTTTAAAGTGAAGAATGCCAGTTGAAACAAAGTTAGCTATAAATGAGTAGTTCTTTGAAATGAGAAAATAAATTACAATAAATTAGAAATATAAAATAGCTGATAAATAACACAAACACTATAAAATTCAAGAAATCCATAATATGTCATTAAATAAATAACTGTATGACGCTTTTTGTGTTATTTTGTTCCACAATTTTTAATTGCATGCTCTTGAACCCTTCCCATATGGTCATGATTTTCTAAAGAGAGAACGGAAAAATTATTAATTCTTCCCTCTAGCATAACTGATCATGGTTGTTTTTCTTTATTGATGGATTAGAAAAGTTTGTTTCACTCTATTGTAAATATCATATGAAGTTTTAGGATTATTGTCACATGTTTGAGACCTTCTATCAAGTTCTTTACATGTACAAGCTATAAAACTTCACAGCATTTTAATCATTTTTGTAGAGTAACTGATTTTAAAAACTCTTTGAACTGACAACGATAATTAATCATTTTTTCATAGATGTGTACTTCCTATAGTGCTATATTATCAGCTTCATGTTGTCTTTGTTAATATCAGTATTTCATGTCAAATCAGCAGAAAATTAAATTTTTTCTATATTCTGCTCAAACTATTATCTCATCTTAGATAACTGGATTATCAAACAACTAAGGATTGTATTCATTACTTCTTTTCAAAATGTGTCAATTTCTTTCAGTTAATTACTGCTCTGATAGGATATGATTTTTTAATTTTTCATTTTGCTCCTTGATATCAAAATAATTGTAATTGATTTCTTTACTCATCCCTATCATTTTTCTTTCAGAGACTGTAAAATTGTATCTTAATATTTCTCAGTTCTATTGTAATGAATTTGAACAAAATGCAAAAGTACTTTATATACATCAAATCAGAGATCTATAATTTCACACTTGTTTTGGTGAAATATTTCAAAACCATCTTTTGATTGTATTTAAAGCATTTTGATTTTGTTTAAGTTTTGTTTCAATTTATTTGTGTTCAATTTATTTGTATTGAGTTTGTGAACTATTATTATTCTTGTGTTGCAAAGCTTGACTGGCATAATTGTCCCCCCAACCCCTCTACCGCTGCCCCCGTACATATGTATTCATAGTTACTTCTATGTGTAGTCAGGTTATTAGCTGTTCCAAAATAAAAAAAGCCTTCCAAGAACCTTCCTATTGGAGACCACATTGACATTGCTGGCATTTTTAATGATTGTAAAGAAAAAGGGTTTTTCTTAGTACTTTGGGAGGCCGAGATTGGCTTATTTCTTGAGCTCAGGAGTTCAAGACCAGCCTGGGCAACATGGTAAAACCTCATCTCTACTAAAATAATTAAAAAAAAAAATTACCCAGGCATGGTGGCGGGCACCTGCAATCCCAGCTACGCAGGAGGCTGAGGCATGAGAATTGCTTGAACCCAGGAGGCAGAGATTGCAGTGAGCCGAGACCGTGCCACTGCACTCCAGCTTGGATAAAGTGAAACTCTGCCAAAAAAAAAAAAAGGAAGAAAAAAGAAAAAATATGTCCTGAGTTCTCCATTGTCACCTGGCAGGAGCAAATATGTAAAAGGATAAGGTAATGTGAAAAAAGGTCCTAACCAATTGTAGTTAAAGTATCTTCCTTTTTGTCAGGTGGATGTATTTTCAGGGCACCACCCAGGGTTTCAGAAAGGGCCTGTGCAAGCGAGGGGCTCTGAAACTTTAGCTTCATTAGCTGTCTGGTGCAATACTTGACACCAGCGAAATTAGAGCTGAATGAGAGTGTAAAGATGGATTTGGAGAAAGAGCCAGAAGGATTCTGTAACCTGCTAAGGATTATGAATTTGTCACAAAGGTAGCCAGTGGAGGTTCAGGCAAGGGGAGCAATCTTATCTGATTTATTTATAAACAGAATTGCTTTGGCTACTGATTGAAAAATAGACTTTAAGAAATAAGGGAGGAATCTTGGAGAGCAGTTAGGAAGCTGTCGCAGTAGTTCGGGGGTGTGAGATATTTGGCTTAAAGTATCATCAGTAATAGTGGTAGTGGTAAAAAGTGCCTACATTGGTGCAATATTGTGAAGGTAGAGCTTATTGATAGATTTATTAGTGATGCCAAAGAAAGAAGAAAGTCAAGCAGGACATCAACACCTTTGGTGAGAGTAAATGGGCGTGCCATTCTCAAGATTACTAAGACTGAGAAGTTCTGACTTTGGAAAGAATAAATATTTTGGTTTTGGCCATGTGATTTTGGGATGCCTATTGAATAAATGAAGAAGGGTTTGAACATGTGGTTGGATACATGAATTTGGAGTTTAGCAGATAATTCAGGGCTATATAGACAGAATTAGATGTCATCAGCTATGTCAAAGCTTCAGAAATCGGTTATGTAACTAAAGCATGGATATAGATGGAGAAGAGAAGATATATGAAGCCTAATCCTGGAACATACCAATAGGTTGGTATCAGGAAGCTGAAGAAATGCACGAAGGCCAGGGAGTCCAAAAGCCAAGAGAAGAAAATGTTTCAAGTGCATTTGACCGACCATGCATGGCTGGCTTCATGGACATGCCACTTGTGCTGCCACACAAGGCATATGCTCAGAAGAATCCTATGCTTGGTTTAATACTCTGCTGTCACCATCATGAAATACCTAATAATTTTAATTTTGAACTAGTGTTTCATAGATGAAGTACAGTGGGAGAACAGGGTATGCATGTGAACACAGGAGATATATGAAATGTGCGTGTCTACCATTTCCCAGTTGTCTATAATTTTTTTTTCGAGAGAGTCTTGCTCTGTCACCCAGCCTGAAGTGCAGTGGTGGGATCTTGGCCTCTACAACCCCCGCTTCCCAGGTTCAAGCGATTCTCCTGCCTCAGCCTCCCCATTAGCTGGGACTACAGGCACCCACCACCACGCCTGGCCAACTTTTGTATTTTTAGTAAAGATGGAGTTTCACCATGTTGACCAGGCTGGTCTTGAGCTCTGATCTCAGGTGATCCACCCACCTCGGCCTCCAAAAGTGCTGGGATTCCAGGTGGGAGCCACTGCACCCAGCCGTCTACAACTTTTAACATGCTCAGTGAGCACAAGACTCTAGCAACCCCACAATGTGTGGAGCTGCCCAAAACTCAAAGTAAATACAAGGGAAGCATGTTACATCTATGACTGAATAAATGGGGGTGCTGACAACTCAGGAAGCCAAGATCTCTATTCAGATGAAAAGTTCATTCACAGCTGAAGGCAACAGCTTTCTTAAAATAAAACATGAATAAACAAGGAAACCCTATCATATTCTTTCTTGCTTTTGTTTCTTTCCAGAGTTAGTGAACCAGTAATGCTGAAAATGATGACACAGAAAGAAATGGAAGATAATTTATTTTTCTTTCAGCCCTTCTTTACGTATCATTAAAGCAAAGGTAGAAAGTATTGGTAGAATTTGTATCAAAAATTGAAATAAAAAAGTGTAGTTAGATTTTATACTGTTTTCACTATTCTAGTAATAACATACATATATATTGTATGTATTACGTAAATTTGGGGATTCCACATACAAGTTAAATGTTCTTTAAAACTGCCATGGGAACATGTAAAGATAAGATGTAAAATTCATATAAATAATTTTATTTTATTTTATTTTACCAGGAAAGGCATTAAATAATGATCAAACATGGTGAGTCAAGAGAGAGACAGCAGAAAAAAGGATAAAGCCTTATATCGTAGTAACTTTAAAAGGTTTTTTTTTCCTGCTTTTTAAATGAAGAGTCCTACATTTTCTTTTTATTTATTTATTTATTTATTTATTTTTTATTATTATACTTTAAGTTCTAGGGTACATGTGCACAACGTGCAGGTTTGTTACATATGTATACATGTGCCATGTTGGTGTGCTGTACCCATTAACTCGTCATTTACATTAGGTATATCTCCTAATGCTATCCCTCCCCCCTCCCCCCACCCCACAACACACCCCTGTGTGTGATGTCCTCCTTCTTGTGTCCAAGTATTCTCATTGTTCAATCCCCACCTGTGAGTGAGAACATGCGATGTTTGGCTTTTTGTCCTTGCGATAGTTTGCTGAGAATGATGGTTTCCAGCTTCATCCATATCCCTACAAAGGACCTGAACTCATCCTTTTTTATGGATGCATAGTATTCCGTGGTTTATATTGTGCCACATTTTCTTAATCCAGTCTATCATTGTTGGACATTTGGGTTGGTTCCAGGTCTTTGCTATTGTGAATAGTGCCACAATAAACATACGTATGCATGTGTCTTTATAGCAGCATGATTTATAATCCTTTGGGTATATACCCAGTAATGAGATGGCTGGGTCAAATGGTATTTCTAGTTCTAGATCCCTGAGGAATCGCCACACTGTCTTCCACAATGGTTGAACCAGTTTACAGTCCCACCAACAGTGTAAAAGTGTTCCTGTTTCTCCACATCCTCTCCAGCACCTGTTGTTTCCTGACTTTTTAATGATCGCCATTCTAACTGGTGTGAGATGGTATCTCATTGTGGATAATTGCCAATAGAGCTATATAATGATTCTTATGGCATTCGTAGCCTGTATTTTATTTAAACAAATGTCCATTCATTCATTCAGATATTTATCATGTATCTTCTTTTGCCTTTGATTTGCATTTCAAAACTGCATTTTCATTTTACACTAGAATCTACAAACTAGGCAGCCAGCTCTCAAGCATTTATGCAAAATGTTGTTAAAAGGTCCTTGTGAAATGAGAAGACGTGGAACACATATTTATATTTCTATGTGTTTTATAAAGAAAGCTATAGATTCTTTTTTTTCTTGCTAGAGAAATAATTTGTTCACCTCTGTATTTTAAGTGCCTAGAGGAGTTCCACATAAAAGATATTTAAGTGATAAATATCTGAAAACATTAATGAATGAACGAACATTTGTTTAAATAAAATATAGGCTACAAATGCCATAAGAATCATTATATAACTCTACTGGCAATTATAAATCTCTCTGTATTAGGTAAATTTTAGAGTACCTTAGTTATTAATTTTGGGAAAAGTTCCTTTTAAAATTTAAACTAGTCAATTAATATTTATTTTTAATGGCAAAATATCTGTATTGATAAAAGTTCATGATGATTTTAAAAAATCTGCTCATCGTTATATGGGCACAGGATGGGCAAAGAAATAATAAGCTTTATTTACTACTTTTGTGTTTTAAAATTTAATATGTGTAGACTTTCCTAGTTTTAACAAGTAAAAGGCTTGGACATTTCATCCTTAAAATAGGAAATTGCTGAACAACAAAATCAATGACTTCTCTTGAACTCATCAGAGAACTGAGGTCCTAGGAAACTCCCGTCTGGAAATTTGGAGAGACAGGTGAATTCAGAGTCACAGCTGGAATAAGCTTATCTAGAGCAGAGATGCTATAGTTACAAACCAGTGGAAACACTTAAATGGAAATGTTGACAAATTGCTTGCAGGTAAATATAGAACACAAGGATGAGAGTGAGAACTTCCTGGGGGCCACAGTCATAGAAAGGCCCCCATACTTTTATGAGTTTTATCTCCAGGAACCCTACAAGTTTTTCACTGTAAAGATCAGAAGATCCCATTTTATGTGATGGGGTAAGAATAATCATTGTGAAATACACCCAGCATTCTCCTAATGAAGACCTCTTTTCCTGGACGAAATACTTTACTAGTGCCTTATCCCAGTGAGAGGAAGACATTCCTCCCAATCCAGGCCCCTCTAGCCTTCCTGTCTCACCTGAGTGGGAAGAACCCCACATCACTAGAGAAACACGAAGGTCACATCCCTGAGTCATAGTACACTTAGAAACTGAGATCTAATTCTGTGATTATTGAATGTTCCATTCTCCACAACTGACCATCACACCAACAGGGTTTCAATTTAATCACAATAGATTACAGTGGGAAAAGCTACAAGATACAGATGATCTCTCTCTTTCTCCCTTTTTAAATTTTACTTTAAGTTCTGGGATACATGTGCAGAAGGTGCAGGTTTGTTGCATAGGTATACATGTGTTCACCTAAGAACTCATCTTCAGTTATCATCTGCTTCACCCAGGTCCCTGCAAAGGACCTGGGTGAAGCAGATGATAACTGAAGATGAGTTCTTAGGTGAAAGTTAGAGTTCAAAGTCAGGAAGGGAGACAAAAACAAGAAAACTAGAGGAATTCGAAACTTTTTGGTACCTATCACTATAGCAAACATTTGACATAACCTAACATTTAGCCAAATTAACATAAAATCCCACACTTAAGTCCTGCTTACCTGGGTTCCTATTACTCAGTATGATATGCTTGGCTTTTATCAAGAAGTTATAAGGCAAAAAGTCAAACCAAACCAAAACAAAAACAAGCACCCCACACGGTCTAAATAGACAAAGCATCAGAACCAGACTCATAAGTGGCACAGATTTTGTAATTGTCAGATAAGGAATTTTAAATAATTATGATTAATATTTTAAATGCTCTAAGACAAAAAGTAGAAAATATGCAAGAACAGAAGGGTAAGGCAAGCAGAGAGATAGAAGTTCTATGAAGAAATTAATAGGAAATGCTAGACATCAAAGACATTTTAATAGAAGCGAAGAATGCTTTTGAAAGGCTCTTCAGTGGAGACTGCTCATGGCCAAGGAAAGACCAGCAAGCTTGAAGATAGGTCAATTGAGACTTCCTAAACTAAAATGTAAAGAGAAAAAAAAAGAAGGAAAAAATATGGAAAAAAAGAAAAAACAGAGAAGAACATCCAAGAACTGTGACCATTTCAAAAGATGTAATATAGGCGTCATTGGAATACCAGGAGATTTCAGAGTTAAAAAAAAATTTGAAGCAATAATCACCAATCCCTTTTTTAAATTAATAATGAAAAAAAAGACACTGATCCAGGAAACTCAGAGAATACCAAAGAGAATAATACCTTCCCCCATCTGTCACACACAGAAACACACACCCGCCCTACAGAATCCACACCTGGGTATATAGGCACCAAACTGCAGAAAGCCAACAGCAAAGTCAGAGAGAAATTCTTAGAGGAATACAGGGGGTGGTATAGAGACATCTTTCTTGCAGAGCAACAGGGATTAGAATTAAACTGGGCTTTTTGTCACAAACAATGAAAACAGGGATAGAGTGTAGTAAAATATTGAAAGTGTTGGGGGAGAAGGCCCTAGAACCATATATTCAGCAAAATTAGCAGTCAAAAGTGAAGAAGATATAAAAACTTTATTAAACCAAACAAAAAAAGTGAGAAAATTCATCTCCAGAATACCTCCCTGCAAGTTATGTCAAAAAAATTAAAATAAAAATAAACTTTTGCAGGGGGAAAGAAATTATACAGGTGAGAAAATTGGGTCTACATAAAGAAAAGAACATTGGGGAAGGAAGAAATGAAGGTAAAATAAACAATTTTATCTTTCCTATTCTTTTTTTTGTTGTTGTTGTTGCAGAGTCTCGCTTTGTCCCCCAGGCTGGAGTGCAGTGGGGCGATCTTGGCTTACTGCAAGCTCCGCCTCGCGGGTTCAGGCCATTCTCCTGCCTCAGCCTCCAGAGTAGCTGGGATTACAGGAGCCTGCCACCACGCCCAGCTAATTTTTTGTATTTTTAGTCAAGACGGGGTTTATCGTGTTAGCCAGGATGGTCTCGATCTCTTGACCTTGTGATACGCCCGCCTCGGCCTCCAAAAGTGCTGGGATTACAGGCGTGACCCACCGTGCGCAGCCCCTAGTTTTAATTGATTTAAAAGATAGGCATTTAAAATAATAATAGAAATAGACTGGATGATTTTAACATATGGATAAGTAGAGTGAATGACATTGGTACATCTATATCATAAAGGATGGAGGGAAACATTGGGATAACTGTTATAAGATCGCTACCCTAAAAATGTTAATTCAAAATGGACTTAGGTTAGTCTAAAAATGTATTCTGGAAACTCTAGGTCAACCACTCTAAAATTTGTAAAAGAGATACAATTGATATTGTAAGAGATGAGGCAACATGTAATTTTATAACATGTTCAATTAAAACAAAATGACAAAGGAAAGGATAATGGCAAATGCAACTAATAGAAAATAGTCACCAAAATGGTAGATATTAATCATATTACATTAATAATCACATTAAATATCACATATAAAGTTACTATTTAAAATACAGAGATTGTTACAGTAGATTTAAAAAAAAAGAGCACAATTGTATATGGTCAATAAGAAACCCACTTCAAATATAATGACTGATAGGGTAAAAATAAAAGGATAAAAACAATATGCCATCCTACCAATAATTTTTAAATTTTGTAATATGAATTTCATGTAAATCAGACTTCAGAACAAAAAATATATATCACATATATAAAAGGGGCAGTACATAATAGTAGATGAGTAAATTTCCAAGAAATAGACATATGAATTAAAAATATTTTGAAATAAAGTAAAAATACAGTTTACAGTATCTTCAGGTTGTAGTGAAAGCAATGCTTCAAGAGAAATATAACATTAAATCCATATATTAGAACAAAGGAAAGATGGAGAATCAAGAATCTAAGCTTAAACTTTAGCCAGAGAAAGAAAAGCAACTTAAGCCTACAGCAAATAGAAGAAAAAAATTATAAAAATTAATGGAAATCAATAGAAATGAAAACAATAGAGAAAATCAATAACATGAGTAGATATTTTTTGAAAGATTAATAACATCATAATCTTCTATCAGACAAATTTCATAAAACAGAGAAGACACACTATATCAATAACAGAAACGAAAGAAAGATTGTCACTATCCCATGCACATTAAAAGGATAATAAAGAAACACAATGAAAACTCTATACCTACAAATTTAAATGTAATGAAACAATTTCTTGAAAGACACTACCAAAATTCACACAAGGAGATACAGATAACCTGAATAGCTTCATATTTATGTTAAAAATTATATCAATAATAATATTGCAAAAAAAAAAAAAAAAAAACAAAGCAACAAGCCCAAATGATTTCACTGGTAAATTCTAACAAACATTGAAGAAAGAAAAGATACTCATTTTTCTGTCTCTTCCAGAAAATTAAAGCACAGAGAAACTTCCTAACTCATTGCCTGAGAACAGCATTACCCTTATACCAAAACCAGATAAAACCGTCACTAAAAAGGAAAACCTGAGGACCAATATTTTTCATAAACACAGATGCAAAATTCCTCAACAAAACAGTAGCTAATAGAATTTAACAATGAGTAACAAAAGTTACACAAGACTAAATGGATTTTATTCCAAGTATGCAAGGCTGGTTTATATTTTTAAGTCAATCGATGTAATTCAACACACCAACAAGCTAAAGAAAAAAATATGTGATATTATCACTAGACACAGAAAAATCATTTGATACAGAAAAATCATTTGATAAAATTAAACGTTAATTCATGACAAAATCCCTGAGCAAACAGAATAGAATAACAGGGAACTACCACAACATGATAAACAAGATGCATGAAAAACCTATTGAGCATCATACATAATGATGAGAAATTTAATGTTTTAAATGTAATATGGTAATAATTATATGAAACAGAAAAAAAGAACATTACATAAAAACTAATAAAATCTAAATAAACTAGGAATTTCTTTAATAATAATATAGCAATATTTGTTAACTTTGACAAATGCATCATAATAACATAATAAATAGCAGTAGGGAAAATTAGGTACAGAGCATATATGAATTCTTTGTTCTAGCTCCATAAATTTTTTGTAAATCTAAATCTATTCTAGAATATTCTAGAATAACAACTTACTTTTCAAAAGTTACACTCTATGTCCTTGTTCTTCACTTATGTCTAGAGCAAATCTCTTTTTTTTTCAACTGGAAAATATTTTCTGAAGTTCTTGAAATTATTTTTAAATACAAAATCTACCTGGTCAACATTTACGGCTGTTATTTATTGAGCTTCATATTGAAAGATATACATATCTTTGGGGGAAGCACTATATATTTATTTAATAAACAATGTAAAACTAAGAGACTACCAAGAATTAAAGATGCTTACAAACAATTTGTTGCAGAAAGTCATTTGTAAGTTCGCTGAAATGCACAATTTTTTTTCACATAAAGTCTCTTGGTGTTCAAATTAAAAGTGAGTTTACAGAAATGATTAAATCTCAAATATTGTTGAAAATTCAATGTGTAATAAAAATTCTTACAATAATAATACTGTTAAATATTTGTGACATTATTGTTGAAGGTTTTCTAAAATTGTTATTATGAAGGCAGCTACTCTAAAATAAAAAAAAGTTTGAGAAGAAAACAATAGATAAAAGTCCCTGTGGAAATCCTTAAGTAGTCTTTTGTGAATTTAAGTTTTCTAGCAACTGAAATCTTTACAGAACTGTCATTTCGTCATATCTAAATGGAATTTCAACACATATGGCTTTTATAAATATAGTATTTGCATGACTAGAAATATCCTTACACAACAGGAGCCATATTTATTTCAGATAGGAAATGAAAATGAAATGAAAAGAGGGAAAGAGTGTAGATATATATACACACACACACACACATATATATATTCATATATATATATATATATATATACTTATTGCAAGCACTGCTTATGGAAAATCAGCCTGAGCAGCCTGAGAACGATGAAAGTAGTTTGTTAAGAAAAGCCATTGATTCCAATAAGTTCACTACCACTGATATTTTCCCAGTATAGTTTGGCAATTTTCCAAAAAAACCTTGTTAAACAAATCAGATTATTGAAGACAGTGGACAATTGTTTACTTCTATGGGTTGATTGTTAATACAATAAGCACATACACAGTCATTTCAGAATCTGACAATGCAGATTGAAATCTTGGAAAAACATAAATTATAGTCTTAGGATCTGGGTAACTTTGATATGTCAGTGAGCATTCTTAATTACAAAGAATAGGATTTGCTATGAATGGTATAGGGAGAAAACAACATATTAAAGAATATTTTTAGACAGCTCACAAAATCTTCAGGGAAATAAGCATGTGAAACTAAAAGATATGTACCCAGAAACAGAATGCAACTACAGTTGACTCCTGAACAACACAAATTTGAACTACATAGGTTCACTTATATGTGGAATTTTTTTCAATAAAAATTATACCAACTATGCCTGAGTCTCCTGCCTCCCATTCTACCTTCTCCACCTCATTCACCACTGCCACCCATGAGACAGCAAGATCAACCCTTCCTCTTCCTCCTCCTGCTCAGCCTACTCAATGTGAAGACAAAAAGGATAAAGACTTTTATTATAATCCACTTCCATGTAATGAATAGTAAATATAGTTTCTCTGCCTTATGATTTTCTTAATAACATTTTATTTTCTATAGCTAGCTTTATTGTAAGAATATAGTATACATTAATAATACATACGACATACAAAATATGTGTTAATTAGCTGGTTATGTTATCGATAAGGCCTCTGGTCAACTCAGGCTATTGGTAGTTAAGTTTTGGAAGAGTCAATAGTTATAGGCAGAAGTTTTGACTGTACAGGGAGTCTTTCCTACCCTGTGTTGTTTAAGGGCCAACCGTATACTCTGAGATCTGTAGCACAGATAGAAATCATCAGTGGCACTAATAAGCATGGAGCTAGACTCCGGGAACACCAATACTTATGTTCTTTAACATGCATGTTTCCAGTGATAGATTTCATACTTATTAGATTCCTCACGTAGTCCCCTCTAAATGAAGTATCATGTTGGAATATCTTGTTGGAGAAAAATAGGACATAGTTCAGCCCTAGTAGCAAGAAAGCCTGGACTAGTAAATTTTGACGTCTGCATTGGGAGGCAAATCTCATAATATGGGAATTTGTTCAAAAAGTGAAAGAATGCTCAAGAAATGATAGGCGACTGTGAACATAAAAACCGTCCATTGTACTTGTTAGCTCACTTTATGTACATTGATTTTGCTTGGTATTACTTGGTAATATGTCTTTGAAAATATTACCTGGAACTCTCTTATTACCATGGCTAGAAAATATTAAATATTCAAAACATGGAGCTTTTTATTAATTTGTAAAAACTTTTGTATTTATGGAATCTTTAAACATATGTAATATATAGTTGGTCAAATACTGATATTTCTGTTGATAAAATTATTATAGCCAGATACTTAACCTGATGCTAGTAAAAATTAAAATTATATAACTTGTGCATATTATTCCAAATATAATTTCACATCCCATAAGGCTTACTTACAGAAATAAAAATCACTGGCCAAAAAACATTAGTATCATGTTCAAATGTTAGCTTCATAGCATTAAAATCTGTTATTGGCATTCCAACTTTTTGCAACATCTCAGTGTGCTTGGATATTGTGAATCCTGCCTTGAGACTTGAGGCAATATATCAATGTACTAAAGGTTCAACTTTCAGAGAGGAAAAAGCTAAAGGCTAGATCCTGAGTTGTGATAAATTCCTGAATTAACTCTCACTTTTTGATACCTATTGGAAAGTTAGATTTCCTTAGGCAGATCCGTCTGCCGTGATTCATATCATTTCCTCAGACATCCACAATCTACAAGAGAACATAAATTTTGGAAACAGAAATTAATAAAAGCAAGTTAAAAATGTTACTCAAATTTATTGTTTATTTTTCATCTCTAATATACATTTCATAGGCTTAAAAGGAAACCTTTGAAATTGTCAGAGACTATTTAAAATAAGTAGCTTCCTAAATAAATGCCTTGTCAGTTTACATTAGAATTGCTTGCCTGATTAAAAAAGGAGACAGTAATTAAGTGTTTGCCTGTTAATCTAACCATTATTTAGAAGTCATTAATGAAAATGGTTTATGGGTTCAAGAGGCATTCTATATTTAAATTAATTCTGTTGCTAAAAGCCAATCAAGATTTGTACAGTGTTCAGAACACACTGGGAAATAAACTATTGAATTAAATAGGCATTGAATAAAGAGGGTATTTTACAAAGTCATGGTTTTTATTTGTTTGCAGTCTTTTAATGAAGTTCTATCTAAACTTATTGGTACTATTTTTTACAATTAGGATGATAAGTCATATTATTATAAAAATTAAAGGTGAGATAAAAATGAGAAAAAGTAGTAAGAGCCCTCCATTTATTATTCTTGTGGACATTTTCACATTAGAGTTCTCTAGTTGCAATAAATTGCATTTACTTTGTCTAGAGAGGAGGTTTGAAATACTGCAAGAAATGTTGTATTTTATCTTTGAAAGACAAAATTATTATTGTATTCAATTTGTCATTATGAATTCTTATGTTTAATAATTCATCTAATGTTCATTTTCCCATCCAGGGTGTATATTACATGAGGCCCCAGAATACATCTTGTTTTATCCACAGCTCTAACCATTAGAGCTCAAACCAATGAATTTAGCTCAAGCTAATGAATTTTTGATTGGCTGAATGGATGTAATGTTTGAATTATGAAAAATTATAGTAAAATTAGAGGCTAAAAGGGTCAAGATTAATATTAAATGTATTGAAATAGAAAACTAGTGGGCTTTCAATTACTAGTACTGATTTTCCTTTAAAAGGAGGAGGAAAGAGGGAATGAAGGAAGGAGTGAATAATCTTACAAATGGGCATATTAGTCTATTCATCTATAAAATGGATTTAGTTATCTATATCAATGAGTTTTTATAAAATCTAATTTTAATAATGAATAAATGTGTAGAGTATGAGCATAGTACTTATTAAGCAAACAATAAAGATTTTTACCTGGAAAATTGTTGGATACTCATTGATTATATAACCTAACAAGGTCATTAAGCTCAAACTATTTCAACAAAACTAACATTACCTTGTTTAGCCACGATTGCCCTTCTGATTGATAAATTATTTCACAGGGCCTAGCACATTGTCCTGTTGAGGACTTTTATGACACTCAGTAATGATTAATTTGTATCATTTTGCATGCATTACAAATCATGGGAAAAGATGATTTCTCTCTCACTCTCACAAAGACACATACACACACACCAACATACAGAAACAGACATAATATTAAAATGTCAGGTTGTATTAATTCCTCAGCTTACTTTTACGAAAAAAAAAAAAAAGACAAAAGCAGATGACCCATATCTCAGCACTGCTTCCTTTGGTCTTATTAAGGTTCAGAAAATACTTTGTTTACAAACACTATTTTCACTTAGGACAAGATTTTAATCAGCAGACTCTTATTTCCTAATCTAAATTCAATGTCAGAGTGGCACATGTTCTCCTAGGGAAAAAGCCAAATCAAGCATTGCCAATATTTCAATTTTTCTCCAGAGAATTAGTACCCACTATTGCTTCTGTTTGCATAAAATTCTGGAGTGAAAATGATGGAATAAGGATTGACATCATCTGTGAGGCCCCACTTCCCCCCCCCACGTAGAGCCTCATAATATTCAAAGACAATGAGGAGCAATATCAAAAGATCTTGCTTCTATACGGAATTTTCTCTTTTAGCAATTGGACTTTTATGTGAGCTCTCTTTTGGACTGGGTTTAACAGACATTTGATTGAGTGTATTCTTGCTACAAGGAATTGAGTTATAACTAAATATTACTCTGGGCAAGGCATAGTCTCCAGTTTCAAGGAATTTATATACTGGGAGGCACAAAAAAAGAAAGAGGCAATAATAAGACATTGTGACAGTTGCTTATAGATAGAGTCATTTATATACAGGGGGTTACAAGAGACCACTTGGAAGAACCATCCAATTGTCTCTTGAGAGGTAAGGAAAGGCTCACTAGAATTGGTAATGTCTGTACTGAAACTTGAAAGAAACATGGAAAGAAACATGATTAAGTGGAGTGTATATATAGAATTCAAAAGCTGAATGGTTATCATTGCAAAATTACAGAGATATATGAAAACATGACATACTCATAGAACTAAAAATAGGACCCTAGAACTATAAAGAAAGAGCTGATATTTACTAAGCAAATAACTTCTTTCAGTGTTTTGCATTATTTACTCATTTAATACATCAACCTTACCTGGTAGGTGCAATTATTATTACCATCACATACACACACTCCCATTTTACAGTCAAGTTATCTGGGGCAACATGGATTACGTAGTCTGTCCATATCACAGAACTAAGAAGTGGATGGAGTCTCTTTGTAGAACTAGGGAAGTTGAATCAGAAATCTGTGCTCTAAGGCCCTACCCTATATTTCCTAGTTCACGTAAGATGGAGAATTCTGAAAGATAGCTAGTGAAGAGGGAAAAGTACAATTTCAATATTGAAAAATATATTGAATCATGTTAAAATAATTTGGATTTTATTCCAAAGACAGGACAGGCACAACAAACTGTTATAAATACAGAAATTCCAAGTCTGTTGTGCTAAACATGCACCTTTTGATTTCTAGAGTGGAAAACAGATTATAGGAAGATTACACCAGAAGGCAAAGACATCAGAAAGCGGTTGAACAGATTCAATCCAGAGACAATGGCAGCTTTAGCTATAGATATTGCAATGAATGAAAGAAGTAAAAAGAACCATGAGATATTTAGAAGGCTGATCCTACATAAATTAGTATTTTGGATTAAAAAATAAAAGAAAGACAAAAATGACTCTTAGGGTTAAGACTTAAGAAATAAAGGCTTTTTCTTTTTAATTTACTGAGTTGATAAAAATGAGTTCACATTTAGACATATTACATTAAATATTTCAAAAATTATTAGTTTAAGATATACATAGGCAGTTGGACATGTGGGATATGTTATGTGGCATGACTAGAAACCAAGTGGTTCATTCATTAGCTCCACAATTACTTACAGAGTACTTACTATGTACAAGAACTATTATCTTGCAAATACAGTACTAAACCTGATAGACAAGGTCATGCTACCAGAGAAAGAAAGATGAATTATAAACAACAAAACAAGTGTGCAAGGTAGTTGCAGGTAATGGTTAATGCTGTGAAGAATATGCGACAAGGTTACATTGTATTGTTGATAGTGACTCGACTCACAGTAGCTCCGTTCAGATGGAATGGTGATAGAAGGCATCCCTTTGAAGGAGAGATCTTATTGATAAAAAAGGACAATATAGAGATTAAGAGTGTGCTGAGTTTAGAGAACTGTACTCATGGCTCAGCCTTGTAACATGGTTACTATGTGCACTTGCCAAGTTATTTAAGCCTTCTTAGCCTGTTTCCTCAATTATAAAATAAGGATGATAATAATGGTTATTATTTGTTGAAAAGGGATTGAGTGAATTAGTCCATGTAAATCATTTAGCGCAATTCAATCATAAGGAAAATGCTCAGTAAATACTGGCAAAAACAATATTTATAAGTAATAATAATTGCATTCTTGTTATTTTACCCAGCTCACCAAGGCAGAAAAACATTTGTGAGTTTTCTCAACCACTTATTGAAAGTAGGAATTTGTTTACAATGTTCAATGTCTCTCTATGTATCGTCTTTGCAAATGTACAATGGTGGTAAGAAAACTGGCTTATAGTTTAGAATTTGGAAACAGCAGCTATCAGGCTCACCTTTAAAGAACATAAAGGGTATAAGGGATTTGGAACTGAGAGGCATATTGTATATTAACTGGAATTCCTTATTATATATAAATCTCACCGTTATTCTATTTTCTTGTATAGAAAGCCCGAGTAAACATTTCAGTGTGTTTTCTAATGACTTCGGCAACAATTAGGCTTATTATTCATTGTTTCTAAAGACCTTCGTGGTCCAGGAAAATATGAATTGCTTCCTTATTCAGCAGGTTGATAATGGCTTTCTTTTAAAGTATTTCATTTTAAAAATTATTTACTGCTCTCTACTTATAAATGAAAGCATAAGCTTGGCTTTTATCCAAAGGGAGGAATAAAACAATCTTTGATTCTCAAGACATTGCTATGTTTTAAACAGCAGACAGAAACTAGAAGATGGTTTGCTCAAAGTAAAATATATTTAAGTCTAACATCTTCCTGTAGTTGAGTGTATGTATATGTGTATATGAGTTGTGTATGTGTATGTTTAATCTCTGTTCAAAATGTCTGTTTTCCATTTTTGGCAAGTGAAATATACCAAGCAAAAAGATGAAGTAATTTAAATGCTTTCCCCAAAATAAAACCTCAATTTATTATAGTTACAAACTAGGGAAAACACAATTATGATCATTTCTCTTTTTTTTATTTGATTCTGTTTATTTAAAAAGCAACACCAGGAAATTTATAGATTTGTCATGGTAAGTTAGTATCCCCCCACATCAACTAATTAGGCTATTTTAACAGTAAGACCAATTACAGTGATAAGTTCTTCATAAGAAAAAAGCATCATTTTTTTAACGCTAGTCAGAGTCCTGATTTGCTAGTCTTTTTTTAAATTTTAGTTTTTATTATACTTAAAGTTCTAGGGTACATGTGCACAACGTGCAGGTTTGTTACATACGTATACATGTGCCATGTTGCTGTGCTGCACCCATTAATTCATCATTTACATTAGGTATTCTCCTAATGCTATCCCTCCTCCCTTCCCCCACCCCACAACAGGCCCTGGTGTGTGATGTTCCCCTTCCTGTGTCCAAGTGTTCTCATTGTTCAATTCCCACCTATGAGTGAGAACATGCGGTGTTTGGTTTTTTGTCCTTGCAATAGTTTGCTGAGAATGATGGTTTCTATAAGTACATAATCCCATAGAAATCAAAGTCACACTGGAGTTCATAAAACATATTTTATTTCCATTTAGGAATTTCTCCAGTATTATCTCTATGGAATATTTAATCGATAGGCATGTTTCAAACACTTTCATAAAAAGAATCTTCAACTTTTCCCAGAAGTGAATATGTGAAATATATAAACACAAACACAAACATACACATACACAAACACTTGCATATATACGAGACAAAGAGTAATAATAAAAAGCCAAACACCCACAGATGACTTTAATGCTGTAAGAAATAGAATATTATTAATATCTTTAAAGCCCTGAGGATCTCTTCTTGATCAAATTAATCTCTAAATACTACTCTTTAAAGGTGGCAACTATACTATTTTTAGATAATTTGCTTTTATTTATACTTAAACAGAAATATATTTGTATATATCAATATATAATATAAATTGTTCAGTTTTGCATGTCTATCATTTATTAAAATATGTCATACTGTAAACTTCTGCAATATTACTTTTTAATGATACGTTTATTAAAGTCAACATTGTTAATTTAAGTAGCTGCAGTTGATTCATTCTCTATTGCTCCATACTATTAATACTGCATTGTATATATATTCACATTATATATGCATATATAAAATATATGTGTGTATATCATTATTTATCTATAAAAGTTAATACCAGAGTTTTTTTGTTTGTTTCATTTTGTTGCTATTACAAACAATGCTGCCAGGTTGGAAAATTACATAAGGTTGGTAAATTTCATGCCAGCCACTGCGTCTTAAAATTAAACCAAATTAATAAAACTCGGTGTAAAGCAATTTTAAGATTCTTATCTTAATCTAGCTTAACTTTACGCTGTAAAAACCTGCCCCTAAATTAAAATAAGCTATGAAAATGACTTTAATGTTCTCATAACACAATAGCTAAGGCCCAAACTGGGATTAGATACCCCGCTATTCTTGGATATAAGCTTAAATAACTTCATAAGCGAAGTTATTCACCAGAATACTACAAGCAACAGCTTAAAACTCAAAGGACTTGGTGGTGTCAAGAGACATCTGATACCTGTCTCTTAGCATGTATTATTACAGGTGGAAATTCTAGATCCTAGGGTCTGTGCCTCATCTGCTTTACTAAATAATCCTTATTTTTTGCAAAATAGTTGCAAAAATTTGCATTGCTTTCAGCAGGGTATATTTTCCATTGTTCCATTTCATTGTAATTCCTTAAGTTTATTCCTGTTGGTGCTGCTCTGCTTTTTCTTCTGAGGGTTCCCTCCTTTTCCTGTAAGGTAACAGTGTGCATATACACCCTCACACACGTATGTTTCTATGTTACCAAATGTATGTAATAAATATATATTATAAAATATATATAGTATATTTATATGTTATAAAACTTAAGTATGTATAGATCACCATCTTTATATAGAAAATATGCATTTAGGGGTTTTTATATTTTTAAGTGGGCTTGTTTTACAAATATTTTTGGCCTGCCAGAGTGTCAAAAATAAATCCACTGGATTTATAACAAAGTGGAGCTCTCCTCATGTTTCAAGGACACCCCCCTCAACCTAATTTCACTTTTTGCCCATTATTCTATTCTTTTCCTCTTTATCATAAGCAAACTCATGAGAGATGCCTTCATGTCTTCACCTCAAAGCCTTTAGCATTCCCAAATTAGACCTGATTCATCATCAATCATCTCAAACAACTATTACTATGTTTATTAATTTTCCTTGATGTCATATTCAGTAGGCATGCTGCATTGACATTTTTCTTAACCCTTGGAATTACATACTGTTATATGGATTATATAATATTTAGTGTTACTTCCTGTTTGAAACACTCCCTTATCAGCTTCTGCTAAATGAATTACATGTGATTTTCTTTCTACACTTTTGATTATCAACTTTCCAGTATCACTTGCTGGTTTATCACCAAATTATTAAATATTAGGTTTCGCAAGGCACGGGGATCATCTCCTGTTTGCCTCCATGACCACTTTTTAGTAATCCCACCTATATACATACTTCAACTTTTTCAGCCATAAGCTTAAGACATGCACATCTATATTTTCAGACTTTTATGTTCATCTGCTTAGTCTCCCCAAAGATAAATCAACACATTCACCCCAAATTTAACATGTTTAAAATAATAAAAACAAAAAAAAAACAAACCAACAAAAAACCCTATCTTATCCCACTGTCCCTTATCTCAGTGTATGGCAGGTGTAACCACCCAGTCACCCAAGCCACACTCCAGGAAAGCCATCTTTACATTTTAATAGCACACCAATATTTATTTATCTGTATTTCCCCCACTTTGCCCCTCTCCCTTTCCATTGCCTTCACACAACTTCCCTGCTTTCACTAATAAGTTCCATTTATGCTCTAAGAGAACAATGTCCTACATCTGCCATCCATCGGGCTTGTCTATTTTAAATTCCAATTTTCAGTATTGTGATGAGTGACATCACCATTATGCTATGAGTAGCATGTGGTAAGGGGCCTAGCATGTAGAGGTTCCTCACTAAATGCTTACTGAATGAATCATACCACAGTGAACCCCAGTTCTTCTTTCTTTCCCCCGCTCCACAGCCCTTTCCCTTTCTATTTACCCTTGTGCTCTACATCAATAAGGAAGCCTGGTTCCCTAGTTAAATTTAGCATAAGCTAGACCTTTCTAGTCAAATTTTAATATCAAGGACAGTAAATCATTATCTCCAAAAATCAATTTGGCACACCGTAGGCATTTAGAATGACATTTATTTTTCTTCTTCCTTCTCTTTTTTTTTCCTACCGTTTCTACTTCTGCTTGACTGTGTCTGAAGCAGATTGAATCAAAAGTATAATTAAAAATAAAAGTTATGCAACACTCACAGATGCAACTTTATCTTAAGCTGGAAACTCAAATTTTGTTTGGCCTAGTTCAAGAGAAACAGTGGGCAGCAGTATGAGACTGAGTCTATGAGCCACTTGCAATATTCAACTAAGCTGATGTATCTCGGTTTACTCATCTACTAATTCACAATTATAAGGGTTGCTATTACTGATGACATTGTTCAGATTCTTTCTCGTCATTATAAATAGTATATCATAGTGATTAACATCACAGTGTCTGCGGCCAGACTCCTTGGGTTTGTGTCATGGCTCAGCCACTTAGCAGCTGTGAAATCTGGCAAGTTACCTAGCCTGGCTGTGCCTTCATTTCATTATCTATATAATAGAATTAATAATAATTCTGGCTACTCACATTTTACTTTCAACTTTTACAATGTAACACACTTAGAACAGTGACCAGCACAGAGTAAATATCATATGACTTATTATGATCCATCTCCAGCTGTGTTTTCTCTGTTTCCTTCCTTTTTAACAGACTGTATCTATAAATCTCTTACATAGTATTTTATTACAATGCTCTGAACTTCTTACATGTTTATTTTTCAGGAGTGATATATCTTGAAAATTCACTTCATTTGAGAGTCATTTGTTTCTTGATAACTGTTTTCCAGTTGCTACATACTTCATTAAATTGATGCAAAGGTATAGTAATAGTTTTTAGGTACAAGATTTTCCAATTTGGCATTTCCTTTCATGTTGAAAACTTTAATCTCAAGAAAGAGAATTTTTCATTTTCATCTCTTTGACTTCAATATGAATTTGAGCCAGCAGATAATTAAATTAGGAGTGTAGTTGAGGGGGACTATTTGAATTTTTCTTTTTTAATTACTTCTCAAATTAAAATCCAGGATAGCTAAAAGAAACCTATCAAAAAACATGATACTCTGATAAGATTTTTCCAATCATGAAATACCAAATAGCTGTTGTGGTTCTAACATTTTATTTCTCCACACTCTAGCCTTTCTGTCTCTTTAATAAAATTAGCTATTTTGTTGATATCTTCTAAGATTGAACTTTCATCCAAAATGCATAGATATTCATATTTCATGAATAATCTAACAAGAAATGTTATAATATTCTAGGTCATCCAGCAAGATGAATATGTATTAAGTAAACTTACTCGTGTGTGTTTTTAGCCTTTCTAAAAGTACTTCCAGTTCCCCTCCGGGGCAGATATTGGATCTACTATGTGCACAGGGCCATTTTATTCAATCCATAGGTTTATTATGTATTGTCACTTATATTGTAAATAGCATTTGAAGTTTTATTTTTTATTTTATTTTATCTGTATGAAAATTTATCCCAGGAAACATTGAATGCAAACATTTGTCTTTGATGAATTCCATATTACATTTTTAAAGTTCATGTTAGATATGTCTCTCAGAAAAATGAGAAGTAATTAAAGTTTGTTTATATTTACTGTTAATTATTTTAATCATATATGCTTTACCAAGACTTGTTCTCCCCTGTGTAGGAAAATCTGTTCATTGCGCTCAAAATTTTAGAGAAAGACATGAGAAATGATGAAGAAGTGGATGATTGACAGAGAGTTCAGCTGAGTTTCAGGTACCATGGTTTTCTCACATATTCTATTTATTATCTTACTTTAAGCATAAATCATGTATACTACAACAATCTGACAGGCATTAATTTTTATTTGTATAAGTACATATTTTTTTGCTAGATTACACACTACTTCCTAAATATTAAATTATCAAAAAATTTAAAAATTGATGAGCATTATAAAACACTTCTCTTTAATCCACAATAATTTATAAGTCTTAAAATATTGGTAGATTCAATTTAAACTTGTTTTAATTGCCCCAAGAGTATGAATATTGGAGTTTTTGGCAAATTTAAACATAAATAGGGACTATTACCTCACATAAGCTGCTAAAATTATGCTTCAGTTTCTACTTTCTCAAAATTCAATATGCTCTTAACCGGATTAAGTTCAAAATTATCAAAATTTAAAGTTTAATACACATTAAATATTTTTATAGAGGTATATGCTATGTCAAAATCTTTTTGAGTAGACCTTTGATCTTAATTTTGTGACAGATTTAAGAAGCTTATTTCATAGGTTTAATCCAATTCAACTTAAGAAAAAAAGATTTATTTTACTTAAGGTGTGTACTGTGTTCTTGAGACATAGAATCTTTGCTTCTGATACTACATTCAAAAGATATCAAACTTACAGAAATTGTCATTGTTCCAGTTATATAACTGATTACTGTACACAGAAATTATTTTTGGAATACTCTTGATGCACCATCTTACACATGTAACTTAACTTAAAAGGAGCATTTAGTAAGCAAAACATCCAATTAGGCACAGCTAGCTTACCTTCTGTGATAGTTATATTCAAGAGAACCAAGTCCTTAAATAGAAAAAAAGATGAGTGATACAACTAAGCTAAAGCTAGCTATATTTTTTCAAGGATTTCAAAATTCATTTTTATGTGAATTACAATGTGTTACAAAAAACTACTTAAAATATTTGATATGTTTGCTTTTTAACAACATAAACACAAAATCTATTTTTTAAAAATAAAATATGAGGCATTAAGTTTTTCCAATATGTCAAAGACAGTGCTCTATCTGAAAAGTAGAGCAGATAAAGTCTATTATTTTCTACTGACCTCCAAGCAGGGCTCTGAACATTGCGTTTTCATTTATGTGCAAAGTAGGGGCATACAATATTCACCTTAAATGTGATGCGACAATAAGCAGAAGATTGGGACACTGACAAGGGCAGTGCTCCTATCATGGCAACACCTTGAGAAGGTGTACCTCAACTATGTAGGGAAACCATCGTTTGAGAAAATGAACTGCATGGGCAAATCAGCTGTTACTAAATGTTTATATATCTACTTGGGAGTATTTTATAACATTTGCTCTTACCCTTATTTGTTGTAGAAAACTGTCATAGAAAATAAATTTCAGTGGTTTCATTTTAAAATAATTTATAGAATTAAAGATTTAGCAATATCAAAAATGCTTTTTGATATTTTTTGTAAAAATATCGAAAGTATTTTTTGTAAATGAGTGCAAAGTGATGAATGATTTTTAAAGACTATTTCATTTTAACATCTATTTTGTATCCAACAGTTGAAATTTGATGCCAATATCATAGACAGAAATATGTCTAACTGAATATTGCTGCTGTTACATAATTATATTACAAATATGATATAAACATTAAATTTACCTTTTAGTAACAATGTTAAAAGTTATTATCATATATCAGTTTGATAAAGAAGATGTTTCATTTAAAACTGTATCTGCAACCTCCTTCCTCTGCATAGTGCCAGAAATATCCACCTTATTTATTGTAGCTGTTTTTACAGTGTAGCTATTGGGTCATTTGTATTAGAATCATTTGGGGACATATTAAAATGTATTTCCTTAAGCCACATACTGGATCTATGGAGTCAAATTATCTAGTGATGGTGCTCTGGAGTCCACATTTTAAAACCATTTCTTAGATGGTGTTTTTGTACATTCATGTTTGATTAGCCCTAACTTTTTGCTTTGCATTAAAGCATTCAATTGACATTTGAAAGCCGTAATGTTCTTTGGAAGAAGTAGGCATCAGTCCATAATTATTTATCAAATCTGCATGAATTAATGTACGTACTTTTCTTTAGTCTCCTAAAGGTATGAATGCCTGGATTAAAAAACGTTTTATTAGAGAAGGCAGATACAAAAAGGGAGAAGATTTAAATTGACTTTAACATTTACCTAATTTGTATTTAGTTGCCTAAACAAGCTCTGAAAGAATCAGGGATGAATAACTTAGAACACCTCTCTTCACAGAGCCACAGACCAAACACATTCAGATATGTCCAAAATAAATGAATAAATAAATACATAAAGAAGAGAGAGGCACAAGGAGAAATAAGCATTGCTAGGAAAACGAATGTTGTTTTTTTAGTGTATTAATACAGCTTTTCTATTAAGGCAGGATGGGTTCTACTGACTATTGGTTCGGGCTGAAAATAAATAATAACCGACAATTTTAAGTGATAAATATTTCTCTCTTCAGAAATTGCATTAGAATACATGGCATTGTATATTGTAAAGTAGTGTTATTTAAATTCATTTATGTTACCTCCATCGTGTAGTTTGAGTTGTGTTTACAGAGGAAAATTAGACTATGTGTGGCTCTTATGCTCAAAGTCAATCACAGTTTCATTTGGTACTCATCTTGGAAATCCAGGTTTGTAAGCATGTGCTAGCATGCCGAGCACACTTCACAGCATAATTTGCATATCTGGACATTTTTGCATAGAGACTGGCTTTTACTCTTCCTTCAAATATAGTTTTATTATTTTCATTTGGTTTGCTCATTAGCTAGCCATTGGATTGTTTTTCTTTAAAATTTAAAGCTGACTTATTACCTTATAAATATTTTCTGGTTAAATTGAATTTTTAAATGTTCACTACTAAATACAAACAAGAACAATCTTTCATGTCTGTGTTTTAAATATAAAATTATCATATGTTTGATAGCAGCATTTCCTAGGGATAGTTTTAACAGTCATAAGATTAAGATCTATTGGTCTGTTTTATTTGCAAGGTTCTTTTTATGGATAATTAAGATCCCAGATTTATTAAAATAGTGTTTGTAGAAGAAGCCCTAGATCTCATATAAGTAAAAATAAAGAATCTTTTGTTTCTAGATCATAGCAGGCTACAGAATATAGTGTTTTAAAGTTCAAATTCAGGCCAGAAGTCCTTTGTTGTATCTTGGCTCCACCACTTACTGGTCGAGAGGAGACACTTGACCTCTGCGTATCTCATCTCAGATTCCTAATCTGTAAAATAGGAATATACTTACCCTTAGGTATATCCAGTAGTACCTACCTCACAGGGTTATTATTAGCTAGGTTTTTTTCTTTTTTTTTTTTTTGAGACAGAGTTTCACTCTGTCATCAGGCTGGAGGCTGGAGTGCAGTGGCACAATCTCAGCTCTCTGCAACCTCTGCCCTCTGAGTTCAAGCGATTCTCCTGCCTCAGCCTCCCGAGTAGCTGGGATTACAGGCGCCTGCCACTGCACCCGGCTAATTTTTTGTATTTTTAGTAGAGACATGGTTTCACCTTCTTGGCCAGGCTGGTCTTGAACTCCTGACCTCGTGATCCACCCACTCGGATTCCCAAAGTGCTGGGATTACAGGCGTGAGCCACGGCACCTGGCTTATTTTTAGTATTTTTTAAAATACTAAAAGTATTTTCTGGCGCATGATAATTGTTACACAGTGTTAAATGAATTGACATATTAGCTTCCAAAAATGGTGAATTTGCTAATACACTGTAAACTCAACACAGGAACCTCCTTAAACAACACTGTGGCTCCAAAGTCTAATACTGTGCCTGGCATAGTTGTTTTTTGATGGTTGGTTAATTCATACGAAGAAAGTAAGTTCCTATTTCAATGGAATTAGTCCCTGTTTCTATACAAAAAGGCGTGAGGCCATGGTAGGAAAGTTGTCCAGCAAAGAAATGATACTTACACTGAAACACAAAGCCTAAGTAGAAGTCAGCCAGGCAATGAGCTGCAGAAGGAACAGCTGGTGCAACACTTGACACTTGTATATATGTGCATATTCATCACGTATATATGTGCATATTCATCACATATATCCGTGCATATTCATCACATACATATGTGCATATTCATTTGCATTAACATGTATAGATGATTACAGCCACAAAATGGTGTGGCAGGATTATTGTAGGATGGATTCCAGCATCTGTGGAAGAAAATCAACCACAGCACCATCACGAACTGAAAGCTGCTGAAGAAGGATTCTCGCTTGAGAGAGAAGGGAGCCAGTGTTTTATGGAGATTCAGCAAGAGGGTTCAGATGAAACTCAGCTAGCTCTGTGGATAATTGGTTATAAATAGTTCTAAGAAATTTATTCTTAAATATTAGTTGGGCATTTTAGTAAAAGGAGTTGAGACACAGAGTTAGGACCTAAGGTTATGTGGAAGAAGGGTAGAGAGGAATGACTGGATGAGAAACCCATGGACATGAGAAAGCCACAGTGGAACTTTTTCCATCCTTCAGCATTTCTTACATATCTCACAGGAAGATAGACTACATGACATCATCTATGGTTCAGTCTATCTGCGTATTATTTCAACCTTTTCATTCAATTAGGCTTTAGGTTTAAAATTTAAAAACAGATGTACTAAATTCTTCTTTTTAACTTTTTTTAAGAAAGCAAACATTAATGACTTTTTAGAAAAGGATGTCATTTATGCCACTCCCCACTTACTCTAGAGAGAGAATAACATTTCAAGAGAAAAGAGTAATACTTTCAGGCCCTTCCTACTCTTACTTGTTCCTGTCCTTTGCTAAAAATAAGTGATTTCTTTAACTGATGCTATAGGGAGAAAAAAATGAATGAACACAGCCAAGCTTTTTATTGGCATTCACGCTCATAAACTCAATAAGCTTTCCACACCATGCTCTGTTCTAGTAAGGGAAGAGGCCTACAATTTTTGCAGCTGCTGAAAATTAAAGTGTAGAAGGCATAATTTTTGCCTTGGATCCAAGATGTGTTTTCCAATCAAGATTTACCAATTACAAGTCAGATATTTGCTCTCTATTTGACACAAGTCTCCTGCCCAATTGTTTCAGAATCCACAGGGAAGAGATATGTTTTGTTGACTGCCCATTCATTTAGTGTTTGAATTAAAAAAATAAATTCATTTTTAACAAATTATTATGGAGACTAGTGTTCCATGGAAAACACATTAAGGAAAAATGACTTAGGAGTCTGTGAAGTAATACTGCACATATCAGTGCCTTTGAAAATATGCTCCATAGAATGTCCATTGCCAATTGAGAGTCAGAAACGTGTTAGACTACATGGTAGGAATCAGAATCAAAAGTCTATGATTTGTGGGAAGCAGTTCAAAATAATAATGTAAGCTTGAATTTTAGAGAATATTAACAGGGTCCAAATTCTGGCTCCTACACTTGATAGCTGAGCAACTTTACGTTTCAAGTAAATCATGGACAAAATACAATACATATTTTGTGGTGTTGCTACAAGATTGTACATAAAAGTAATTCAATAATAATTTTTATTGAACATGAATTAAAAAATGTAGGCACACATAATGCCTGACAGAGTGGGAGCAGAATAAATAGTAGCTCTAATCATGTTATTATTTTAATTAAAATCATTAATAATACTGATCAACAAGGCTGGTGGGTTGCCATGGGTTCTTCTTTTGAACACGTTATGCAATAGTTTACTGGTGATTTTTAGATAAACATTGCTGGCAAAACCTTGCCAGTCAACAGGAAGTTGGCAGAAGTAAAGAGGAGATGATGAATTTGTTAATAATAGATTTAAAATGCAATCAGAAGTTGGAATAGTGAACCAAAAATAACTAGATAGAACATACAAAAAGTTGTAAAAGGCACTTGGGCCCTATAATATAGCAGCAGTAAATGTAAAATTATTGAATTGTCTAGTTAAATATAAGTACAATAAGAGTAAACAATACTGTAAAACTACTCTGGAATGTATTATATTAGTTTCATTAATAGAAATAGTCTTCAAGAATATATAAGCAAATATTCTAAAGTTCTCTATGCTATACAGACTGTACTTGTGTATAAAATTTAAAAGAAATACCAAAACCAGGTGGCATATTCAAAAAAGACAGGCCAGGAAGATAGTAGCATCTAAACCAGCAAATTATGACTGATTTAATGATATGGGCCTGCTTATCAGGCAGGAAGGAAGTTTAGTGACAATGATAGGTATCTTCTAAATTCTTGAGCAATTGTTGAGTACAAGAAGGTTAGATTCACTTTGCGTGACACCGGAAGTTAAAATAAGTACTATTGAGTGCATTATATGGGGAAATCAGATTCAAGTCAGCATCTTGAAAAGCATGAAGCAATATAAAAATTGAAGAGGATTCCTCAAGTGACTGCAAGGTGCAAATCTAAAAGCTGAATGCTCGGAATCACTTACTGAATGAAATGTTATCAGTAGGTGACTTCCCTGTTCCCTTTATATCACCAAGACTACTTCTATGACTTTTATTATCCTAACATTAAAGGATGCCAATAAAATCTTTTAATCATCAGCATATCTCCAACATTAATAATTGCAAAGTTCAAGTGAATATTTTTCACAGAAATAATATAATTTTTCACTTAAGATTTACATGAGATATTTCCATATCTCTAAATTAAATGATAAATTTAATTTAACACGTCTGACATCAAGTTTCTGTTTAAAAAGTGTTTTCTAAAAATGCAAGGTCTGAAAGTGTTTATTTAAAATTTTTAGTCCCTTTGCTACTGTTTTTCCAAATTTAATACATGTGATGAATGTAGGTCTGCTAACTGATATCAAACATTACTGTAACCTACTATTTCTTGGACATTATCTCCATCATTTAATTTCTTGTCTTGTGTTACAAGTAAGAAATTGTATAAGGTGAGATGGTAGGAGATATAAAAACAAAAACAACAACATTAAACTCCCTTCTTAGAACCAACAAAAAATTGTTGACATACATCCAAATCCTGATTATAATTTAAAAACTGTAATAGTTTGTTATAATAACAGGAATTATTTTTATTTTTGCATTCCTGGTTATGATAGAAAAGCTAATATAGGACCTGCTTTCCCACCAATAATAACTCTAAAAGCTGATAAAAATCTGTGAAATTACAGTGCTGTGTAGGCAGTACTGGAATGAAACTAACATGGCTGTGATCCTTGAAAAAGAGAACACAAGAGGTGAGCCCCATTTCACCAAGGATTTATTCCTAAAGGCATTTCTTTTAAAGTGCTGTCCAGGGATTTAGAAAACAACAGACAGCATCAATGTCACATGGTTGAAGAAAAAGGGACTACCAAGAGAGATGGGATTTGGTGCCAAGTTCTGTGAGGAGGGAGCTACAGAATGAAAACCCAAATATCTGAGCCAAGATTTCAGAGTCCACTCAGTGCTGAAAGATGAAGTACAAATCATGCCAGTGTGAAGACACTATAGTGGACAACACAGTTCACTTGACTTCCCAGAAAGTCCAAGTCTTAGGGACAGGAATCATGTCATAGAAGTAAAGGTCATGTATTAGTCCGTTTTCATGCTGCTGATAAAGACATACCTGAGACTGGGCAATTTACAAAAGGAAGAGGTTTAATTGGACTTGCAGTTCCAGGTGGCTGGGGAAGCCTCACATTCATGGCAGAAGGCAAGGAGGAGCAAGTCTCGTCTTACATGGATGGCAGCAGGCAAAGAGAGAATGAGGAAGATGCAAAAGCAGAAACCTCTGATAAAATCATCAGATCTCATGAGACTTATTCACTACCATGAGAATAGTATAGGGGAAACCATCCCCACTATTCAATTAGCTCCCACCAGGTTCCTCCCACAACATGTGAGAATTATGGGAGCACAATTCAAGATGAGATTTGGTGGGGAACACAGCCAAACCACATCACTCTCCCCTGGCCTCTCCCAAATCGCATGTCCTCACGTTTCAAAGCACAATCATGCCCTTCCAACAGTCTCCCAAAGCCTTAGCTCATTCCAGAATCAACTCAAAAGTCTACAGTCCAAAGTTTCATCTGAGACAAGGTGTGTCCCTTATGCCTAGGAGCCTGTAAAGTCAAAAGCTAGTTAGTTACTCCTTAGATACACCTGGAGTACAGACATTGGGTAAATACATCCTTTCCAAATGGGAGAGATTAGCCAAAACCAAGGGGCTACAGGCCCCATGCAAGTCTGAAATCCAACAGGGCAGTCATTAAAGCTTAATGTTCCAAAATGATCTCTTTTGACTCCATGTCTCACATTCAGGGCACACTGATGCAAGAGGTGGGTATCCGCACCTTGGTCAGTACCATCCATGTGGCTTTACAGAGTACAGCCACCCTCCCAGTTGCTTTCATGGGCTGGCATTGAATGTCTGTGACTTTTCCAGGCACACAGTACAAGCTGTCAGTGGATCTACCATTCTGGGGTCTGGAGGACAGTGGCCCTCTTCTCACAGCTCCACTAGACAGTGCTCCAGTGAGGACTGTATATGGGGGCTCTGACCCCAGATTTCCGTTCTGTACTGCCCTAGCAGAGATTCTACATGAGGGCCCTGCTCCTGCAGCAAACTTTTGCCTGGACATGAAGATATTTCCATACATACCCTGAAATCCAGGTGGAGGTCCCCAAACCTCAATTCTTGACTTCTGTGTACCTTCAGGCTCAACACCATGTTTAAGCTGCCAAGGCTTGGGGTTTGCACCCTTTGAAGCAATGTCCTGAGCTGTACCTCGGCTCTTTAAGCCAAGGATGCACACAGCAGGGGGGACCTGGGCCCAGCCCATGAAACCATTATTTCCTCCTAGGCCTCTGGACCTGTGGTAGGAGGGGCTGCTGTGAAGTTCTCTGACATACCCTGGAGACATTTTCCCCATTGTCTTGGTGATTAACATTTGGCTCGTTGTTACTTATGCAGATTTCTGCAGCATACTGGAATTTCTCCCCAGATAATGTTTTTTTTTTTTTTTTTTTTTTTTTGCTTTTCTACTGCATCTTCAGCCTGCAAATTTTCTGAACTTTTATGCTCAGCTTCCTCTTGAATGCTTTGCTGCTTAGACATTTCTTCTGCCAGATACCCTAAATCATCTCTCTCAAGTTCAACTTCCATAGATCTCCAAGACAGGAGCAAAATCTTGCCTGTCTCTTTGCTAAAGCATAAATAAGAGTCACCTTTGCTCCAGTTCCCAACAAGTTCCTCATCTCCATCTGAGATCACCCAAGCCTGGACTTTATTGTCCATATCACTATCAACATTTTGGTCAAAGCCATTCAACAAGTCCCTAGGAAGTTCTAAACTTTCCTATATTTTTCTATCTTCTTCTGAGCCCTCCAAACAGTTCCAACCTCTGCCTGTTACCTAGTTCCAAAGTCACTTCCACTTTTTCAGGTATCCTCATAGCAGCACCCCACTCTACCAGTACCAATTTACTATATTTGTCCATTCTCGTGCTGCTAATAAAGATATACCAAGACTGGGTAATTTATAAAGGAAAGAAGTTTAATTGACTCACAGTTCTGCATGGCTGGAGAGGGCTCAGTAAACTTATACTCACAGCAGAAAAGGAAGCAAACATGTCCTTCTTCACATGGTGGCAGCAAAAAGAAGTGCAGAGCAAAAGGGGAAAAGCCCCTTATAAAACCATCAGGTCTCTTGAGAACTCACTCACTTTCACAAGAACATGATGGGGGAAAGTGCCTCCATGATTCAATTATCTCTACCTGGTCTCTCCCCCCAACACATGGGGATTATAGAAACTACAGTTCAAGATGAGATTTGGGTGGAAACACAGCCTAACCATATCAAGTACATATTGTATAATTTCATTTGCATAAAGATAAAAAACAGTTACAGCTCATTCGAATAATAGAAGTTTCAATAATCACTACATTTGGGCATGCTAGAAATGTTCCATATCTTGATCTAATGGGGGTGACATTTGGAAAATAAATGTACAATTTATGAAAGAGGCCAATTAAGTTATAATTTACAACTAAAGACAAACAAAGGTCAATGATTGTGCAAAAAAAAATGTTAACATAACATGCAGGTCTAACTGCTATTATTCAAAAACCTGTGTACAAAATTGGCTAAAATCTTGGAACTTACATTTAGGAGTGTTCTCATAAGTCCCAGAAATGAAGAGTGGCTTACTGGAACTAAATTGTTTATACAACATGGTTTATGGAGAATATCTGCTTTCCTTCTGGAAGTCTAGAATTTCAGTACTTGCTAGACAGAGGCTGCCTATATGACCAGTTCCCAGTAAAAATCCTGGGTGCTGAAACTTTAATTAGCTTCCTTGGTAGACAATATTTCCCTATAATAAATTACAATCATGAACTACATGTATGCTACACATATATTGAGTCCTATGAGTCTTCCTAGTGACCTGAGAGTAGTTGGGTAATGGGATGATGCCAGTAAATTAATTTCTGTTGTATTTTTTATGTGGTTGGATTTTAATATTTTAAAAATGTAATAACTCTCTCTCCTTTCTATTTGGATTTCACTTACCTTCCCTTGGAAAATAATAACCCGAGTTTGGTGAGAGGATGTCTAATATAGAGGGCACTCCAGGAGTGGGCCTAGCAGCCTTAGCTGGATGAGGGGGTCCCATGGAAGAGGATTGCCTAACACATGATTCTGAACTTCATGTAAGTATGAAGGTATACAAATGGGGAGTTGGCAGCCGTGGCCCAGCTTGAGCAGGGATTCTACGTGGTGGAGTAGTGGGGACAGGAAGTCGTGTGGTGATAAGGAATTTGTTAAATACAAGAAGTCCCATCACAAAATTAGGTTTATGAAGCATGTGGTGTATAGATTTCTCACTATCAGAAAAATAATTACAAAATACAGAAATGTTAAAAACAAAAATGTACCTTCTGTTATTGGATTTGAACTGGAGACAATAGTGTGAATTCATAATTTCAATATAGATATATAAATATATAGCTGCACACATACCACCTTCCTAGGTGTGTCTACTGAATAGACAGGAAACAGTGAGAGACAAATGGTATCAAGCATGTTTAGCATCCAGATACTGGTTTCTATGAACAATTCTTCACTAAAAAGAACCAGACCATCTTGGAGAAATTGCTGATTCCAGGGTTGGAACAGAAAAAGTACAACATGACTTTCGAACATTATTTTTTGCTAGAAAGTAAGGAATTCATCCAACAACATAGGGATATGTTAGAAGGAAACATAAGCCAATTTGAAGGGACTTCCTCTGGTCAAACCAGAAATAATTGAGGATCAAAATAAATAGTTGTATTAATGAATTATAGCCCACTGAATAAAAACAGAAAACTATAAGCCCCTACTGACTAAAATAAATATGTATATACACTGAAAATGTGATAAGGAATAAGTCTTCTCTTAAGGTACATTTTCCACAAAATTATTATTCATTTTAAAGGCAGTGCAGAAATAATTCTAAAATGAAAAAGCCTATCACAAATCGCTCTAATCAAACGATCAAAATTAACATCACCAGTAGTGAGACACAATGAAATCAGGTACCAACTAATAGGATTAAATGAGAAAATGAAATTACTTCCATGTTACTCCTGCCAAAGGTGCAGAATCTGAGTCTAGTAATAAGGAAACATTAAACACATCCAAATTGAGTAACATTTATGAAAGTAAGTAAAAATCAAAAGAAAAGAAAAAGCTCCCCACGGAAAATAAGCAAAGAGACTACTCCCTTTTCTTAAAACATTTACTTTAGAAAGCTTGTAAGTCTTTTCCCTATCTCTGAAATATACATAAGATTTATGAAAAACTAAAAAAAGTCCCCTTCTAGCCTTACAGACCCGCGAATGTGTTTCTCAACGACCTGGGGACCATATCCGAAATGTCATCATCAATGGAGATGGCACCTACCTACCTCTCAGTTTCTGTGGGAGGGTAGCAGCCTAACTTTGGTGAGTAGGCATCTCAATCCAAGTTGTAAAACCACCTCCTGTCATAATTATAGGAGAAGTTCATTTTTCCTTTAGATAATGCCAATTAACAAACACAGATGGTTATCCTAACTACCAAGTGTATTTGTGATGAACTATGTGTGACAAATGTGCTGTCAAGGTCTCTTACTTGAGAACTAGTTATTGTTTATAGGAGAATATATATGTAATAGATTGTTGCTGCTTGCTGTGTAAAAGGGTGAGATTTCCTTCTGCCTCTGCAATGTCTTAGCAGATTGCCTGTGATGAGAATCACACTCTTGTTTAATACTTACTTAGTAATAAAACTAAAATTATTTTTCCCCATGTAGCTTTATGGAGAAGTTTTCTGGGTTGGGAGGAGATTTTGTTTTTAATTATATTAAAAACAAACACTCTCCAAAAACCTCTACAAAATAACTAACCTGTAATCATCGAAAGTGTCAAAATCACGAAAGTAAAAGAAAGGATGAATAAATGATATAGATTCAAGAAGATTAAAATGATAACACCTAAATGCAATGTGAGATTCTGGACTGGATCTTTCCAAATTAAAAAAAAAAGTTGAAAATTGTAAAAATTTTATTGGAGCCTAAGTATTAGACAGTAGTCAGGTACTAATATTAATTTTCTTCTTTTGATGTTTATACTGAAGAATATGTTTGGAAGAAATTCTAAAATATTTATTGTTGATGCAGCATTATTTTCAAAAGGATTAAGAAAAAATGTTATTTAAATTGTATTTTTCTGTAAGCTTGGAATTGTTTAAAAGGTGAGGAGGAGAGATACAAAGATAATAGAAACAACCACATACTCATCAAGAAAGTTAAATTTTGTTAAAATTTCTGCTAGTTGGTTCTTTTAAATAAATTACAGATACATTTAAAGCTCCATTCTGAGTTCCCTATTTTTCCTTCTCTGAGGTAACAATTATGTATGATTTCCACACAAGCTTATATAATCTATGGCTGTTGTTCTGTGTTTTAAATTACATAAGTGGTATCATACATGCGTATACTTTTGTAACTTTTTTTGGATAATGTTATTTTGAGATTCATATACATTCTTACATCTTGCTGAATTTCATTTTAACAGCAGTGTTGTATAAGGCACAGTTTACCCACTCCTCTACTGAGAAACAGGTTGTTTTGATTTTTCCCCTATTATAAGCATTGTTGCAGCATTACATAAAGTTTAAAAAAAAAACTTTTCCCAGAGTGTGGCTTGAATGTTTTTTTTTTTTCCTTATTAGTTGACATCTGACATACAGGAGATTTTAATTTTATTTCTTTCTTTCTTAATTGAGATATATTTAACATTTTTATGGGATACATGTGAGTATTTGTTACTAGCATAGAATATGTAATGATTGAGTCAGAGTATTTGGGGTGTCTATCACCTGAATATTTATTATTTATATGTGTTGGGAACGTTTCAAATTTTCTCTTCTACCTATTTTGAAATATAAAATACATTGTTGCTAACTATAGTCACCCTACTCTGCTAGCAAACCTTATAATTTATATTTTATATTTGACTTCGTGTTTGTACCAACTAACCTCTATTCATCCCCCACTTCTCACCCACACACTCTTCCCAGCCTCTGATACCTATCATTCTATTTCCTACCTGCACAGGATAAACACTTTTTAGTTTCCAAATATGAGTAAGAGCATGCGATATTTGTCTTTTTCAACTTGCCTTCTTTAACTTAACATATTGACCTTCAGTTCTATCCATTTGCTATGAATGACATTATTTCATTTGTTTTTATGGACAAACAGTACTTTATTTTGTACGCATACCATATATTCTTTATCCATTCATCCATTGATGAACACTTAGGTTGATTCCATATCTTGGCTATTGTGAATAGTGCTGCAATAAACATGTGAATGCAGGTATCACTTTGATATACTGATTTGGTTTCCACTGGATAAATGCCCAGTAGTGGAATTGCTGAATTGTATAGTAGTTCTAGTTTTAGTTTTTTGAAAAATCTTCATTCAATTTTCCATAGTGGCTGTACTAACTGACAGTTCCACCAAGAGCATAAGAGTTCCTTTCTTTCTTGGAAAATGGAGGTTTTTTCCTCCATTCTCACTAGCTTTTGCTATTTTTTGTCTTTTCATAATACCCATTCTAACTGGGCTAAGATAAAACCCCAGTGTGGTTTTGATTTGCATTTCCCTGGTTATTAGTGATGTTGATCACTAATAAATAAAAATAATGTATTTTTAAATACACCTGTTGGTTGTTTGTATTTCTTTTTTTGAGAAATGTCTATTTATGTTGTTTGTCCACTTTTTAATGTGATTTGTTTTTTTCCTGTTGGATTCTTTAACTACCTTTTATATTCCGAGCACTAGTCTCTCATTAGATTAATAGTTTGCAAATGTTTTATCCAATTCAACAGGTTTTCTCTTTACTCTATTGACATTTTCCTTTGTTATACAGAAAAATTTTAGCTTAATAGAGATGTACTTGTCTATTTTTGGTTGTTTTTTGTATTTTTTTAGGTACTAACCATAAAACCTTCGCCTAGATGAATATCCAGAAATATTAATATTTGTGTAGGCTTCCTCTTGTAGTTTTATAGTTTTAAGTCTTTAATTTATCTTTGGTTGATTTTTGTGTATGGTGAAAGATAAGGGTGCTGTTTCCTTCTTCTACATGTGAATATCCAGTTTTCCCAGAACCATGTGTTGAAGAAAATATCTTTCCCACTGAATGTTCTTTATGCCTCAGTCAAAAATCAGTTGGCTGTAAATACATGTTTTTTTATTTAACTCTAGTCTGTTAAATTGTTCCATGTCTGTTTTTATACCAATACCAAACTGCTTTTCTTTATAGCCTTGTAATATATTTTGAAGTCAGGTAGTGTTATATCTCCAGCTTTGTTCCTTTTGCTCAGAATTGCTTTGGCTATGTGGGGTATTTTTTGGTTCCAATGAACTTTAGGATTTTTTTTATAATTCTGTAAAAAATGATGTTGGCATTTTAATGGATTTTGAATTGAATCTGTAGATTGCTTTGGGATATATGATCATTTTATCAATATTAGTTCTCTAATCCATTTATATCCTCTTCAGTTTCTTTTATTGGTGTTTTATAGTTTTCCTCATGGAGATCTTTCACCGTCTTTATTACATTTATCCCCAGATATTTTATTTTTTAATAGATATTGTAAATGCAATTGCTTTTTTTTCTCAGCTAATTAATTATTGGTGTATACAAATGCTACTGATTTTTCTATGTTGATTTTGTATCCTGCAACTTTACTGAATTTGTTTATCAAATCTAAAAGGTTTACTGGGAAAGTCTATAGGTTTTTCTAGATACAAGATTATATAATTAGCAAAGAAGGACAATTTGACTTTCAGTTTTTCCCCATTTAGTATGATATTGACTGTGGGTTTGTTATATGTGGCCTTTCTTATGTTGAATATGTTCCTTCTATGTCTAGTTTGTTGAGACTTTTAATTATAAAGAGATGTTAAATCTTATCAAGTGCTTTTCTGTATCTATTGAGAAGATCATACTGATTTTGCCCTTGATTCTGTTGATGTGGTTTATCACATTTATTGATTTGTGTATGTTGAAACATCCTTGCATCCTGGGATAAATCCTACTTGATCATGATGTATTATAGTTTTGATGTGCTGTTAGATTCAATTTTTTAGTATTTTCTTGAGGACTTTTGCATATATGTTTGTCAAGAATATGAGCTTTCAGTTTTCTTTTCTTTTCTTTTTTTTTTTTTTTGTTCTTGCATCTTAGTGTGGTTTTGGTATCAGATTAATGCTGGCCTGGTAGACTAAGTTAGAGAGAATTCCCTCCTCTTGAGTTTTTTGAAATAATTGAGGAGAAGTAATTTTCTTGGTCATCTAGAAAGTAGGTTATCCATTTTGTTTACCTTTAAAAATGCATTTTTGTTTTACTATCTCTTCTATGTTTTGGCGGGTGAGGGTTCTAATTTTCTGTCTATGTGTTCTGTCTAATGCTGACAGTATGGTGTTGAAGTCCCCAAATATTACTGTATTTGAGCCTATCTCTCCCTTTAAATCTAGTAATATTTGCTTTATATATTTGAGTGTTCTGTGTTGGGTAAATATGTTTAGAATTGTTACATCCTCTTGCCGAATTGATCCTTTTATCATTTTATAATTTTTTGTCTCTTTTTACTGTTTTTGACTTAAAGTCTATTTTATCTAACTTAAGTATGACTACTCATGCTCAATTTTGATTTCCATTTTAAAATATTTCTTTTTTCATCTTATTACTTTAGGTTATATATGTCTACAAATATGACGAGGTTTCTTGTAGGCAGCATATAGTTGGGTCCTTTTTTAATCCATTCAGCTAGTCTATATCTTTAAATCAAAAGTTTAATGTAGTTTACATTCAAGGTTATTATTGATATGCAGGAGCTTATTGTTAGCATTGTATTAATTGATTTCTGGTTGTTTTGGATAGCCTTTTTCTTTTTCTCTTATCATTTATTATTGTGATTTGGTGGTCTTCTGTAGTGGTAACTTTTGAGACTTTTCCTATATTTGGATATCTGTATTTCTTGCTAGTCCTGGAAAGTTGTCAGTATTATTTCTCTCACTAAGTTTTCTATCATTTTCATTTTCTCTTTGCCTTCTGGGACACCAAAAGTTCAAAGATTGTGTTGCTTTATGGTGTTCCATATGTTACATATGCTGTGTTCATTTTTTTAAAACTCCTTATTTCAAATTTTTGTCTTGGTTATCTCAAAGGACTGGCCTTCAAATCCTGAGATACTTCTGCTGGATTTAGTCAGTTTTTGAGGCTTTTGAATATATTTTGTATTTCATTCAATGAATTCTTCAGTTCCAGATTTCCATTTGGTTCATAATGTTTATCTCTTTGTCAAATTTCTTACTCTACCCTGGATTGCTTTTCTGATTTAATTATATGGTTTATTATTATGTACTTTCTGAGCTTCTTCAATATTATATTTTAAAATCTTTTTCTATGATTTCATAAGCCATATTTCCTTACTTTTTTATGTTGCTTGTATTCTTAGGTTGATATCTGTGCATGTGTTACAGTCACTCTTTCCTATTTTTAAAGTAACTTTCCTAAGGGAAGACATTTTCCTAAAGTTATATCTATGATGTTTGTTGGGTTGGACACTTTGGATTTGATCCTGAGTGCATGCATTAATGTCATTAGTGTGTGATTTCTTCAGCTATAAACAACATCAATTGTATCTGTGATTTCCTCAGTGGCTTATGGTACAGTTATTGGAGGGTTTGGTGAAGTTTTGCTGGGGACAGAGAAACCAGGTGGCCTAGTCTTCAGGCTCCATTGGTGGCAGCAGTGGGGTAAGCATGTCTGTCCTTGGACTCAAGGGTAGCATACCATGGCACCAGTGTTAGCAGGTCCAGGTGGGCCAATTTTGGGGCCTCCAGGTGATTTTCTCAGATGCTGGTAGTGGCAGTGGTAAGCTGAATGTGTGGGCATGTTCTGCTGTGCCTAGGCAGCAGAAGTGGCATGGGCAATAGTGGTAGTAGTGGCAAGACAACCCTATAGGTCCTGAGAGGTATGTGCTAGTGTTGGTTGTAGCTACCATTGGCTGGGCTGGCCAGTCTTCAGGCTCACGAGTGGTGAGTGCAGGTAGGTGTCAGCTGTGATAGTAGTGGTAGGATGGGTGAATCCAACTTCAGGCCCCTAGGATAAGTGCTCAGATGCCAATAGTTTGTGCACTGGGCTGGGCAACCCCCAGGACCCTGAACTGCATGTTCTAGGCAGGGCAGGTGGTGATGCTTGGCCAGGGGTCCCCCAATAGTGCATTCAGGCACTGGCTGTGATAGGCAGGGATGGGGTGGGGTCAGCCTCAGGCCCCCAGTAGACTGCTTCAGTGGAGGGTGGCAGGAGTTGTATTGTGACTCTGCTACTAAGGAGAGTAGAGTTGCTTTCGGTGGTAGCAGCTGTATGTAGGTGGGTGAGGAACACATATTTCAGTCATGCTTCAGCCCAGTGGCAGCAGCCTGCAGTGATGGCAGTCTGGGGAGGGGGAGGGGAGGCTCTGTCTTGGTGTGGGAAAAATTCAGAGTGGCGCTTCTGCTGGAGGTAGTGGGTCACTGCTGGTGGCCTCTGCTTCATCTCTGGTGGCAGCAGCTAGCTACAGTAGTGGCTGCAGTTGTGGGTTGTCGTGGGGCTCCAGCGACATGAAGATACAGGTACTGTTGAGTCTTAGGGCAAGGTGCATTCTGTTGGGAGCTGGCTCAAAACGTCAACTTTGTGTAGTTGCATAGGACTCAGGAGGTGTCATGGACTCAGCATATGTTTTCTCTTTGGTGCAATCACGTGTTCTCTAGGCTTCTCCCTATGTTAGTCTCAGGATCCATGAGGGTCAAGGGACTCCTGTGGCTAAGATTGCAGGCATCCAGGGTGGAAACGTGGACTGCTGGGGGTCTGTCTCTTACCTTTACTCTGCACTGGGGAGTCTCTCCACGTCCCAGATGATCCCAGCCAAGCAGGCTGTCTTGCCTTCCTTGCCTTAGGTGTTTCCAGTCACTTCTCTGTCGAATTCCAGTGTTCTTTCTTGGATGATCTATTTGACGTATGATTATCTACTCACTATTTGGGTTCCTTGTGGAAGAGATAAGTCCATATCAGAAAAGCTGGGCCAATTCTAAAGGTTCTGATTTATCATAGCCAGTTAACACAAAGTAAAGTCAATGTGCTCATTAAAAAATGCAAAGACAACATGACTTAGTTATATGTAATATCTGTGATAATGTTCCTACCTAGTATAAAAAAGTAAAACCCTGATGTTAATGAAATGTCTCTAGTTGGCCATATTGAAGCTCTTCCCCAGGGCTTTAAATTTAATATTGGTACATTTGTTGATCCATTATTAATGGTTTCTCCTTTTACTAACTTCAAGCATTGTAGGTGTTTTTCTTTATGTACTTCAGGGAATAAAGTGCAATCTATTTTTATGATAAAAGCTTATTATGAAAAATAGATAACTTATATACATATATTCATCCTTCTAGGTTGAAAGGCCCTAAGTCTTTTAAAATAAATATAAAATTAAAGCCTATATCACAGATTTTTAAAAAATATTTATTTTCTGTGTTTGTGTTTGGGAAAACAGGAAGAAAACATACTTAAAGTTGTCAGGTTTACCTTATTTGTTTTTCGGTTAACCGTGTGGGAAAATGTTTGAGGATATTAGTATTTGAAGCTACCTCAAAAAATATTTATTTATTTTTTATCCATGCATTCATGCAAGCATTCATTCATTTACTCAACAAATATTTGATTTGTCAAAATGTCGTCTTGTGCTTAATATTTGCAGTAAAGTATTAGAGGCAAAACAAAGTCTTTGATCTCAGAGATTTTGCATTTTGGTGAGACACAATAGGCAATAAACAAATGAATCTACAAGTCCACAATGGTCAGATGATGATAAGTGCTGTGGAAAACAATAAAGCAGCTGGATTAGAGGTGAGGCAGTGGCTACTCATTCAGCTGGAGGTTTCTAATAGAGAAGCAAATAAACAGAGACATGAAGGTAGAGAGGAAAGGAGCCGTATGTGTACGTGAGGAAAGACCATTCCAGGAGGAGAAAGAACACATACGTAAGCTCTAAGCTGAGTGTGCATGTGTGCATTGTTGCGTTTATTGGAGGGGGTTTCTTCATGATACATGGATACCAGCCAGACTACAGCAGAGTGGAAACCAGCTGTTATGAGCGAAAAAAAAAATAGAGTTATATTTATGGTAAGAACTTTGGCTTTTACTTTGAGGCAGTTGGAAAGTTTGATTAAATAATTAACATGAACTGTCTGTAAAATACACCGTTGGTTGCTGTGTTCAAAATAGATAAGGTAGAAATAGATATAGAGGGTATTATTTCAATAAATATTTTGGTGACTTAGATTGGCATAGTAATAGTATACAATGTAAGAGATGTCAGACTTTTCAGACTCTGGATCATAAATATTTTAAAGATAGAGATAAGAGGGTTTGAGGTTAAGAGTTTAAGTCAAAGATGATGTCAAAGTTTGTGGCTTGAGTAACTGAAAAGGTGCAACTTTCCTTATGTGAATCTGACATAATAATCCAGTCATTTGCGTTAGCTTAGATTGGTGCAGTGATAAGTCTTATTTATCATGTTCACAAATATTAATGACTAAGGTACTTTTTAGTGAGATAAAGTAGGAGATGGAAAAATATATTGAAGAATTGATGTCAGGATGGCTGCCTGTTCATACTTCATATGAAGTGGCAAAACTTTCATGCTAATTGTAATGAATAGCTTCTCAATGGAATATAGACTAAAATGATTTAGAATCAGAGAATTGGCTAAGCGTATTAATTGCTCATAGAATTCAAGAGGGAAAGAAGTGAAAAATTCCCTTTTCTGTCTGTTGTTATAGTACTGGTTAAAATGAGACCTTAAGATAGAAAATAGTAGCAGGAGAAAAGTGGAAAAGATAAGCCTTTTTCTATCATCTGAAGACCGTCTTCTCCGGACTATCTGAACAGGTATCATATTCACTCAAGTAACATAATAAAGACTACTGATTACTGAAAGACTATATAGGTATCTGTTGTCAAAACAAGTGATTATTAAATGGTAAGTACATTTAATAATCATTTGAGGGTAAGAAACTTGGACATTTCATAGAATAATTTCAGTGAAGCCTGGTAAATCATAATTAAAATGGACTATTAGAATTAAAGATCAGGGGCTTAAGACATGCATTTAAGATATCACGGAAGGCACTGATTATTTGTGTGGACAACCAATCCCCATGTGGATGCAATTTTCTGTAAGTAGATGCTTCTGAGAGTGTAACATCTAATTTGTGGCATTGAGTAAAGTTTAAGACTTGTCAGACCTGCCTTGGGAGGGATAGCTTCCCCACCCCTTCCCCAGCCACAAATGGAATACTGCATTCCACAGTGAGAATGTGGCTGGATTCAAAGTCACTTTAATCTAGGTGTATGAATGTCAGGGAGAAACACTGAATTCAATGTCATTGACACAGTAATGATAGGTCCCTTGATGGGAGTGATCCCCAGACTTGGATGACTTAACTAACTTTGGTCTTGGAAAGCCAAAAAAATAAGCAGGAGGCCGATTATTTCTGTGCAAATGATGTGTCTCAGTTAAGTCACTACTAAAAACAGAAGCCCAAAGTACAGTAATTTACTTGAAAGAGAATAAAGATTGGGTCTGAAAATGCTTTAACATCAACCTTTTTGGATTTGGAGGTGCTATGGTGGAGAGAAAAAAAGCAAAGGAGTTATGTTAAATATTGGAAGTATGACTGGAAAGATTATTTAATGATCAAGTAGCTTTTACCTGAATTTATAATTGGTAAGAATATCATTACAAATATTACACGTAACTAGGGCTTGTTGCCTTTGCATTTTTATGAACATATTGCTTGTACCTTGTTTTAATTGTCTAGGATAAATGAGAACCTTTAGAATTGCCTCAGTCTTCCTGATGTTAAGAATTAAGCAAAACTAAAGTCCAAAATCTAACAAAGGATCATTATTCTGATTAGGTAAATCTCTGACAGGTGAGTTTGGATTCCTACTCCCTTTCTTTTCATTAGTTTAATATGTTCAGGCCAATGAGTCAACCATTTTGGCTTCAGCATCTCTTTGCTCTTTTGAAGTTATTGCGGACCCCAGAGAGCTTTGATTATGTGGATTATGTTCATTGATATATACCATATCCAAAATTAAAACATATAAATTTAAAAATATTTGTTTATTATGTCATTAAAAATATAACAATTGGTCGGGCGCGGTGGGTCACGCCTGTAATCCCAGCACTTTGGGAGGCTGAGGAGGGCGGATCATGAGGTCAGGAGATCGAGACCGTCCTGGCTAACACAGGGAAACCCCGTCTCTACTAAAAATACAAAAAATTAGCCGGGCCTGCTGGCGGACGCCTGTAGTCCCAACTACTCAGGAGGCCGAGGCAGGAGAATGGCGTGAACCTGGGAGGCGGAGCTGGCAGTGAGCCGAGATCGCGCCACTGCACTCCAGCCTGGGCAACAGAACAAGACTCCATCTCAAAAAAAATAATAATAATAATAAAAGATAAAATAACAATCTCAATATGAGGTTACATAAATAACATATTTAATGAAGAATTATTTTCAAGAACAATAAATTTGTTAGGGAGTAGAATTAGTTTATTTGTAGTGATCTCTAACGTGTGGTTTAATAAAAGGCAATTTGATTTTTACATCAGATTCTGCATTAAGGCTATTGTGCTATGTTGCTTCAGTTGAACTATAAGAACAAAATTTTGTCTCATGCATAAATGTCATTGGAAAATAGGAGAGTTTTTAAACAATCTTTTCAAATAATTGTAGATTTTCTTTGATCCTCAACATAACCAAAAAGTAGCTACTTCTTAATAATTAATTGCAATGTGGAATCTGCAAACACAGCTATGATTTCTCATTCTCTTTAAAACCCACTGATTTATTTTGCACTTCTAATGGATCTTTCATCATAAATGTTTTTGTAATATCATAGGCCATTTGGAAAATCAAGTTTACTATTCATGCTAATCTTCTAAATATTAACACATTTTATTATACAATATAAAACATCAGATTTTAATAACACTACTGATATTGTCAGCACATATCTTAAGTAGAAGACTGTCTTATGTTTGTTATAGCCCAAAACAGTCAGTGGCTTGTAACTGGATTTGGGTTGAACTGAGGTATGAGATCAGCAGGACTTGTTTTCTGAGCACCAGTCATGATCCTGCTGGTCAAAAACAGGATCTGGTCAAAACAGGATGCAGTAAAGAAACTGGCCCAAATCAGCTAAAACCAAGATGGTGAAAGAGGTGGAGCAAGATGGTGGAATAGGAAGCTCCACCAGTAGTCTCCCTGCCAAGGACACCAAGTTAGCAACTATCTACACAGAAAAAAACACCTTCTTCAGTGCAGTAGATCTGAAAAAGGCACTGAAAAGATAGAGAAAACAGTCCTGAATTACTGCCACGCTCCACCCTCCGCCCCTTCCAACCTCAGCAGCTGCAACTCGGGATGGAGAGCCTCTCTGGGCACTGAGGAAGGGAGAACACAGCAACTGGGGGACACTGAACTCAGTGCCGCTCTGTTAGAGCAGAAAGGAAAACCAGATTAAACTCAGCTGATGCCCGCCCATGGAGGGAACATTTAAACCAGCCCTAGGCAGAGGAGATTCACCAATCCCAACAGCCTGAAATTGAGTGCCTGCAAACCTTGCCACTGAGGGATACAGTATTCTGTGTCTGTAAGTAAACTTTAAAAGCAGTTTAGGCCCTAAAGACTGAAACTTTTAGATGAGTCCGAAGGCTCAACTAATCCCAAAGACATCACATTCAGCGTTGGCCAGATCGTCCAGACAATTAACAAAAGAACATCAGATTTAATCTGCACTATAGACCAAAGGGACCTAATAGATATTTAAAGAACGTTTTATCCAAGGGCTCCAGAACACACATTCTTTCCTCAGAAAATAAATTATTCTCAAGGATAGACCAATATGTTAGGTCATAAGACAGGTCTTAAAACATTAAAAAAATGAAATAATATCAAGCATCTTCTCTGATCACAAAGGAATAAAACTAGAAATTAATAACAAGAGAAATTTTTGGAAACTATACATATACAAATAAACAATATGCTCCTGAATGACCAGTGGGTCAATGAATAATGTAACAAAGACATTTAAGACATTTAAATTTTTTTTGAAGCAAATGATAATGGAAACACAACATATCAAAGCCTAGAGGATCCAGCAAAAGCAGTACTAAGAGGGAAGTTTACAGCTATAAGTCTTGTATAAAAGAGGAAAATCTTCAAATGAAGAATCTAACAGTGCGTCTTAAAGAACAAGAAAAGAAAGAGCAAACCAAACTCCAAATTAGTAGAAGAAAAGAAATAATAAAAATAAGAACAAAAATACATGAAATTGAAATGAAAACAACATACAAAATATGAATGAAATAAAAATGTGAGTTTTTAAAAATGTAAACAAATTTCACAAACATTTATCCAGACTAAGAAAAAAAGAGAGAAGATTCAAATAAATAAAATTAGAAACGAAGAAAGAGACATTACAACTGATACTGCAGAAATCCAAGGGTCATTACTGGCTGCTATGAGCAATTATATGCCAAAACATTGGAAAAACTAGGATAAATGGACAAATTTCTACCTACATACAACCTACCAAGATTTTATCAGAAAGAAACCCAAAAAACCGAACAGACCAATTACAAGTAATGAGATTGAAGTCTTAATAAAAAGTCTTCCAGTAAAGAAAAGCCTGGGACCCGATGGCTTTACTGCTGAATTCTTCCAAACATTTAAAGAATTATTACCAATCCTACTCAAAGTATTCCAAAATATATAGGAGGTGGGAATAGTTCAAAACTCATTCTATGAGATCAGTCTTACCGTGATACCAAAACCAGACAAAGACAAATTAGAAAAACAAAACTACAAGCCAATATCACTGGTGAATATTGACACAAAAATTTTCAACAAAATACTAGCAAACCAAATTCAACAATACATTAGAAAGATTATTTATCATGGCCAAATGGGATTAATCCCTGGGATGCAAGTATGGTTCAACATATGCAAATATGTCAATGTGATACATCATATCTACAGAATAAAGGATAAACCCATATGATCATTTCAATTAATGCTGAAAAAGCATTTGATATAATTCAACATCTTTTCATGATAAATACCCTCAGAAAAGTAGGCATGGAAGTAATACATCTCAACATAGTAAAAGCCATATACAATAGACCCACAGCTAGTAACATACAAGGAATGGGGAAAAACTAACAGCCTTTTCCCTAAGGTCTGGTACACAACAAGGATGTCCCCTGTTACCACTGCTATTCAGCATAGTACTGGATGTCCTAGCTAGAGCAATGAGACAAGAGAAAGATATAAAATGGCATTCAAATTGGAAAGTAAGAAGTCAAATTGTTCTTGTTCACAGATAATATAATTTTATATTTGGCAAAACCTAAAGACTCCACGAGAAAACTACTAGTAGTGATAAGCAAATTCAGTAAAGTTGCAGGATACAATATCAACATACAAAAATTAGCAGCATTTTTATATGTCAAAAGTGAACAATGTGAAAAAGAAACAAAAAAGTAAACCCATTTACAATAGTGACACAAAAAATTAAATAACAAAAAATTAACCAAACAAGTGAAAGATCTCTATAATGAAAACTATAAAACACTGATAAAAGAAATTACAGAAGACACAAAAAATGGAAAAATATTCTATATTCATGGATTAGAAGAATCAATATTGTTAAAATATTCATAGTTCCCAAAGCAATCCACAGATTCAATGTAATCTCTATCAAAATACCAATGACATTCTACACAAAAATAAAAAATAAAATCCTAAGACGTATATGGAATTAGACCCATATCTAAAATATATATGAAACTAGACCCCTCTATCTTGCCACATACAAACATCAAATCAAAATGGACTAAATACTTAAATTTAAGACTTCAAACTATGAAACTGTTACAAGAAAACATTGGGAAAAATTTCCAGGGCATTGGTCTGGGCAAAAATGTATTGAGCAATCCTCATAAGCACAGGCAACGAAAGCAAAAATGGACAATTGAGATGACATCAAGTTAAAAATCTGCACAGCAAAGGAAACAATCAACAAAGTGAAGTGACAACCTTATAACCAAAATATATAAGGAACTCCAACAACTCCACAGGAAAACAAATCTAATAATCTAATCTAAAGATAGGCAAATAATTTGAATAGACATTTCTCAAAAGAAGACATACAAATGGCAAACAGGCATATGAAAAGGTGCTCAACATCATTGATCATTAGAGAAACGCATATCAAGACTACAATGCAATATCATCTCACCCCAGTTAAAAAGTCTTATATCCCAAAGAGAGGCAAAAATAACAAATGTAGATGAGGATGTAGAGAATAGGGAACCTCATTGGCTGTTGGTTGGAATGTAAGTTAGTACAATCACCGTGGAGAGCAGTTTGGAGGTTCCTCAAAAAACTAAAAGTTGAGCTGCCATAGGACCCAGCAATCCCATTGCTATGTATATACCCCAGAGAAAACAAATCAGTATATCAAAGAAATATCTGCACGTCTATGTTTGTTGCAACATTGTTCATAATAGCTCAGATTTGGAAGCAACCTAAGTGTCCATCCACAGATGAGAGATAAAGAAAATGTGGTACCTATTACACAATGAAGTTCTATTCAGCAATAAACAAGAATGAGATGTAGTCATTTTCAACAACATAGATGGAATTGACGATCATTATGTTAAGTGAAATAGGCCAGGCACAGAAAGACAAACATCACAAGTTTTCACTTACTTGTGGGTTCTAAAAATGAAAACAATTTAATTCATGGACATAAAGAGTAGAAGATGGTTACCAGAGGCTGGAAAGGGTAACGGGAGGTTGGGGAGGGAGATGGTGATGGTTAATGGTTACAAAACAAAATTAGAAAGAATGAATAAGACCTACCATTTGATAGTACAATAAGGTGACTAAAGGCAATAATAACTGCATTGTATATTTAAAATAATTTAGAGAGGGTAATTGGATTGTTTGTAACTCAAAGAATCAAAGTTTGAAGGGATGAATACCCCGTTCCTCATGATGTGCTTATTTCACATTGCATTCCTGTATGAAAAAATCTCATGTACCCCATAAATATATAGACCTACTATGTACCCCCCAAAATTAAAAATAAATGATCATGGTGATGAAAGCAATCTCTCATTGCTCTCATTGCTCATGATATGCTAATTATAATGCATTTCCATGCTAAAATACACTCCCAACAGTGCCATGACAGTTTATAAATGCCATGGTAATGCCTGGAAGTTACCTTTTATGGTTTTAAATGAGAGGAGCCCTTAGTTCCAGGAACTCCCCATCCCTTTTCTAGAAACTTTGTGAATAACTCATTTCTTACTTAGCATATAATTAAGGAGTAGCTATAAATATAGCTGGTCAGCAATCCACAGGTGTTACTCTGCCTAGAGGGTAGCCCTGCTCTGTCTATCAAACAGCCATTTTTCTATACTCTGTTATTCTAATAAACTTGCTTTGCTTTCAATTTACTCTGTCAGTCAAAGCCAAGAACCCTCCTGGGTTGAGCCCCAATTTGAGGGTTCTCCTGGATCAAAACTGCTCCCACCATCATGGGACATCATATCATTCTGATGCCTGAGTTATTGATTATTCCTTAGCTAATGCCAGAAGACAACTGGGAAGAGGATAGTACAGCGAAGTTTACTAATAAATATTTATATGCTTAAGGGTCTGTTTAAGGGTACAGGGGAGAAGAGAATGAAGGGATTATTGGGTACAAATATTCAGTTAGGTAGAAGAAATATGATCCACTGTTCAATAGATCAGCAGGGTGTCTATAATTTACAATAGTACATTTAAAAATAGCTAGAAGGAAGTAATTCAAATGTTTCTAGCAAGAAGAAAAGATACATATTTAAGGTGATTGATAGCCCGATTACTCTTATTTGATCTTCATGTATTTTATGAATGTATTGTTATCACAGATACTTCCAAAATATGTATATCCATTATGAATGAATACATAAATAAATGACTTTGGAATTAAGATAATATTGGTCATAGGTTTTGATGGGCCTGGTTATCCAGGCCAAGTTTATTTATTAAGTTGGGATAGAAATAGTACCTACTATTTTTATAAGGATTAAACAAGTTGCTCTAAAGATTAAGTAATACTATGTCTATTAAATAATTAATGCCTACAACTGAAATAAAAAAAAATTTGCTTTGCCTTTTTTTAAAAAAAGAAAAAGAATATATTAAAGGGAGAAGTTCACTGTACTCACATAGGGCCAATGAAGGTGTCCTTTGCACATGGACCACTGTGTGTTCTAAGCAGTATGATAGGCAAAACAGCCACTCTGGTTCACTGATATTTGATGCCTGTTATTACAGACAGCTCCCATCCAAAGGTACACCAACTTATTCTCTGGGAAGTGTTATGCTACACTCAGATGGAACTACATTTGAGGGTTTAATGTATCAATTGGCAGTCTCAAGGAACACTGATACTTGGAGGTTCAGACCATTTTCCCAAACTGCCCATGTTTCATCAATGTGCAATGGGAACAATACAGGTAGTGGCATGGTAAGCACTAGCTCCACTTTGGTAAACAGACTGTAAAAGTGATAGGAGTTCATCTATGGCTAATAAATCAGGACAACCTAGAAACTCGCCATCATGAAGCACAATACTTGTTAACCCAAAAAGGGACACTAGAGAGAGCTATCTTCCAGGAAAGAAGCTGTAACTGGAAAGAAGCCTGGAGAGACAACAGTGTCAAATGAATAGAGAAATTGAATACTGACACTAATAAAGAACTATACCCACCAGTAATGCTACCAGAGGGCTTGTGCCCTCACTCAAGAATGATTGTTCATATTTGCATATTCGCTATGGAAAGAGTTTGTTGGAAAATGGTAGTAATCTTAAATAATTGCAGGACATTACTGGGCAGTGTGGCTTTTATCATTGTTCTCTAATTGCTCTAATACCCAGAATAAAAAAAAAAAGAATGTATCTTTCTTGTGCCACAACTGGCTGGAATTGGACATAAAAAGAAACAACACAATGTCAGCTTCATTGGGAGCGTGGGGATAGATAGCAGTGTCACATAATGGCGCCTGGAAGCCTACGTCTGTAAAGATTTATTCTATAATATCTGGGATATGTTTATGTCCATAAAACAAGTGAAATTCAGAAGTTCCTGAAAAATAGTCTCTAGTTACCACCTAAGTAACTGGGAAAGTGGTACATGGGAAAAGGTCATTTCTGTTGGGAATGAAAGGGACAATGATTAATTTTAACCTATGTCAAACATTAATCTTTCTATGATAGCTATTTAGTGTAACAAAGGATTTGTATGTTCATTGATAGAATTAAAAGAAAACCAAATTTGTGTAAATGATGATTCTCCAACATAAGAAAAATAACTTGTGAGTATGAGTTTAAGTCCCAAGTTGTTAGAATACATATAGAAGCTGATCGGGCTGAGAAGGAAGTAAATTTGACTTTAGAAAATTACTCACTAAATTAAATGCCTTCAGCAACCTATATAGAATAATTCAAATAATTCTCGATCAAGAAGGTATTAGACAAAGCTACTAAACAAACATTAAAACAGCTATAATGTATTGAATAGTGATCTTTATGGTGATAATAGGTAGAAAATATTAAAAGAAAAATAATGAATTTTATTTTGAAAAAGATAGAGAATTTTGACATGAACAAAAGGGATACAACTGGTTAAATAGCTGAAGAACACTGGTTTTTTAGGAAAAGGAAATAGAAAATTACATAAATTTATGTTCTCAGTAATTAGCATCTTAACTTTTTTTAAATCATGAGTCCATTTATAACAATGATCAATAGTTGACCCATATACAAAGTTTCCTTATGAAATCACATTTTAATCAAATACCACATTGAACTACTTAAATTTCATGGCATATAATCTTGCTAAAAATATGAAATAAAACTGACATACTTAGGTGGCAAATGTTGATAACTGCTTTCCAAGATTTATTTTTATAACCTGGACATAATTTTTTAAAATACCCCAAATTTGTTTAACATAGTCTTAGTATTTAGAACACTCTGTTTCTTCTTTTCTTGTTCTTTCATATTGAAAATGATCATTACTGTTGAAAATATTCCTGAGTCTTGCCAGCAAAGTTTGTTCTCTACCAATGCTAAAACATCAAAAATAACAAGAGCAAATTTAATTAGAAAGGCAAAAAAGCAGTTAATTAAAATTATAAAGTAAATCTGGCAATGTAGCTCTTCAAATATCTGTTGCATTGGTGATTAAGCCCTTATAAACTAGGGAGCTGTTTACAATAATTTAATAATAGAATATAATATTGCTACTTCTAGAACATGAATGGTTCTAATTTTTTAATGTTGAAGACATATAATGTGTAGCAAGTGGCTTAATTTCTTAGGACACGTTGATATGAAGAAAAATGAAAATATAAGTTCACTTTCCTGGGTAAATATATTTATTTTTCCAAGTAGGAACTATATTTTGTTAATTTTTATTTTTAAACACGAATTAAATCCGAAGTTCTCTCATTAGAAATACTTAATTTAGGTTTTTTTTCTTTTGAAAATTCAAATATGTTATATTCCAAAATGGCTTTGTCAATTGCTATTTACTTGGAAAGATCAAGGAAATACTTCCTTAAAAATAAGTAAAGTTGTTCTGAAAAATCCTTCTATTGTCTTAAATTAAAACACACTGGAAGTATATCACTAATTGTATGATTTTGGACAAATTAATTTTCTAAGCATCAATTCCTTCACAGTTAAAATAGGTAATATATGCCCTGCATTTGCTTTGCTTTTGTTTTGCTCTTAATGTTTACATACAATGGATATCAAATACATAAAACAGTAGGTATTGATAATCACATTTTTCTCTTTATCTTGTTTAATATACTATATATAATAATGAAATGTTTACAAGTAAATTGAAGTTTAGAAGTATATATGTAATTGTATTTCTCTAACTTAACTAGCTTTCCATCTTTTCATTACATTGAGAGAATACAACTTCCTAAATTATAAGTGAGAATATTATTGTGTTCCAGAAAAGAGAGAGTTAAGGTAGAAAAGAAAGTGAAGTTTCTGTATGGCCATCAAATTATCAGGCTAATTCCCTTTTCATATTATTTGAAAATAATTAGTTTGATTTCTCAGGGATGTATTATTGTGACCAGATTTTTTTCATGGAAGTTATTGACTAAGTAAAGTAAAAACAAACAAACAAACAAAAACAAACAACAGCAACAAAAAACTGAGGTCTGGGAGCTTTAACTGAAACGAATACCTGGGTGTATGTTTAGGTCATGTAGAAAAAGATGTTGGGAGCCAAACTTTGGCTTCTTCTCAGGGACAATGATTCTGTGCCAATCAGTACTTCAATTTCAATGGGTGGTGTAAATGGGCCCAAAGTGAGCTTAACATAAATCCCAAAGCAGGCTTTTTATTACACCTAAACACTGTGATGTTGGCTAAACAAGAATAAATAGTATTCTGAGTCTCACAGCTTAATTCCAAAAATGTCCAGGATGCCATAAAAAACTACTCATCATACAAAGAACCTGGAGAACAATTTGAATAAAAAATATACTCAAAATATTCCAGTACTGAGATAACTGAGATGAAATTATCTGATAAGGATTTTAGGGTGAATGGAAGATATGAAAAAGAATCAAAGGGAACTCATAAAACTAAAAAATAAAATAACTGAATTAAAAAAAAAAACACTTCAACTGACTCGGCTCAAAATTAGATTAGAATTAGCTGAGCTGCAGTGGCCGGCGCCTATAATCCCAGCTACTAAGGAGGCTGAGGCGGGAGAATCACTTGAACCCAGGAGATGGAGGTTGCAGTGAGCCGAGATTGTGCCAGTGGACTCCAGAGTGGGCAACAGAGGGAAACCCTGTCTCAAAAAAAAAAAAAAAGTAGATTAGAGATAACAGAGGAAAGAATTAGTGAACTTGATGAGAAATCAATAGAAATTACTGAATTTGAACAAAAAAGGAAAAACTAACAAAATCTATGAACTCAGTTATCTATAGGACAATTAAAAATATTTAACTTGTATTGTCATATGAGTCAAGAAGGAGAGGAGAAAGAGTTCAAGAGCTGAAAAATATATTTGAAGAAATAATGGCTGAAAGTTTGATATTGTACTATAGTTATGTAAGATGTCAACATTGGGGCAAGCTGGGTAAAAGCTACACAGGATTTTGTGTATTATTTTTGGAAATTTCTATTTCATTATTGCTAAATAAAAAATTAAAAATACGCTTCAAAGCTACAATAATTAAAATACTACAATACATAGGAAGGAATAGATGTCTGATTACAGGAGACAACAGCGTTCAATAAAAATAACACCAGTTTTTTGTTTGGGTTTATTAAATAACCTGAAATAATTTTTACGGACAAAAAAGATGAATGTCCTTAATACTATGATTTCATGTTAGTGGCCTGTTAAAGTATGTTTTCAAAATTAATATGTTGTTATGTTTCCAAAGGAAATTTAATAGACAAAAATTTTCAAAACACTTTTTAATGGAATAGGCTTCTCTAGGAGCACCTAATGGGCTCTACTAGAAATAGTTTTTTAAAAACGGTTTGGTAAATGCTGCCTTAATACATGAAAATCACTTTCAAGTAGATGTGAACAGAATTAACACTGAAATGAAAAAAATAAGCAAAACTAACAAACATAGAAGTAATAAAAATAAGTACAACTTTAAAAAAATTTTTTTTAGTGAATAAAGGATTGAAAAAGAAGAAATGGCTGGATACTTTAAAAATTTACATACACAAAAGTAATTTCTGGAAAAATTAGTGTGTAAAAGTTAAAATAACAAAATACTAGATTTAATATTTGTTTAGTGTCATTTATGTGAATTTAATGTTTTAAGTACAGACTACGAATATCACAGAAATACAGATACAATTAGATTTCATTTAAATGTCAGCAAGAATTGTGGCCCAGCAAAAAAAAAAAGAAAAAAAGCAATATTAATATTAATGTGTCATTCGGGTGGTGCAGGACGTCCCGAAGGAAGTTATCTCTAATCGGGGAGGGGATGTAGAAGTCAGTGCCAGAAGGTCCATCTGGGTGTTATGCTTTTCTCAAGGAACATAACAGGTCATCTTTATTGAGACAAAGCCCCACCTCTCCTGGGATGATTATACTTCTCCTTAGTGGATAAATACATTTATTTGGGAATTTTAGAAATAAATGTAATGATGATGAAAATCATCAAACTCAAGAATATTATACTCATAATATCAATGCTTGGTTAGATTCAGGAAAATATATGTGTCATTGATTTCAAATATGTTATTTGTAACAGTGTAAAGCACATTAGAGAATCTGACAGAATAGTCTTGTGATGCCGATTTAAAACAGAGTATGGCTAAATATATGGATATCTCCAATTTCTTTTGACGTGTGTTAAAATTAAGGATTAATAGATGGATAGCTGCATATGCAAATAAGATAAAACGTTAATAATAGAATATAGGAGAGGATACATAGTTTTCCCTGTGAAGGTTTTGAAATGTTATTGTATATTTGAATATATTCATTAAAAATGTTAGGGAAAGTAAAAGATGGCAATAAAAAAGACTGAACAATAAAACAAAGTGCAATCAGAGTCTATATAGACTGTCTCTGCCCAATATGGTAGTCAGTAACAACATGCAGCCATTTAAATTTAAATTAGTTAAATTAAATAGAATTAGTAATTAATTTTCTCAGGCACAGTAGCCATATCTCAAATGCTAAAAGGGTGTGGAGTCGAGGCAGGAGAATCACTTTAGTCCAGAAGGCTGAGTCTGCAGTGAGCATTGATCACGCCACTGTGCCCCAGCCCAGATGAAAGAGTAAGAGTAGACCCTGAAAAAAAAAAAAAGATACCCATCCAGAAACATAAGTTGAGAGAAATAGTTCTATTTCTAAAATGTCATAAGAAATGTAAATGGATGAAACATTTCAATTAAAACACGAAAAAGAATATTAGACTGGAAAGAAAAAATTAAGAAATTAAAAAAATTAATAAATTCAGATTATTTAAAGTGAAAATAAGAATACAATTACCCCAAATAGACTTTATGCTATTAAAAAAGTTATTAATAATTCACTAATGTTGACTCTCTTTATTACTAATAATTAAGAGTCCTTATTATATTAAAAGAAATAATTTACCAGGAAAATATAAGGATTTAAAATACACATATATCTAACAGTTTGCTTGTATATAAGGCAAATAATGTTCAAAACCACAAGAAGAGATTGAGGGATTAAATATCATGTGAGATAAATTAATATATCTCTCTTTCAATAATAGAAGCATGCAAAAAATCAGAAAAGAGAAAACTTTACAACAAAATTGATACACTTGATTTAATGGATTTAGAAAAGACTGCACTCTACAATTAACTATTACTTATTTTTTTCAACATTTGAGATATTTTCCACAAAGAAAGTAGAAAACCTAAATGATTTTAATCATCTGCAAAATATTTGATGAAGATAATAATTTCAATATTTGAAAAATTCTTCCAGGAAAAAAGAAACATATAGCAACATTTATGAAGCTGATACATTTTTGGCTGTAAGAATAGATAAGAATATTATCAGAAGTAAAAATCAAAGGCTAATCACACACATCACATTAGATGAATTTAACAAAATATTAATAAAATGAGTCAATTTGTGTGTATGAAAATATTTGTTTTTTTAAAGAATTGCTCAATATTAGAAAATCTAAATTTACCATACTAACAGCTGAAAGAAAAACAAATGATTATAAAAGTTGCAGGAAAAATGATTAAATTCTTAATTTATGCATTATAAAAATATCTCAGTAACTAAGAGAAGAAAACATTGTTTACATGGAAAAATTATTTCTATAAAAATATATTCAGAAAATTATCCTAGATGGAAAGGTATTGGAAGCATACCCTTTACAATCAAGTTGAAACCCAGAATGTATATTGTTATTAATTCTGGAGAAACTTCTCAAAGAAATAAGAGCATCTACATGCAAAAATAGAGCACTTGCCATTGCAAAGGTAAAAGCAAAATTACAGTTATTCATATAAGTACTTTAAATGTAAGGTTACCACTAAAAGATCAGAGGGATACTACCAGAAACTAATAAACTTAGTAGTAAGTTTTTCAAGGTTGTTACATATATAATTTTAAAAGTTGACTGAATTTCTGTACACTAGTGGCAATCATTTAGGAAATTGTATTTTTTAAAACATATTAATATATTAGTAGCTAAAATACATAACATACTAAAATAAATCTAAGGCAAAAATATAAAACAGTAAATTTTCTCTTTAAAGAAGAGTTTTTGCCTGGGCACGGTGGCTCACGCCTGTAATGCCAGCACTTTGAGAGGCCCAGGCGGGCGGATCACATGAGGCCAAGAGTTCTAGACCAGTCTGGCCAACATGGTGAAACCCCGTCTCTACTAAAAACATAAAAATCAGCCAGCCATGGTGGCGGGCGCCTGTAGTCCCAGCTATTCAGGAGGCTGAGGAACAAGAATCCCTTGAACCCGGGAGGCGGAGGTTGCAGTGAACGGAGATCGCGCCACTGCACTCCAGCCTGGTGTCATAGACACCCTGAAAGAAGGAAAGAAAAAAAGAAGAAAAGAAAGAAAGAAAAAAACGAAGAAAGAAAAAAAAAGAAGGAAGGAAGGGAAGGAAGGAGAGAAAGAGAGAGAGAGAGAAGATCAAGACTAATATGAAGCTTTAATATTTAAGACTGAAGAAATCGGTGGTGCAAGGATAAACATAGAACTCAGTGAAGTAGAACAGAGTGCCAAGAAAAAAATGTTCAAAACATATTTGGAATTGTCAGATGTGTTTACAGATAACTGGGTAAAAATTGAATATTCAGTAAATGATGCAGAAACAATTAGCTTCATGGTTTACATTTTTTTTTAACTTGAAAAATAAATCAAATTGGATCATCAAACTCCAAAAATTTACTCCAAGATTAAAAATGAAGATTTAAAACTTCATGTTAAAATAACAAATTTGGTTCAGCAAATGATACAAATTGAAAGAATATGTATTTATAAATATATATGAATAGAGCTTGCTTGATTTATTGAACAATTTTGAAAAACATCAAACCCATAAGAAAAATAAAAATAATTAAAAATGAGCAAAAGAAATGATTAGCCATTTCACAGTGGGGCAAGCTAAATAGTCAATAAGCATGTGAAAATATGTTAAACTGTATTATTAATCAGTCAAATGCAAATTATAGCCACAATAAAACAGGATTTTATGATCCCTAGATTGGCGTAAATTTAAAAGGCTAAGAATCTCCTTATACACTACTGTTGGTGTGTTAATGTGACTACTTTGACAAGGAGTATATCATATCCTATGGCACAAGAATTCCACTTTCAAATATATTCTAAAGAAATTCCTAAACATGTGCACAGAAAGATACGTTAATGAATGGTCATAGCAGCACTGTTTACATTTGAAAAGAAACAAACAAACCTGGCAACATGGCAACATCCTGCATGCCCATAAACATTATCATGATCGAATAAAATTATGATACATTCATACCACATGCAATACTATACAGCAATGAAAATGAAATAACACACTTCCACAGGTGCATTTTGAGAAATCTTGTACACATAATATTGGGAAACGGGGTATTCAGAATAATAAACTATGTTTCTATTTACCTGAATATCAAAATAGGTAAAATTAAATAACATAACACAGTATACAAGCATAAATATTCAAATAATAAGAAAAAATAAATGATAAAATTCAGAGAAGTGTTAATTTCTGGGTGGAGAGGAACTAATAAAAATTTCAAATTGAATATTGGTGATGTACTATTTTGTAATCAGGTGATGGGTAAACAGTATTGTTTTTCCTCAGACTGTGTATGTGTATGTGGTTATATATATAAGTATACTTTTGTGGGCATGATACAGTATTAGATTTCTATTGCTGGCCAACATGGTGAAACCCCATCTCTACTAAAAACATACAAAATCAGCTGGGCATGGTGGTGGGTGCCCGTAGTCCCAGCTACTCAGGAGGCTGAGGAACAAGAATCGCTTGAACCAGGGAGGTGGAGGTTGCAGTGAACGGAGGTAAATTACCACAATCCTAGTGGCCTAAGACAATGCAAATGCCTATATTACTTGGCTTGTGTTTCCTTCCTTTATCTTCAAAACCAGTAGCATAGTATCTTCTTTCCTATAACCTCTGCTTCTATTATCATATTGCCTTCTGTGTCTATGATTCTCCAGCCTCCTTCCTATAAGAATGCTTATGATAATGTTAGACTTACCAGAATAATCCATGACATTCTCTATATAAAAAGATTTTTAATTTAATCACCACAGAGTCTTGTTTACTATGTAAGGCAACATATTCACAAGTTCTGGGAACTGGAATGTGAACATTTGATGGGGAGGGCATTATTCGGACTACCATAGACACATTCTATAAGATATATATATATGTATAAAAATATATAAAAATATATATAAATATATATAAAAATATATAAATATATATAAAAATATATAAAAATATATAAATATATATAAAAATATATAAATATATATAAATATATATAAAAATATATAAATATATATAAATATATATAAAATATATAAATATATATAAAATATATATAAATATATATAAATATATATAAAAATATAAATATATATAAAAATATAAATATATATAAATATATATAAAAATATAAATATATATAAATATATATAAATATATAAATATATATAAATATATATAAATATATAAATATATATAAATATATATAAATATATATAAATATATAAATATATAAAAATATATATAAATATATAAATATATATAAATATATAAATATATAAAAATATATATAAATATATAAATATATATAAATATATATAAATATATATATAAATATATATAAATATATATATATATAAATATATATAAATATATATATAAATATATATAAATATATATATATATATATAAATATATATAAATATATATAAATATATATATAAATATATATAAATATATATAAATATATATATAAATATATATAAATATATATATAAATATATATAAATATATATATAAATATATATAAATATATATATAAATGCAAACATGGCATCACAATGTGTGATTTATGATACAAAAATAAACAGACACACATTCTTCGACAGAAATTATGGGAGTCCAAAATTCTAAAATTGCATAAACTTTCTGGAGTTCAAGTTTGCAATATTGTTAACGACTTAAATTATTCATATCCTTTGATCCATAAATTCTTCTTCTAAGAAACAATATAAATGTATTTCAAGAACATGGATGTGATTTTAAATTAATTTTTAAAATTTCATTTTTTCTGTGATTTTACTTCCAATATTTTAAATCAATTATTTTCTAATTAATAAAATATATTTTTATTAAAGGAGGATATGATAGAGGATGATCTATATTGAATCCACAGCCTGTCCCACTCTATAATCTTAGTACTGGTGTCATCAAAATGAAAGTAAAGATAGGAGGGCTAAGAGGTCATTGAAATTCTAAATTTTAGTTTCAGTTATCAACAACGGGAAAAGTAAAAAACCAAATAGGAAAAAAAAAAATTACAGGGAGTCGGAAATTGTATTTCACTTTGGGGTCAAAAAGAAGAGATCCAAATTCCCTTTGAGGAACCCACATCTCAAGACACCCGATGTTAAAGGTGACAGGTGGGAAGAAAATTCAAGGACTACACAACTGAGATGTGCAGCAGGTATGAGGTTTGAGGGTGATCATGGGGACTTCTTCTTAGTGTTTGATCACCATGTGTGAAGTTTTTTGCTTGATTTGCTTGATACTGTTAACACTAATTTAGCCTAGAGATTTTGTCTTCTTAAGTATTATAGGTTCTTAATAATTTGGGGTTCTTAAACATTTTGGGTAGGGAGATTTTTCTTAACACCACTCTTCTTCATTTAGACTGATTAGGGATTATCTTTTAGAAGGATTAAAAAAAAAAAAAAAACGAATGTGACCAAGATAGAGGTAGGAATAAATTCTCTACTAGATAGATATTTAGAATGTATTTATAGAATGAAAGGAGAGAGAACAAAATGTTTTGTAGGTTTTGATGAATTCAGTTAATTTATCAGTATGAAAAAAATGTGGGAAGCTATAATAGCCTTTGAACCATCCTGCTGCAGACCCTGAACGTGAGAAAATTCATTGCAGATGGATGAAGAATTCTGTGGGTCAATGTCAACTGCTAACCATATAAGAAAACTCATTTAAAATTTACCCCTACTTCTACCTTCCATTACTAAATTTGCTCCTCCTGTGACATATTTTTTTATAGTGTTAGCTGAAAAACAATATTCCAGCTGAAGTGTAATTTTAATCATCTCTTGAGTGGTTGAAATGCCATAAAGCATTGTTAATAATAAAATGACAACCTTTTGCCAGCTGAGCATTTGCACATTGCCTGGAGGATATGGAGAGAGAGAGACCTGGAAGCTGAAGGAACAGGTATTTATACCTGACTGATTATATCTCAGTCTATTTTAAATTGCAGTTTATAATATTAGAAAAATATACAGAATAATGTCAAAATCAAGTCAGGTCATTGAATTGAAGAAAAGAAATTGACAGTACTCATTTAGAAAACACAATAACTATTGGCCAGGTGACTTCATTATATTGCCCATAGATTTGATATTATCAATATTGATTGAATCAAGCTAACCCAAAATGGAATTTTATTTTAAATTCTTTGTGATTGAAACAATTTGTGGAGAAATATGTGACTGGTTAAGTCAATATCCAGTGAATGCTACATGCAGATAATTCCTACAACTCTATATATTTACACTAGCATTATTAGTATAAAAAATTCACTTACGTATTTCTGTTCTTCTAAGATTTAAAGATACAAATAGAAATGTAAACTAGGCCAGTAGTTTTTTATCTTTCACATTTTACTTCTTTCAAATAGTCTGTCAAATAATCAAGTTGCCAAATTCTTACAAGCAAAATAAACAATTGTTCAAATACATTTAGGCTTACTATAAATTTATTTTCATATCAATACTTATTAATAAGAATTAATACTTATGTTTACTGTCAATTTATTTTCACATTAATACTTACAGGAAGTTTGAGAAGTTAACTTTATTTGTTAACTGGCAAAGATCTATATTACAATTTTATGGAAAAATTATCAGATGTAGAATACAACTTATTCTTGATCCTGCCTGTAAAATTTATAATGCATTCCTAAAAATAAAAGAAACCTGAAAATAATATGATACTTTATTTTTCAAACATAAAGATATTTTAAAAGATACCTGGCCATTTTGAATATATGACAACTTAGGGGTAAAACAACAAAATACCTACTGATAGTAGTTTATTAGTATAATTACATGTAACTATTTTAAATAACATATTATATAAATAATTTTTATTTATAAATATAGCATTTGCTTTCCTTTCTAACCTTGTATTAAATCATATTATGTCGGTTTTTGACTTGTAGTATTGGCTTCAATTAATCATCACAGAGCCAATTTTTATATCATCTAACAGTTTTTCAGAGGGCATCCTCTTTACGGTTTCCTCCTGATGCTTTAATAAGAAAAATTTTCTCAAGTCATATGTATCAGTGTGAGTAATATTGGGATAGTCTCCCACCCTTAGGACTTATGACAGAATATTTGGTACATAAAAATCTATTGGTGTATTGCTTTTAAAGGTAACATTTTACAACCTTGTTTATAATAAAATAGATTTGACATTGTAAAGTGGTTGTTCTCGGGTATAACTGCTAAATACATACTAAATTATTTGCTTAATTTTATAATGTTTCCATAAACTAAATCTTATAATCAATGGTGTGCCGATAAATGCTTAAAACTAGCCCTCTGGCAGTGAAGTGGAACAAAAATTCCGATTTGTGCTATTTTCTAATTACCATGGTGTAAATATTCCTACCCTGGCCACTTTTAAGCTGCAAATGTGAAATCAGCTGTCTGGCAAATTTCCAGATATGTTGACTGAGCTTTCCAGAGCCATGGTGAACTAGCTCCAACACACCACCAAAAGACCACAAGCATCTCTCTATCTATAAATTCAATTTGCTTTCACTTTCCACTCCCAGGTATTGTCTTTTCATCCCCATTTCTTCCCTGTCTCCATCTTCACTGGCTCCTTCCCTTCAGTATAAGCTCACTTACAACAACTAAAATTCGCATTTATTCTAGCCCAGTCCCATTTTAATGAAAACAGTTTTCATAATATTGATGTTGCCAGGGCTCAATCTCATCCTAATTCCTCAATTCAGTGAAAGTTTTGTCATAATAATGTTGTTTACACTGCTCTCAGAAGGATCATTAATAAAAAAATCCATTGCTTAATCTGAACATTACTTTTTAGAATTTATTCTATTAACCTTTCTTTGCATTGACATTTCCAAAAGCAAATATAAAAAAAGTTTGATGTTAGAAGTCTGTCATTCTCCTGATCTCAATTTCCTTGTTCTCAAGGTACATCTCTAATGTCTCATTCTTGATTTCTAAACATTAACTGTTAGTGGAAGTGAGATGTAATAGCAACCAGAATATGTGGTTTCTTCTCTTTATGCATATACACTAATTATCATTCTGAAAAAGATATTTAAACTTTATGGTTCTCAAATACTCACTGTAAAATGAAGCTAATAAAACCATCTACAGTCTTCTAAAATGAAGATTAATTGCCAATTTATATTGGGAAACTCATTTAAAAATAAATAACCAGTTCTAGTCATAAAATATTCTTTATTAAATTGTTTTAGAAGCAAAAAAATTGGAAGTTGAATGTATGCACACTAATGTAAAATATACATTCAGATAAATGTTACATTTTACCCCTTGTTTTAAAGACTGAATAATTTAGTTATTTCAGAAGGTAATTTCTCTTTTTGTTATTTGAAAATATAATTAATAATCTATTGTCCCAAACCCATTTATAGTCTCTTAATCCAAAAGCCACCATAACATGAAATTATAGCCTGAAACATAAATAATAAAAGCATTGCGTTAATTCATTTATTAAGTCAATATTCATTGAGCATCTGCTAGTTGCTGAGGATATAGTGGTGAATTTCTTTGGGTTCCTGTACTCATTAAAATTATATTGTGTTCTAGACTTTTCTCATATGGTGATAAATGAACCCATAAGGATTATGTTCTAGAAGATTTATAGCATTGAAAGTAGTAATTGAAGACTGTCATTTCCTGTCTTTAAAAGAAATTAATAGAGTAATTATTTAAGTAGTTTACCTTTTAAATCGAACAAATAGAAATTCTCCAAAGCTATATGAGCATGACCCAATTTGGTAGACAGATTTGCACGATAATGTCTCAGTTTGTTCATCCTTTAGATCATGGGTCCACAACTGCCTTTCCATCAGCCAAATTCAATCCTCTCCTCGTTTGTATACATAAAGTACTATTGCAAGACAGCCATGCTCATTTATTTACGTATTGTTTATAACAGTGTTCTTACTATAGGAATAGTCGAGTAGTTTAAACAGAATCTACTAGCCTACAAAGCCTAAAATATGTACTCTCTGTCACTTTATAGAAATAGTTTGCCCACTATAGAAAAATACTTCTAACCAATCTCAAAATTTTAACAATTTTCAATCTTTATATTGTGTTCAACTTCTAAATGCTTACATTAGAAAAAAAGGAAAAGCTTTACATCAATAACATAAATTCCTACCTCAAGAAACTGGCAACATAGCAACATATATAGGGAATTAATAAGAAACAGAAATCAACAAAATTGAATATAGAAAAACAACAGTGAAAAAAATCAGTGAAACTGAAAACTGGTTCTTTGAAAAATGATCAATAAAATTTATAAACCTCTAGCAAGACTTAAAAAATAAAAAGATAGTAGAAACATATCACCGATATTAAATCAGGGATATTACTACTGACCTTGCAGTCATTAAAAAAATTGAAAGGGAAAATTATAAAAGAACTTTATGCTTATAAATTCAACAACTTAGAAGAAATAACCTAATTCCTCCTAAACCAATAAATATCAAAATTGAAGCAAATGAAATAGACAATCTGAATAGTCCTAAAACCATTAATGAAAATGAATTTATAACTTAAAAACTCTCAAAAAAGTAATATTCAGGCCAAGATGATTTCACTAAAGAATTCTACTAAAAACTTAAAAAGAATTAACATCAATATTATACAACATCTTTCAAAAAAACAGAAGAGACTGGAATACCTACCAACTCATTTTATGAGTCCACAATTACCCTGAGAACAAAACCAGCCAGAAACAGTACAAGAAGGAAGGAAGGAAGGAAGGAAGGAAGGAAGGAAGGAAGGAAGGAGGGAAGGAAGGAAGGAAGAAAGGAAGGAAGGAAGGAAGGAAGATCATCTCTTATGAGCTCAAAAACCCCGATAAGAATACATTAGTCTACTAAATACAGCAATGTATAAACAAATAATTAAATACCATTGCAAAGAAGGACTTATTTCAAGCATGCTAAGCTGACTTAACATTTGAAAATCAATAAATGTAATCCACAATACAAACATGCTAAAGAAGAAAAGCATTTTGGCAAGATCTGCCACTCAGTAAGATAAAAACTCTCAGCAAGTTAAGAGTTGAGAGGAATTATCTCAACTTGATGAAGAACATCTATAAAAAACCTAAAAAGCTAACATCATACTCAATGGTGAAAAAATAAAAACTTTCCTTCTAAAATTGGAAACTAGACAAGTATGTGTGTGTTCACTCTCTTACTCACCACAGTACTGGAAGTTCTAGCTGTTACAATAAGCAAGAAAAAGACGTAAATGACATAGAGATTGCAAAGGAATAAATAAAACTCTTTCTCTCTCTCGTTACAGATATCCATTATTATTTATGAAGAAAATCCCAAGAAATTCACAAAAGAAAAATAAACTCTCCTAGAACTAAGTGAGCTCATCAGAGTCACAGGATACAGATGGGCACACAAAAATCAATCACAATTGCATTTTTCTATATATTTATGTGTCATGTGATGTCAGGGATATGTTCTGAGACATGCGTTTTGCTGTCATGTGACCATAGAGTATACTTACACAAACCTAGATAGTATGGCCTACTACATATCTAGGCAATACGATATAGCCTCCTGCTCCTAGGCAACAAACCCATGCAGTTTGTTACTGTACTGAGTATTGTAGGCATAATGCTAAGCATTTGTGTATCTAAACATAGAAAAGGTACAGTAAAAATATGGTATAAAAATTTTGAAAAATGATATATCTGTATGGGGCACTGACCACGAATGACCTGGTAAGTGAATGTGAAAACTGGGAAATTACTGTACGCTGTTGTAGATTTTATAAACTCTACATTTAGGCTACACTAAATTTAGAAAACAAATATTTAATACAAAATTAACCTTAGCTTACTGTAACATTTTTACTTTACAACTTTATAAATTTTAAATTTTTAACTTTTTTACTCTCTTATAATATCAGTTAAAACAAGCACATTGTTCAGCTGTACAAAATATTTTCTTTCTTTATATCCTTATTCTATAAGCTATTTTCTTTTTTTTACTTCTTAAACATTTTTGTTAAAAACTGAGACACAAACAGAAACACTGTATACTTAGGGTCAGGATCATCAATAGCACTGACTTGGACCTTTACATTTTGTCCCACAGGAAGGTCTTCGTGGACAATATGTCCATGCAGCTGTGTCATCTCCTATAATAACACCACCTCCTGCTGGAATACCTCCTGAAGAACCTGCTTGAGGCTGTTTAAAATGGTTAACTTTTTTTATTTTTAATATATATGTAGAAGCAGACTCTAAAATAATGACAAAAGTATGGTGTAGTAAATGCATAAACCAGAAACATGGTCATTTATTATCAGTATTAAGTATTATGTACTGTATAAAATTGTACTGCTATACTTTTATACTACTACTAACACAGTAGGTTTGTTTACACCAGCATCACCACAAACACATAAGTAATGCATTGGGCTAGGACATTAAGATAGCTTGTCACCTATTCTATCAATATGTGATAAAAATTTTTCAGTTCCATTTTAATCTTATGGAACCACTGCTGTCTATGCGGCCTGTCGTTGACCCAAATGTCATTATGTAGTGCATAACTGTACTAATACTAAGAAAAACTGAGTGTTTGTATTTTAGAGTTAAGCACTGATACGTTTACAAATAAAATAATATCTGACGTTTGTTTCAAAGGAATCTGGATAAGAGGATATGGTAAGAACATATATGAAGTAAGATTGACCATGGGTTAATAATGTTTGAAGCTAAGTGGTAAATAATCTTTGTCCCAACCTTTGTGCATAGTGGTTCTCAAAGATGATCCCTGCACTGGCAGCAACAGGATCATTTGAGATCTTGTTTGAAAAGCAAACTCTGAGGAAACCACATATTTTGTAACCAAAACTCTGCACATGAGGCCCATTAGCCTGTGGTTTCACAAGCCCTTTAGGTAATTTTGATCCAAGCTAATGTTTCTGAATCACTGCTCCAGTATAAATAACATAGAATATTGCATGTATTTGTAGAGACATGACATTTGTATATTTTTAAGTTATCCATAATACAACGAAAAATAATGAAAACACCCAGGACAAATGTTTCACTGGAAAAATTTGAATAAAGTTTGCAGACATAATTCTAATCTTAAACACTTCCAAAAGACAGAAAAGGATCTATTCCCCAACCCAGTCTGAGAGTAGAAAATCTTAGCCCTGGAAGTGAACAAAGAGTATGAAAGAACTATTAAAGCCAGTCTCACTTATGAACAAAAGATCCAGTAATCTTAAGAAGTTAAGTAAATCTAGCATTATGTAAAAATAATAAAAATACATCAGAACGAAGTTGTATTTATCCTAGAAAATGAAAGTTGATTTAACATTAGAAACACTTTAAAAAGCAGGGAGGATTAAAGGAGTTTGTTTATTCTTAATATATTCTGTTTGTTTATTTCAGTGTTTTTATATGAGTATCCTTAAATTTTTAAACTGTGTTAAGATGCATGCTTATACTTGTTTTACTTTTCTGACTGGAAGATAAACCTAAATAAAGGTTGTGAAAAAGATCTTTAAATATTACATTTATTCTTGAAATTCTTGTTAACTTTTATAATTGATAGTTGATAAACAATTAGGAAGCATAAGGCACAATTCTAATAATTCTGCAACTTCCCCCTAGATATTCTTGAAATGCTTATATCCATTGGAATCTGACATTTAAAAAGTTCAAGATTTTCAATAATTTAATACACAAACGCTTAAAAGAGTAAATATAGTTGTGATTAAGAGAAGTTTGGCATTTAAAAATCATAGCAAACTGAAACTTTTCATCTTTTCATTTGTAACACAAAATATTAACTTAAATGATTTGATTTTTCTTTTTCTTTTTCTTTTTTCTTTCTTTCTTTTTTTTCTTTTTCTTTTTTTCTTTTTTTTTCTGGGATTACAGGCACATGCCATCACGCCTAGCTAATTTTTGTATTTTTAGTACAGACGGGATTTCACCATGTTGGCCGGGATGGTCTCGATCTCCTAACTCGTGATCCTCCCGCCCCCGCCGGCCTTGCCTGGGTTTACAGGCGTGAGCCATCTTGCCCGGCTGGTTTGATTTTTCAATAAAAATGCAATAATTATAAATAAGGAATAAAAAGAGTGTCTGTATTATAAAATATAATAACTTTTATTTTGCCTTTCGATATCCCTTTGGTTTCAAAACCAAATGTAATATAAACTGTCAATTTAAAATTGATTTATTAACAAATTATTATTTCCTTATGTAAACATTTAATTATTACACATCTCTGTTATTAAATGGAAAAAGTTGAAGATTGTATGAATATTATAGTTTATGCATGTTATACAATTAAATACATTATATATAGTTTAATAAAATGGTAACCCCAAATTTTAGAAATATATTCAAAATATTATATTTATAATATACTACATGAAAATCAAATTATTTTAACATTATTTAGGGGATTGGTGGATTACATATTGCTATAGTCAATGTTAGAATGCCAAAAAATTTGGAAATCCTGATGTCTATAGGTACATATTATTGCCTCACAAATTGGATTCTTAGGTATTTTTCAGAAATATAGGGTATTTGCAATTGCAAAAAAAAGAGATATTTTTAATTTGAATGTATTCTGGGAATTTCTTCCATTGCATCTATTATTGGTATTTTTAAAAAGAGGAAAATAAATCAGCCTATAGAGATACTCAGTCAATATATTTAAATTTTAGAATAATTTCATGGGCATAATACACAGCTTTGATTCTACTTTGATAAAATATTTGTATGATGGAAAAATTTTAAGATTGTAATGTTCAAAATAAATGTAACAATGGCTAGTAATAGGATAACACAACCTCTAGTAAATTTATTCATTATTTTTTCTTAACTAAACAAAATATAATTATTTCTTAAATGTTTTATACTTAACTGTGTGTGTAGGCTTTGTAAGGGAAAATAAATATATTATTTAAACTCCTTAATTTCAACCTCTGACTTTTCATGCAGGAATTAATTGCATGTCTGCTGCTTCTACTTTTACAAATCTCATTATCCCAGTTTTCACTGGGTGACCTCTTAAAACCAGTGACCATCCCACAAAACATAATGGTGGATGTTCATTAATTTATAGTCTAAAAATAATTATTCACTAAATTATAAAACTCGACTTGTGTATTTGGGCATGTATTTGCATTTTAATCTTTCCCATTGAGTTCTTGTTTATATTCTTTCAAAAATTACACACACACATATGTATAACATATATATTATATGTATTTTACAAGTTTATATTAATTGTCACTAGTAAATTGCCACTTTTTTATTTGCTTTCCTTTTTCTTTAAAATATCTTTGTGTAAGAGAAGTAATTTGTCTAACAGTTGAATGATAGATAAATATTGATATATGTGCTTAGGATTGTGAAGAGACGTTTTCCAATTACATTTTATGTCAATAGGAGTGAAAGTATCCTTTACATATATACAAAATAAATGGTCCATGTAACACTATGTCAGACCCCACAGTTTCTACACTCCTGAAACCTATATTCAATGGTCTTCAATACATTATCAACACGTTGAGCATATGTTAATATACTTTTATTTCTGAAAGAGTAAAAATAACTTGGCAGGTGTGGTTGCCTTTTGGAATAAAGAAGGGGAGCTAGGCTTCTCCTCTTTTTGTTCTGGATACATTGTGAATGTTTTAACATAAACATATGTTTCTTTTTCAAAACTTAATGTTTAATTTTTTAAAAGACTTTTTATTATCTTTTTTTGTAATCAGAAAATCAGGTAGATTAAATTAGAGCAAAAGGGATTATTTAGATATATATATTTTTTAAAACTTCCTAATGTATGAAATTTTAACGTGTTAAGAAATCAACATTTTAACTTTATTTATAAATTTTTTTGAAGAAAGACCCTTTGTATAAGAGACTACACTACTGATTTTTTTAATGAGATGAGCACATATTTTTAAAGTTTCTAATTTGGCTATTCAGAATGTTTATAGAAATAGACAAAGAAAAACTTTAAAATGAACTATTTTGGTTTTTACTGATTAGAAAATAAACAGATTTCTAGTGGCTTTTTAAAGCTTCTCATATTAATATAATCATGTTAATCTCTAAAGCTGAGCTGTAAATCCTACTTCCAAGTTGTAGGTGACAAAGAAATGACTTAAACCGCTCCTAAGACAACATGGGTGGGCCAATAATATCAATATTGTTGATGATGGAAATAATTTTTTGCCCTGTAATATGGATTCGGAATAGAATACTATGGGATGGCATTTATCCTTAACAGTCACTCATAAACCTTATAGAAAATAATATTATAATTTCAGGAATTGTTTTATTTCATGTAATTTTAAATATGTATAATAATAATGTTCAATTTGTTGTTATATAGCTTAACTTATAATTAAGATTTTTAAAAATCTTTATCAATTTAACTTCCAGAAGAAGTGCTTAGTATTACCATTGCTAAAAATTATATATTTAATTAGCAGGTTTCATTCTGTCCTATTATTTTCTGTTAGGCATCATGTTAAATAGTAATTTTTTTCGGACTCTACTTTAAAATGCAAATGCATGGATAAATTTTTAATAACGCTTTAATTATTATGGCCATTTTGATAGCTTACCAATATGTTATATATGTAAATATAATTAAAATATAATTATGTGTAAAATTTAAATATACATGAGTCTCTTTTATACCAGCCCAACCCAGAAAAGATCCATGTAGTGATCATTATATGTTAATGAGTAAAAGGAATGACTTTAGTACAAAAAATGGTTAGTAATCAATTTTTCATCTCTTGACACTAATTTAATATGTGGCCAATTGCTAGTGATGTTGCCAGTTCATTCTACACTTCTGCCTAATAGAAAATACAATTTGGTTATCTAATACAGGATCTGTTAATGTATTCAAAGTACTATATATATAGCTATTATAGTTATTTAATATTAAAGGATAAACTCAGATAATAATTGTAACACAGTCAAATAAAAATGAATGCTGTCTTGAGAAACAATTTGAGATCAGGGCATATTCAGGATGATATAGCTGTAGACAGCAGCAGCTTGAGAAACAATTTGAATAATGCAATACTGCCCTTGTTAAAGACAACACTATGCTTCCAGAATCCCCTTTGATGGCGTTACAATAGAATTGCTGACTGTAAATAAGAACAACATAATTATGGCTTGTAGTTTAGGTGTCAGTACTAGAACAATTCCCAAAGTGTTGGATCCTAGTTTAAATGCAGGCGTGGACCAGGCTAGCACAGGAAAAAATATTTCCACATTAGTTTAAGTAAGTAAACTCATTATAGTCTCATTTTTGTTGAGGCTTTAATTAGTAAGTGGCATCCTCAAGCATGTAACAAAATTTAATGTGAGCATAGTGCAATCATAAATGGCAATAAGAAAGTGAGAAAGAGATTTTGAGAATACTCATCTATCCATCCTGAAACAATTACTCTTCAGAGGAAGTTGTTAACATCAATCTCTTAGCTGAACTCACCTGAGAATTAGATGCCAGTAACACATTCATTATCTAACATTTTAGTTTTTATCTCCAGAATAAAATTAAGCAACAACACAAAAGCAATTAAAATATAGTTCTTGTTTAACAGTTTCCTACATTAAATAACTTTACAAGAAACCACTATTTCAAACTGCCACACATAGTGTATAATTAATCTTAAGCAACAGGAAAAGTATATCAGCCTAGTTAGTAATTATTTTATTATTTTTCTTAAAAAGAGCATCAATCTTAAGTGAAAGTATTAACCTCAAGACTAACATTTTTCTTGGGTCCTATTCAGGAGCCAGGGGACATGGACTTATGTTGTTTAAATATTAATTTTGTCATCTTTTATAGACTTTACACAGATCACTCTTGTAGGGATAATTACTTCAATAAAATTAATATTTCAAAAGGTAAACTTTAGAGATTTGAAAGGGATATAAAACATCTATTTGAATATGTTTTTTGTTATAGTCACAGGTTTTCTTTTATCCATTAAAATGTACTTCATTTTTATTATTGCCATTTTAGCATGCATGAAGAATTTCTGTAAATGGAAGACATACACTTTAGTTTTCAAAAATTGATTAACAAACAAATCACAATTTAAAAATTGCCCAAGCACAAAAAGAAGTATGTTTTTCCAGTCATCCAATTGACCTGTTTCCAATGAGTAGGCTCCTTTCCTTTAAGGCAGTGTTTCAGGAAGCACAGGACCCTTCCACCTCATGACTTGGTCATTTAAAAATGGGTTGATAGGTGCAGTGAACGACCATGGCACATTGTTTACCTGTGTAACAAACCTGCACATTCTGCACAGATATCCCAGAACTTAAAGTAAAATTAAAATTAATTTAATTTAATTTAAATAAATAAAAATAAATAAACGTGACACGCATTGGTTTTCATTTTTAAATGAAGGAGATGTACTTAGAAAATTTAAACTATTATTATAGATAATTAGAGCATGGAATATTTGGCTGGCTGACAAATTAGGTGTTTGGCTCTTGTAAGTAAAATTATGAGTGATAAAAAGTCAAATATTTATTACCTTATCTACTTATCTTACTACATTGAAATAGCTAAGTAGAAGTTTCTTACAAGATTGCAGGAACAAAAAGAAGAATAACAAAATATGTTCTGGTGAAAGTCAGAGGTCTTCACTGAGAAGTTCAGCTGTATCAAAATAAAATCTGCTTTAATTCAGTGAATACCATGATATTGGACCCCTATTACCTAAAATATAAAACATACTTGGCCCGTTTTTCTCATGGAGTTTGTAATCTAGGTGAGGAAAAGGCATAACAAACAAACATGCAAAATGTACTTATAAGACGTGCATTTAAAATGTATTTATAAATCTCCCCTGTGAATGACAGGAAACAATGCACGGAGCTGAGCTGGGGTTCGTGTCCAGCACACAGAGACCCTAAAGGACATGTCATTCAATGGAGGAATTAAAACGTCTCTCTCTCCACTCCACAGAATCTACAGAAGTATGCTGAGGGAAATTCCCTGCCCAACCCTGGCTCTGGGAGAGATAGGAAAAAACAAGACTAAAACCAAAACAAACAAACAAACAAACAAACAAACAAAAAACAGATATCTTTTCTGAGAATTCTTTACCACAAATTGTACTAACTTAATTGGAAGCAAGAAATTACTCTAAAAATGTGGTTCATTAGCACTTAAAGCCAACACTTTATTTTAAAGTGATCCCAAGTTATAGTTTTTCTTTGGCAACTGATATAATCAAAGAAAATGCTCTTCGGTTTCAGGTCTTAAAGACCACTAATAATATCTCAAGGAATAGTTACAGAAAATAATAATACAAATTACAAATGAAATTACAAATGAGAAATGCAACCGATAAAGAAACTAACAACTATAAAGCAGAGTTAGGGAGAAAAAATCGAAGGTAAATCTACACACTCTGTTCTGCAAATAATATGATCATTAGAAGCAACACATATGGAGCATGTTTAAAAATAAAGAGTGTTAATAAAAGTATGATGGAGTAGGTACATCATCTCAGCCCAAAATCTCCTTAAGCTGATAAGCAACTTCAGCAAAGTCTCAGGATACAAAATCATTGTGCAAAAATGACAAGCATTCTTATACACCAACAACAGACAGAGAGCCAAATCATGAGTGAACTCCCATTCACAATTGCTTCAAAGAGAATAAAATACCTAGGAATCCAGCTTACATGGGATGTGAAGGAACTCTTCAAGGAGAACTACAAACCACTGCTCAACGAAATAAAAGGGGACACAAACAAATGGAAGAACATTCCATGCTCATGGACAGGAAGAATCAATATCATGAAAATAGCCATACTGCCCAAGGTAATTTATAGATTCAATGCCATCCCCATCAAGCTACCAATGACTTTCTTCACAGAATTGGAAAAAACTACTTTAAAGTTCATATGTAACCAAAAAATAGCCCACAGTGCCAAGTCAATACTAAGCCAAAAGAACAAAGCTTGAGGCATCATGCTACCTGACTTCAAACTATACTACAAGGCTACAGTAACCAAAACAACATGGTATTGGTACCAAAACAGAGATACAGACGAACGGAACAGAACAGATCCCTCAGAAATAATGCCACATATCTACAACTATCTGATCTTTGATGAACCTGACAAAAACAAGAAATGGGGAAAGGATTCCCTATTTAACAAATGGTGCTGGGAAAACTGGCTATCCATATGTAGAAAGCTGAAACTGGATCCCTTCCTTACACCTTATACTAAAATTAATTCAAGATGGATTAAAGACTTAAATGTTAGACCTAAAACTGTAAAAACCCTAGAAGAAAACCTAGGCAATACCATTCAGGACATAGGCATGGGCAAGGACTTCATGTCTAAAACACCAAAAGAAATGGCAACACAAGCCAAAATTGACAAATGGGATCTCATTAAACTAAAAAGCCTCTGCACAGCAAAAGAAACTACCATCAGACTGAACAGGCAACCTACAAAATGGGAGAAAATTTTTGTAATCTACTCATCTGACAAAGGGCTAATATCCAAAATCTACAAAGAACTCAAATTTACAAGAAAAAAACAAAGAACCCCATCAACAAGTGGGCAAAGGATAAGAACAGACACTTCTCAAAAGAAGACATTTATGCAGCCAACAGACACATGAAAAAATGCTCATCATCACTGGCCATCAGAGAAATGCAAATCAAATTCACAATGAGATATCATCTCACACCAGTTAGAATGGCAATCGTTAAAAAGTCAGGAAACAACAGGTGCTGGGGAGGATGTGGAGAAATAGGAACACTTTTACACTGTTGGTGGGACTGTAAACTAGTTCAACCATTGTGGAAGTCAGTGTGGCAATTCCTTAGGGATCTAGAACTAGAAATTCCATTTGACCCAGCCATCCCATTACTGGGTATACACCCAAAGGATTATAAACCATGCTCCTATAAAGACACATGCACACGTGTGTTTATTGCGGCACTACTCACAATAGCAAAGACTTGGAACCAACCCAAATGTCCAATAATGATAGACTGGATTACGAAAATGTGACACATATACACCATGGAATACTATGCAGCCATAAAAAATGATGAGTTCACGTTCTTTGTAGGGATATGGATGAAGCTGGAAACCATCATTCTCAGCAAACTATGGCAAGGACAAAACACCAAACACCGTATGTTCTCACTCATAGGTGGGAATCGAACAATGAGAACACTTGGACACAGGAAGGGGAACATCACACACCAGGGCCTGCTGTGGGGTGGGGGGAGGGGGAAGGGATAGCATTAGGAGATACACCTAATGTAAATGACGAGTTAATGGGTGCAGCACACCAACATGGCACACGTATACATATGTAACAAACCTGTACGTTGTGCACATGTACCCTAAAACTTAAAGTATAATAAAAAATAAACATTAAAAAATTTATGAAATTGGAAAAAAAATCACTATTTTAAATTAAAATATCAAGAAACAAAACCCATAACAAACAATCTAAAAGAAACTATCAAACTGAAAAAAATTTGAAAAAAAAAATTTTTTTTCAAAGCAGTGCAAAGAAATATAAGAAAATAAAGGAGGAAAACACAAACACACACACATACACACATACACACACACACACACACACACACACACACACGTACTTAAAGGCCAGAGTACAACCTAAGATAATGAATTCTAAAGAAGGACAAAGTCAGCATGGTAGGAGGGAAAAGTTGATAATTGTCCAAAATAGATGAGAGGCACCAATCCAATTGGGCAGAGGAAGAGTTTGAAACTAATGTCCTGGGAACTTTTTAGTTGGGATGATCGATTAGAGTTGTACTGATTGAAGGCAAGGCATTGGGCCTTTCTACTTAATCATTGATCATTTATTAAGTAGAGGCTGCCCTAGCGGAAGGGGCATGATCCTGGGTGATACCCCTTATCATGGTCAAAGACAAAGTCCACAGAGGAAGTCATTTGTAAGTCATCTACAGTTAACACTGTTTGTAGATTTGGAAATGAATTGTTTGGTTCTGAAAGAATTACAGACATGCAATTGCATCTACTATAATTACATATTCACTAATGGACAGAAAAGAAATACTAACGGGCAGAAGCCCTGATATAATTGTTAAAGAGAAGGAATTCCTTTGTCACACATAACTTAGGGCTTGAGTTATTGCTGTGCTGCCCAAAGTCCCAATAATTCTTTAGAACATTTGTTCTGATTCTCAAATTTAAGGATTACTAGTGAACCTCTAGGAAAGTTACTATTCTGCTTCCATGTTTTCAGCTGTAAAATTTTTAAAAATAGTGTTGTGGCGATGTATGTGAAAAGTCAAACAAATGTCATTCTCTTTCACCATCCTCCACCTTCGCCTCTTGAGTAAGCCTGATTCCTGCTGACTACTGAGCATTAGCCCGGTCTTGAGGACTGCAGGACTTACACTGTGAAGTATAGCTCTGTAGCTAGCCAACAAATCCTGACCTCCATATTTCTGGAGAGGGAGTGGATAATAAAAAGGAAGCAAAGAGGAACAAGTTGAGCGGCAATGGCATCTGACTTATAAATAATTTGGTTAGCAGTACTTGGATTTCTGGCATCAAAGAGGCTTACGTTAAAAACAAAGACAGGAGATAATTGGGAGGTCTAAGCATAGGCAAGAAAGGTTCTACATCCTAAGAGTAAGTCTCAGAGAAGTCATACCCATCCCTGCTCTCCATCTATACTCCCTTTAATATGTACTTTTTTGTCCTGAGCTAAAAAATACCTTTGTACTGAAATATAAAATAGTTCTTCTTACTATAACAATAGAGAATGGAAAAAGAAGGGGCTTGATTGCCTGAAGAAAACATGGAAAAGTAATGTGAAGCAGCAAATTAATGTTTGAAAATCATCATTGAGACAGTAGAAAGACAATCTTCTCCTATTAATAAATTACGGGAAGAATTATTGATTTACCTTAGGCATTGAAATCAAGGTTACCTGTTTCAGCTATCATTTGCTGAGTAACAGGATATCTCAAAGCAGGAATATATTATTTATCATAATTCTGTATCTGGCTAGGAGGTTTTTCTTTTTGTTTCACATAGGCTTACTCATGCCCTGCATTCAGCTAAGGGTTCTCTTGGGCTAGAGGTTTTCAGTGGCCTCAACTGCATGTCTGGCAGTTAGTACTGGCTGTTAGGATGCCTTCATTTTTCTTCATATGATCTCTTTCCCACCAGTAGACTGAACCAACTTTCATACGTGATGTTCTTAGGACAGTTTCAGTAGCCCAAAATTGGAAGTTGCAAAATCTCTTAAGACCTAACCCTCTAATCAATGCATTGTTACATTTGCATTCTGTTGATCAAAACTAGTCACAAGACTAGTGTAGGTTTAAGGGAGAGGAATAGATTCTACCTCTGTTAGAAGCAAAGTCATGTTGCAAAAGAATGTTAGAGTATTGTTTTAGAGACAATTTATCAAAGTAATAAAGCATAAGTGGAAGATGAGAGATAGGCATGGCTTTCTAGGGATTCCCAGCATAAATTTTACAAAGCTGGTAGGCAGATGAGCAACGTTTCACTGTGTAAGTCTTGGGAGTTTGACAGCAAAAAATGAGATGGAAATCATTTTGTAAAGTGTACGTATCATCTCTTTAGTCATTGTTCTTTTCAAAATGTGTCAGTTTATATGGTGTGGACGGACTGCAGGAACTACATTTTCCCTGGCATTTTACACTGATATTCTTAACAGAGTCCTGAACACTTGGAACACAATTTTGTCTGATTAGAACAGTATGCGTTGATATACTTTCTATGTCCTATAATAGTGAGGGAGGAAAAGGAAAAAAGCAAAAATAAAAATCGCTTCAATTCTCTTGGCACACAATTATTTTCTCTTTCAAAACTGTTAGTATTTTCAGGTACTAAACTTACATGTGAGAATTTCTAAAGACTATGAGTTGTGAGCCAAATCATACCTTTGTCTGAATTTCATTCCTGCCAATGAGAGCTCCAGGTTTAAATTATTTTAGGCTGAATTTGTTTTTCATTTTTATTGGTACCATTAGGTTTATCAATTGAGAAATGACTGTTAAGAGCTAAGCACTCAAGAAAGATAATATATAGTTCCTGTTCTGAACAGGTCACTTGTGCAGAACTGGTTAACAAACAGACAAGTAAATAAATATATTTCACTATTATGTGGATAGAAATGTGTACCTAGTACAATGGAGGCATGAAGTGGTAAGCAGTCATTTTCACCTGGGAACAATGATGGACTAAAAAAGGCTTGATAGGTGTGGTTCTTGAACTAAATATTGAACTATAACTACGTACTCACCGGTTGGTGAGGGGAGAGAGATTCGGCAGGCAAAAAAAGGAAGCTTAGCAAAGACATAGAAATATAAAACCGTGTCTCACATTTAGCAGATGCCTGTGATTTACCATGGGTTGAACTTAGAGGGGAGGAAAGAAAAAAAGAAAATGAAGACAAGAAGCCTGAAGAGGAGAAAAGGGTTGTATCATAAAGCATATTTTGAGCTTCAACTATATTCTCTAGGATTAAGGCTATGATTAAAAATACTTATCAAAGGAATAAAATGATCATATTTCAGTATTTAAAAGAGTATTCTGGAGTAATATGCTAGGTAGATTGTTCGAGTGAGTGACTGGAAGTAAAAAGCCACCTATAAGACTATTTTAGGAAAGAATATGAAAGATGCTTAGAGCTCTCTCTAAGGCAGTAATAGAGAAAATGATGCAAAAGAAGTTACTCAAATAACTGATAGATTTATTTACTTTTAACAAGGAATAGATGTACTGCATCATTAGATTGTGTCGAAAGCTATATATTTTATCTCATTTTATATGTCCTAATAGTAGGGTCTAGTTGATTTATCTATGAATTGTTCTTTTTTCCATCCACTAAAGATAAAAAAGCAGCAAAATACAATGAATTATATGACTGTGATATCAATTAATACCTAACTTTTCACATTCAAATATTAAGTATTAATATATAACATTATATCACTGATTCTAAAATGAATGACTATCTTAGTCAATTTTTGTCCCTAACATACCTAGAGCCTATTTCATATTTTTCCCTAGTCAACGAAACATCCGGCATTTTTGTTTGAGAAATGCATTCCAAGATTGGCCTCTTTTACACTGTTTTTTAAAAGCTTCATAGAACTAGCGCATCAAATGACAGCAAAAGAAAGTATTCTACACAATTCAAAACCTATAGTGATAGTTGCTGACAGATATTCACAACTTTCACATCCTTTTGGTGACATATGTAGAAACAAGCAGTGTGCATTACTGGCAAATGACAGTACTCTCTGCTGAGTTTTTACTGGGTAAACATTAATACATTATCTCAGTTGAAAGGTCACCATTATGATTAATGTATATCTTTTCCACTTTGTTTTTCTGAAGCTGAGAGTCATAAAAGAAAATTAAACTCAGTATGGCTAAGACTCCAGGTTATGTCCAAATGACTGTCGAAAGAAAAACTTTCAATGTTTTTATCTTTTAGCAAATTTTATTCAAGTCAGTACTATATATTTACATTTAATTGGGCACACACACATACCGTACACACACACACACACACACACACACATGCTGAAAAGCCTGTGAACAATTTTCAATGTTTTAGTTTAATTGAAGAGAAGAGATGAGAAAAACTGATCCAAGGTTTACATAGCAATACAAGAAATACTACAGAAAAGTATCTAAATAAATGTCACAGATTTCAGAAGACAAAGACATCACGGTTAACTAGAAGGATTACAGAAAGCATTTAAGAAAAGGTAAAGTATAAATTGATCTGCAAAAGCTACACAGGAATTGATTAGGAAAGAAATAGAAAAAGGAATTCCTGGCTACTCCTGAAGGAATAGCCTCAGCAAAAGTACTTAGGTCTAAGAAGTAGGGTATGTTCTGAAAATGATTAAAAAGGTCATTATATGAAGGCTATATTGCTTATTTCCAGTGGTATCAAACTGAAGTAATTCTAATAAATAGTAATAAAAATAATAAAATGCAGCATAATTCATTTTAACAAAAAGACAACTGGAAATGGAAATAATATGGACATCTAGAAAGCAAGAAAGTAAGTTTAAAAACATGTCTCGGCTTAAATATAAGGTGACCTTGTCTGGTTCAGTAAGTTGGTAGTCACCAGATAATAGTTTTCTATATTTGAATTCTGCATAATTTCATAAATCTTTTATAATGGAAGAATTGAATGAAATGTAAGGAAATCTGAGTTATGATATTTGTGCTTAAATAATATGTCTGAAACATAATGCTAGAAATATTTTAGTGCTATAAATTATCATTGGTTCACAAACAACAATATACATCTTGTTCTCAAGTGTTTGCAAAACACTTTTCAAGTGTATTCATTCAAGTGATTCACACAGGAACCTTCTCAAACAGGTGTGACTGTTTTTCATATTGTGATTATCATCATCATTACTATTTTATCATTGAATAAATCGTTGCTCAGAAATGCACATAAATTTTTTAGATTTATTTACTTATTTATTTATTTGAGACGGAGTCCAACTCTTGTCACCAGGCTGGAGTGCAGTGGCATGATCTCAGCTCACTGCAACCTCCACCTCCCAGGTTCAAGCGATTCTCCTGCCTCAACCTCCTGAGTAGCTGGGACTACAGGCATGCACCACCATGCCCAGCTGATTTTTGTATTTTTTTAGTAGAGATGGCCAGGATCTCATATTGGCCAGGATGGTCTCGATCTTTTGACCTCGTGATCCACCCACCTCAGCCTCTCAAAGTGCTGGGATTACAGGCATAAGTTACCATGCCTGGCTGGTTCATATATTTAATAATTATGAACTCCAGCCCAAGTTTTCATAAAACAAAATATATGCTTTATGTGATGTCATTCATCTTAACAATTCACCAAAATTTAGTAGAAGAAAGTTGGTGAAATAGAAATGAACATACTCTCTTTTTAGGGAGTCATTTTTTTTTTAAGTTTTATTTTGAGTTCAGGGGTATATGTGCAGATTTGTTATATAGGTAGACTTGTGTTATTGTGGGGATTGTTGTACAGATTATTTCATCACCCAGGTATTAAGCCCAGTACCCATTAATTATTTTTCCTGATCTTTACCCTCCTTCCTCTCTCCACCCTCAAGCAGGCCGCTGTGTCTGCTGTTCCCCTCTGTGTGTCCATGTGTTTTTATCATTTAGCTCCCACCTGTGAGTGAAATATACAGTATGTGGTTTCCTGTTCCTAAAATAGTTTGCTAAGAATAATGGTGGTCAGCTCCATCCATGTTTATGCAAATGACACAATTTCATTATTTTTGATGGCTGCATAGTATTCCATGGTGTATATGTACCCAATTTTCTTTATCCAGTCTACCATTGATGGGCAACTTACAATGATGTTTTATCTTTTGCTATTATGAGTAGCCCTGCAATGAACATACATATGCGTATGTCTCTGTGATATAACAATTTATATTCCTTGGGGTATATACCCAGTAATGAGATTTCTGGGTGGAGTGGTTGTTACGTTTATAGGTCTTTGAGGAATTGCCACACTGTTTTCCACAATGGTTGAGCTAACTTACACTCCCACTAACAGTATATGCATTTCTTTTTCTGCACAGCCTCACCAGCAACTGCTATGTTGACTATTTAATAATATTTATTCTGACTGGTGTGAGGTGATATCTTGTTGTGGTTTTGATTTGCATTTCTGTAAAGATCAGTGATGTTGAGCTTTTTTTCATATGTTTGTTGGACACATGTATGTATTCTTTTGATAAGTGTCTTTTTATGTCCTTTGCCCACTTTTTAATGGGTGGGTGTTTTTCTTGTAAATTTGTTTAAGTTCCTTATATATGCTATTAGACCTTTGTCAGATGTATAGTTTGCAAATATATTCTCCCATTCTGTAGGTTGTCTGTTTACTCTATTGATTTATTCTTTTGCTATGGAGAATCTCTTTAGTTTAATCAGATCCCATTTTTCAATTTTTGCTTTTGTTACAATTGCTTTTTGCATCTTTTTCATTTACCTGTTGCATCTCTACCTGCTCATATGTCCAGAATGGTATTGCCTAGATTGCCTCCAAAAATTTTTATAAATTTTGGCTTTACATTTAAGTCTTAATCTATTTTGAGTTGATTTTTATATATTGTGTAAGAAATGGGTCCAGTTTCAATCTTCTGCATATGGCTAGCCAATTATCCCAACACCATTTATTGAATAGTGAGTCCTTTTCCTGTTACTTTTTCTTTCTCAGCTTTGTCAAAAGATCAAATGGTTGTAGGTGTGTGGCCTTATTTCTTGCCACTCTATTCTGTTCTATTGTTCTACATGCAAGTACCAGTACCATGCTGTTTTGGTTACTGTATGTCCTGTACAATAGTTTGAAGTAAGGTAGCATGATGTCCTCAGCTTTGTTCTTCTTGCTTAGGGTTTCCTTGGCTGTTCAGGCTCCTATTTGGTTCCATATGAACTTTAAAATAGTTTTTTTCCAGTTCTATGCAGAATGTCATTGGTAGTTTGATGGAAATAGCATTAAATCTGTAAATTGCTTTGGGTACTGTAGCCATTCTAACAATATTACTTCTTTTTATCCATGAGCATGGAATGTTTTTCCATTTGTTTGTGTCATCTTTGCTTATTTTGAGCAGCGTTTTGTAGTTCTCCCTCTGGAGATCTATCACTTCTCTTGTTTTGTTAGCTGTATTGCTAGGTATTTTATTATTTTGTGTCAATTTTGAATGGAATTGCATTCCTGATTTGGGTCTTGGCTTGGCTATTGTTGGTGTATAGGAATGCTAGTGATTTTTGTATGTCGGTTTTGTATCCTGAGACTTTGCTGAAGTTTTTTTTTGTTTTGTTTTGTTTTGTTTTGTTTTTTTTTCTTGAGGCAGAATCGCTCTGATGCCAAGGCTGGAGTGCAGTGGCATGATCTCAGCCCACTGCAACCTCCGCCTCCTGAGTTCAAGCGATTCTTTTGTCTCAACTTCTTGAGTAACTGGGATTACAGGAGCATGCTACCATGCCCAGCTCCGTTTTCTATTTTTAGTAGAAATGGGATTTGGCCATGTTAGCCAGGCTGGTCTCGAACTCCCGAACTTGGCCTACCAAAGTGCTGGGATTACAGCCTTAAGCCCCCATGCCCAATTGCTGAAGTTATTTATCAGCTTAAGGAACTTTTGGGCCAAGACTATGGGGTTTTCTAGGTATAGGATCATGTCATCTGTAAGCAGAGATATCTTGACTTCTTCTCCTTCTGTTTGGATGCTCTTTATTTCTTTCTCTTGCTTGATTGCTCTGGCCAGGGCTTCCAACACCGTGTTAAAAAGGTGAGGTGAGATAAAGCATCCTTGTCTTGTGCTAGTTTTCAAGGGGAAAACTGTGATTTTTCAGTATGATCAAAAATCAGTATAATGTTGGCTGTGGATTTGTCATAGATGACTGTTATTATTTTGAGGTGTGTTCCTTCAATACCTAGTTTATTGAGAGTTTTTAACATGAAGGGATGTTGAATTTTATTGATAGCCTTTTCTGCTTCTATTGAGATAATCATGTGATTTTTGTCTGTTGTTCTGTTTATGTGATAAATCACACTTATTGATTGGCGTATGTCGAACCAACTTTGCATTTCAGGAGTAAAGCCTAATTGATCATGGTAGATTAACCTTTTGAGGTGCTGCTGGATTTGGTTTTCAGGTATTTTGTTTGAGGATTTTTCCATCAATGTTTGTCAAGGATATTGGCCTAAAGTTTTCTTTCTTTGTTGGGTCTCTGTTGGCTTTGGAATCAGGATAATATTGGCCTCACAGAATGAGTTAGGAAGGAGTCCCTTCTCCACAATTTTTTGGAATAGTTTCAGTGGGAATGCTACCAGCTCTTCTTTGTTTGGCAATGAGTCTGTCTAGTCCTGGGTTTTTTTAGTTTGTAGGCTATTTATTACTGATTTAATTTTGGAACTTGTTATTGGCCTGTTCAGGAGTTCAGTTTCTACTTGGTTCAGTCTTAGGAGGGTGATGTGTGCAGGAATGTACCCATTTCTTCCATATTTTCTAGTTTGTGTTCATAAAGCTATTCATAGTAGTCTCTAATAGTTATTGTATTTATTTGGGCCAGTGGTAATATCCCTTTGATGTTTCTCATTGTGTTTATTTAGATCTTCTCTTTTTTCTTGTTTATTAGTCTAGCTAGCAGTCTATTTCATTATATTTCTCAAAAAAAAAAAAAAAGCTACAACTCCTAGAGTCGTTGATCTTTCGATTTTTTGTGTGTCTCAATCTCCTTCAGTTAAGCTCTGATTTTGGTTATGTTTTGCCTTCTTATAGCTTTGATGTTGGTTTACTCTTACTTCTCTAGTTCTTTTAGTTGTGAGGTTAGGTTGTTATATTGAGATCTTCCTAAATTTTTGATGTGGGTATTAGGTGCCATAAATTTCCCTCTTAACACTGCCTTAACTATGTCCCAAATTCTAGTATGATGTAACTTTGTTCTCATTAGTTTCAAAGATTTCTTGATTTCTGCCTTAATTTTATTATTTTTTCAGAAGTCATTCAGGAGCAGGTTATTCAATTTCCATGTATTTGTACAATTTTTAGTGAATGTCTTTGTCTTTATTTCTAACTTGATTGTGCTGTGGTCTGAGAGAGTGGTTGTTATGATATATTTTCTTTAGCATTTGCTGAGCATGGTTTTGTGTCTGATTATGTGGTTGATTTTAGAGTATGCACCATGTAACAATGATAAGAATGCATATTATGCTGTTTTGGGGAAACAATTTCCATAGATGTCTCTCAGGTCCATTCATTTCAGTGCTGAATTCAGGTCCTGAATATTTTTGTCAGCTTTCTTCCTCAATGACTTTTTAGATACTGTCAGTGGGGTGTTGAAGTCTCCCACTATCATTGTGTGGGAGTCTAAGTCTCTTTGAAGTTCTTTGAGAACTTGCTTTATGAATCTGGGCACTTCTGTGTTGGGTGCATATATAATAAGGATAGTAAGGTCTTCTTGAATGGAGCCTTTTACCATTATGTAATGTCCTTCTTTGTCTTTTTTGAGCTTCGTTGGTTTACAGCCTGTTTTGTCTGAAATTAAGATTGCAACCCCTGCTTCTTTCTGTTTTCCATTTGCTTTGTAGCTATTTCTCCATCCATTTATTTTGAGCCTATGTGTATGGGCCTTGCATGTGAGAATGGTCTCTTGAAGATAGTATACGAATGGGTCTTGATTCTTTATCCAGCTTGCCATTCTGTGCCTTTTAATCGGAGTATTTAGCCCATTTATAGTCAAGCTTAGTATTGATATTTGTGGATTTGATCCTGTTATCATGATGTTAGCTGGTTATTATTCAGGCTTGTTTATGTGGTTGCTTTATAGTGTCACTGGTCTATGTACTTAAGTATGTTTATGTGGTGGCTGCTAACAATCTTTCTTTTCCATATTTAGTGCTTCCTTCAGGAGCTCTTGTAAGGCAGGTTTGGTGGTAATGAATTCCCTCAACATTTGCTTGTCTGAAAATGATTTTATTTCTCCTTCACTTATGAAGCTTAGTTTGGCCATATACAAAATTCTGGGTTTGAATTTGTTTTTTTTCAGAATGTTGAATATTGTCCCCTAAGGAGATCACTATTAATCTGATAGGCCTCCCTTTGTAGGTGATTTGACTATTATCTCTAGGTACCTATAACATTTTTTCTTCCATTTTGACCTTGGAGATCTAATCCGATGATTAAGTATTTGGGGAAGATAGAAAACCAAGTCAATGCTAAAAATAAAAGCATTCAAATGCTTTCATTTGAATATAAGAATCTAAAAATTGCTCTTCATTACAGATAAATCTAAAATAAGTCAGAAGATAAAAACTAGTATTTATCAGCCTCTATTATGTTACTACTTGCTTTTCTTAGCAAGCTTATTTTATTAGGCATGTTGTAATCTGTACATAATTAACCATAGCTGTGGTATTTTACTTACCTGTATAGCCAGATTGTCATTAGTGATAATCATGCAGTAAGTGTCCAATTTGATAAATAAAATTTATACACTTGATAATATTTGATTAATAAAGTTAAAGATGAAACTTAAGATTCAAAAATATTAGTATATTTTTCCCAGATTTCATAGGATAGCCAGAAGTCAGAGTTCATACAAATAATACAGCTGTTTGAGTCTAAAAAGTGAAACTAAACTTAGGAAGACATAGAAAACTTAGAACAACAAGTAGGGGAGATAAGGTGAAGCATTTAATCAGAAAATGAGACTAAATGAAGAAGTACCTCAATACCAAAAGAGGTTGAATGTAATTCTTTATTTAATAACAAAATTAGATGTTTTTCTTAAATTTTCAAAAATGTATTATTCCCCAATCTCAAGGCATGGTACATGCTCTGTGAAATTGACTTGCAGTCACAAATTATAAAAATAATTACCTTTTAATTATAACAGTCAAAATATTTTAAGTAATATTCTAGTCTAGGTCATGTGGCTATTGCCAATTAGAGTGATACATTAGGAGAAAAATGTGTATTGATATTAAAAACAAGTGGAGTATGGAGAATCAAGGATTTCATATATAGTGAGAATAGGGTGGGAGAAAAATTATAAAACTCAGTGTCATTCAGGAATTATACCTGATTAGATGCTATGAAAGATCTTCACACAACACATCAACCAAATAGTGCGTAAAATAAAATTTTTGAGGTAGTGCATGTCTCAAAATCATTAGATTTCTGTAAGTATCCTCCTCCTGTAAAAAAATTAAAAAATATATATACTATTTTAAATGAAAATCTATATATATAATATACATTCATTTATATATTATATAATATACATACTACATATATGCATTATTTATATGCATTATTTATATACCTTATATTTAGTATATGTACTTTTTAACTATATATAAATATTAAAGCAATGTTTTTTATATATAGAACTTCAAGATAAAAATCAGTTTGTATGCATTTCATAATATATCTTCAAACTCTATGAAAGCAAAGCAAAGCTTCTCAGAAATAAAAATAGACAAAAGCAAATATAGTTGCAGATATTAGCACTCAGACAGTGTTCAACGACCTTGTGCATTCTCTTTCTCTTGAAAACACACTTTTTGCTCTTCCTTCTCTTTTTCCTTAACAAACTAGCAGCTCCCTTTCAGCCTCTTTTACTGGATTCACCAACTCCAGCTAAACTCTAAATGTTGACATACTCTAGATTTCTTGGATAATTTTCTTTATATCTGTAATCACTCTCTTGGTATTTTCATTTAGTCTGAAGGCCTTAACTGTCACCTATATACTGATATTTCCCAAATTTATGTTTTCCCCCTCACCCCTTTCCTGAACTCCAAATTCATAGAAACAATCTTGTATTTGATATTCCAGTTGTATGCTAAATAAAAACCCAGATATCATATATTAAAAGTGATGTTGATTTCTATGACACCTCCTCCAAAGAAACAAAAATCATGATTTGTCAAATATTCTCTATTTTGACAAATGCCCCATATTTCAAACAGTTGCTCAGGCCTAGAATCTTGTTTTTATTGCCTATTTTACTAACCAGATCTCATAGATATTCTCTCTTAAATGCTTATGGACTCCAACTTTAAAATATTTTAAATACAACAAGTTTTTACAAATTTCGCTACTTCCCTCTACTCAGGCTTTATCCTTCTTGCTAATTAATGACCTCAAAATCCTCCAGAATGGTTTCCCTGCTTCTCTTCTTCTCACTCTATAAACTTTTTCCACACTTTACTTATAGTGCTAATAAAAATTATTTAGAAAAAAGTAAATTTAGACACAGCCATTGCATCTTTTATGAAATTTAAATCAGAATGCATCATAGGCCCAAATGTAAAATGCAAAAACAATAAAACTCTTAGAAGATAACAAAAGAGAAGACGTAGATGACATTGGGCTTGGCAATGACTTTTTAGACATATTACCAAAAGCACAATCCATGAAAGAAAATTGGTAGTCAGATTTTCTTAAAATTATAGACTTTTGCTGTGAAAAACACTCTTCAGAGAATAAAAAGACAAGCCACATACTAGGAGTCTGGGAGATTTGCAAAATGCATATTTGATACATTGCTTGTATGCAAAATATACAAAGAACTTTTAAAACTTAACAATAAGAAAACAAATGACTCATTTAAGAAACAGGCAAAATATCTGAACAGACACCTCACCAAAGAAGATATACAGATAAACATAGGAAAAGATGTTCAACATCATATGTCATTAGAGGATTACAAATTAAAACAAGATGAGATACTACAATGGTTGAAGTCCTCCGACAACAACAAGGGCTAGTGAGAAAATGGAGTAACAAGAACTCTCATTCACTGCTGATGGAAATGTAAAATAATACAGCCACTTTGGAAGATAGCAAGACAATTTATTAAAAAACAAAACATAACTCTTATTATATGATCTAGCGATTGCACTCATTGGTATTTATCCAAATGAGTTGTAAACTTGTGTATACATAAAATACATTTGTGAATATAGCAGCTCTATTCACAGTTGCCAAAACTTAGAGGCAGCCATAAGGCTTTACAGCAGGTGCTTGGATAAACTGCGTAGACTCATATGATGGAATATTACTCAATAATAAAGAAACAAACTATTCAGCAACAAAAAGACACAGGAATCTTAAATACAGATTGATAAATAAAAGAAATCAGTCTGAAAAAGCAACTTGCTATATAATTCCAATTATATATCATTCTGAACAAGGCGTAACTATGAATCAGTAGTTGAGAGCAATGAATAGGTGGAGCACAGGAGATTTTTAGGTCAGTGAAACTATAATGTCTGAATGATACTATAATGGTGAATACATTTATCAAAACTCATAAAATATACAATACAAAGAGTAAGCCCTAATATAAACTTTGGACTTAATAATTATGTATCAACATTGACTCATCAAAGGTACCACAGTAATGCAAGATATTAATAGGAAAATCTATGGGGATGGGGTAGGGTGAAGGTCATACAGGAACTGTACTTTCCACTTCCTTTCCTTATAATTCTGTAGTGCTCTAAATAATAAAGTCTATTAATGTTTTAGATAGCTACTGAAATCATATACTCACTTGGTTAAATATATCCGGGTATGTTGTCAGACTTAGAATAAGTTATTGCCAGAATTCGAAAGAGACTGAATAACTCATCTCCTGGCTGTCTTTCTTCTGTCATTTTCTACCTCTTCTTGAACAGCACTGGTCTTGCATTTCTCATACAAATGAAGCATTATTCTCTTTGTGGCCTTTGCTTCTGCTACCCCTTCTACCTGGAATACTCTGGGCTTTTTATTTGCATGGCTTTCTTCTTTACATCATTTATGCTGCTGCCAGATGTCATCTCATGAGAGAGAATTTATTTGATTTAAAAGAGCATCCAGTATCACTCTATGCTCTATCTGCTTCGTGCCTCTTTTTTAATACTTATATGTATATTATATTTCATATTGATGTGTAATTATTATCTGTTTTCATGAGTATTTAAGTTTCATGAAAGAAAGGACTTTGTTTTGTACAATGCTGTATCCCAACTTCATAGAGTAATTACTGTCATTTAGTAGGTTTTCCCTAAATAGTTGTAGAATGAGCAATTGAGGGACTTACAGGTAGCCATTTTTAAATATTTTGAAGACGTCTATAGATATACAAAAGTTAAAAGTAAACAATTCCTATTTACCTATGACCAGATTTAAAGAATTGTCAATATTTTGAAGAGACTCATTAAATATAGTACATATTTTTTAATGGCAGTTCATTTTATCAGGATCTTTTAATATGAGTAAATGGTCTGTACAATTGACAAAAATGTCATTTTTTTGCACACAGTGCCTTATTAAAACAAATTTATACAATCAAAATAACTTGAGTCATTATAAAACACTATATGTGAGTATATTAAACAATTATTACATACCTCCATGTTAACAACAAATAATACAGCAGATTAAACACCCAGTTCAGAAATATTGCTCCTGACTTTCTGCTCTTCGTTTTATACATTTATTTATTCTCCACCTCAGGGAAGTACTTTTATCCTTAACCTTTTCAATTTCTCATATCTCTGTGGCTTCCTCTTCAAAGGCCTCCTGGAACCTGCATCATTGGGACTATTTCTGCCTAAACAGTGTGACTTTTTGTACCCAGCCTTTTCAGTTTATCTTATCAACTAAGCATATGCCTCACTGAAAAACTTTCATAATTGGTCTAGAGATTCTATCAATTTTCTATACTCATACCATTTCATGTTTTAAAGAATTCACTCAGCTTTAAAATGCATGGCACAGAAAGAATACATAAACTAGTATTTTCCACCTATGTGGTTATGAAAATGTTTCAAGAATTAACTTGCCTACAACAGTGCCTTGTATTTGTTTACAAAGTTATGTTTAATGACTATATATTTTTGTCAGACATTCCATCGTTACAAAGCTAAGACTGAGAGTTATCGCTTATAATCATTCACTTTAGCCAGCAAATGTATATTGAATTTCTATTTTGTGTTAGGCATTGTTCTGACACAATAGATAGATAATGGTAACACATCAGACAAACAATGGTGAATGGGAAAAAATGAAGTTCTAGCCTCATATCACCTTACATTTCAGTGTACTACTACTAAGCAATTTGATCAGCTAAAAAAAATTAGCCTCATCAGCCTGCCCTCTTACCTAACAGATTAGCCACATACTTCTTACGATATTTTGTTTTGCCATTTAAATGAGAAGGAAGGAAGAGCAAGATAAGAGAAACTTGATCACTTCTCTTCAAATGTCAAAGTAGCTGTGATGTATTGCACACAGTGAAGGAATAGAATTAGAAAATCCACCCCAGACCATTCTCTTCAGTCTAAGCGAAACCAATTAGACTGGAATTCAGGACCTTAGGTTTGAGTTTAAAAAAAAAAAATAAATGCCATAAAGGTTCTAGCCATTGCAATAAAGCAAGAAAAAACAAATACACAGAGCAGAAAGGGAAAAAAAAAAATTTTAAGTGTTTGCATATGACAAGACAGTGTTAATAAAGAAACCTAAAGAATACATATAAAATTAGTAGAACCAATATTTAAATTTAAAGAGGTCATAAATTATAAAGTATACAAAATGTTCATGTTTCTATAGTTTATTAATAAAACATTAAAAATTAATTTTTTAATTCCCAAAACATAGCCAAATCATAAAGAGACTTAATCAACCATGTGAAAGACATAAAAATAAAACTATAAAACATTGTCAAGAGAAATATTTTTAAATCCTTAAATAAATGGAGAGATACATCATGTTCATGAATTAGAAGAATAAATATTGTTAACTCTCCCAAAGCTAACATATAGATCCAATGCAATGTGAAGCATAATTTCAAGAGTGTATTTGAGGAAGAGAGAATTAGAAATTGGCAATCTTGCTTTAAAATTTTTATGAAAACACAAAGTTCATAGACTAGCTAAACAATTCTTAAAAGAACAAATTTGGAAACCGTTTACCACTTGATTTCTACTCATCACAAAAGAATAGTAATAAAGACAATGGTATTGGTGTAAAGATACATGCATCAATAAAATAAGATAGGACATCTAGAAATGCTCTATGTATATAGTCAGTTGTTTTTGGCAAAGATGCCAAGGCAATTCAATGGTAAAGAATGGTCTTTTCAATAAATGTTGCTGGAACAACTAAATATCTATATGGAAAAATTAAAACCTCACTCTTAGATAATGATTTCTTAGATATGACACATGGAGCATGAATCATTATATAAAATATGATTGATTGATTGAACTTCATCAAAATAAGAAACCTGTGGTCTTTAAAAGACGCTGTTAGAAAATTAAAATACAAGCCATATAATAGTCACAGACACATTCACCCTAATATATCTGTCAACAGAAGTGTGTCTTAATATATACTTTTCACAAATCAACCGGGAAAATATTTGAACAGATTTTTCAAATATTACAGAAACAAAATATGAATGGCCAGTAAGTGCATTAAAATAACCTCAAGAATGTTATTTGTAAAAGAAATGTAAATTAAAATCATGACATGATATCACTAGACACTCATCACATTATCTAAAATTTTTTTAAAAGATAAGCCTTATGAGTTGTTGATGAGAATGTATTCCAACTGGAATACTCATACTTTGCTGGTGGGAATGCAAAATAGTGCAACTACTTTGTGAATGTGTATAGGTTTCTTATATATTTAACAAACAGATTATTACCATATGATCTCTAGGTATTTACACAAGGAACGTAAAAATATATACCCACATAAAGACTTTACAAAAATGTTCATGGCAGCTTTATTTATAATAAATTAAAACTACAAGCCAGGTGTGGTGGCACACACCTGTAGTACCAGCTATTAGGGAGGCTGAGGCAGGAGCATTGCTTGAGCCCAGGAGTTCCAGGCTGCAGTGAGCCGTGATCTATGATTGTACCACTGCTCTCCTGCTGGGGTGACAGACGGAAACTCTACCTCTAAATAAAAATAAAAATAAATGAGAAGAAAACAAATTCTCTCTCAATAGGAGAATGGACAAGGAAATTCTGCTGTGCTACTACTCAGCAATAAAAATAACAAACTACTGATCCATATGACAACTGGGATGAATCACAAAAGCTTGTTCTGAGCAAAGGTGCCAGTCTTAAAAGAATGCATAGTGTATGCACATGTAAACTCATAGGCACTCTAGACACTATAGGTTAATAGACATTATAGGTTAATCTTAGTTTTACCATGTTAACATCTGAATTTATTTATATTTATAATTATGTATTTCCAATGAAAATTTCATATGTTCTTACAAGGTTAGTTTTCCCAAATAAGATTATGATTTTCAAATTATATTCTGATAAATAATCTAACAAGACCTATTTTTAACTCTAGTGTCAGTATTAAATTAAGCATTCTAATTAAGAATGACTACCTTTTTTCATCCTGCATACAACTATCATTTGGACAATGTGGCTCTTCTATGTCCATAGTTGTGCTGAATCAAGCCCTGACAATGAGCCCCTTCTTTAGCAAAATTCGGAAATGAAATTCTGATCTTAGTCTAGCTGGTTTAGGTAGCATTGTATTTCCTGGTTCCATTTTCTTTTTAATACCTAGAAACATATCTATCCCTGTCTTCTTTTTTTTTTTGTCAAATGTTCCCAATGGATTTCTGTTACTTGTCACTAAACAGTCTCAATCACTACAGGTAAAGTCAATGGTAGTAACCAGGCTAGTCAAGGAACAATATTCCAGAAATATTCAGGTGGTTGTGTTATGGCCTAAATGAATAAAAATCAGTATACCCAGCACAAAGGCCAAATTCATGTATATAGAGTGATATTGGCAATATAAGAAAATGTAATTTACATAGTTTTTGATATAACATGATTATTAAAATTCTTTTTTATAAGCTCATAAATTAGTACATTTTTAATCAGTATGAAATACATACATTTATCTCATTAATATTTTGGTTTATTCATTTACCTTTTTATATGCTTTAAGGTAAATTTGCCCTCATGACTTAATTGTTTCTGGGTATAATGAGAAACCATTGTGCATGAGTAAGTTTGGGAATTAATTCCTGACAATGTTTACAATAAACTTTGTGAGACCTTATGTTAGCCTTCTGATGTCATTCCTCTCCAAAAATATTTGTTTTATTCCAACTTGAACAGCAAGGTCTTAGTAAAATCCCTATGGATTGTGATACGTAGTTGGAGTGTATGTGTCTCTGCTCTTATTTGTTCTTTATATGCACTAATGTATAACATAAGCATTACTGTATAGTGTAAGGATTTATGGCAGAAATAAGTTGAGTTAGGTTCAAATTCCCACACTGGGAATATTAGCAAATGAGAAATATAAATCATCAAAGCAATTTTATAAAACTGTTAAGCTATTAATGTTAATCCCACCTTGTTCCCAAAATAAATTAAGACAGCTTAAAAACATGAAATAATATATAGAAAGATAGCATAAATTAAAAATAGGTGAGAAAGGAAAAAAGTGAGATTAAACATAGCCAAATACAACATATACAAATATGCATATTATGAAGCACTTTATACTGTTTATTAGAGGAATCTGCAATTTGGACTCTGATTTTCAGCTGTCAGCTAAAAAGGAAATCTTGATTTGATACACAATTCACAGTGGCTTTGCAATAAATCTCAAACCACATTTCCAAGGGCAGACACAATTATTTCCAAATTCCAACACTTTAAAGCAATTTATTAAATAAATGCTACAGAAAAAGAACACTGAGGCCGGGCGTGGTGGTTCATGCCTGTAATCCCAGCACTTTGGGAGGCCAAGGTGGGCAGATCACGAGGTCAAGGGATCAAGACCATCCTCGCCAACATGGTGAAACCGCGTCTCTACTAAAAATACAAAAATTAGCTGGGCATGATGCCACGCGCCTGTAGTCCCAGCTACTCAGGAGGCTGAGGCAGGAGAATCTCTTGAACCCGGGAGGCGGAGGTTGCAGTGAGCCGAGATTGTGCCACTGCCCTCCAGCCTGGCGCCTGGCAACAGAGCGAGATTCCGTCTCAAAAAAAAAAAAAAAGAAAAAAAAAGGAAAAGGAAAAAAGAAACACTTAATAGAGTGTCCATTAGGACATTATCCTTACACAGACCATCTTAATGTCCATTAGGAGGCTGTTTCTTAATGTTTTCCTCAATGTCTTTTCACCGAAGAACAATGCACTCCTAGCAAGTATATCCTAGGGGCCAAGGTGGAATACATGACCCTCATTCTGTGTTCTATATTGAAAGACATATTAAAGATGAAATATATAAAAATAAGTATAAAGATGATTTACTCAAAAGATATTAGGTAGTTCTGACACTGAAAATGTGGTCCCTGATCAGTAAGAACTCAGCATTCATGTATTCTACAATGTTCACACAAGCTTATGATGCTTCCTTAACTACGAATGTGGGGTACACACTACATTCTCCATGGAAACTTTATGGAGCAATCAACAGAGGAAGTTGTCTAAAGTAGGTATTTCAAAACAAGGAAAGGAACTTTGTTTTGAAAAAACAAAAAGCTTGATATAGCTAGGTTAGAGAGGACTTAAGAGGAGAATGATGAGAGAAAAGTCTGAAAAAATAAAGGATAGCTCTGTTGTTTTCAAACCATTATATTTGGGTATACCCTAAAATAATTTTCAAAAGCTGTGCACATCTCATACATTTTTATACTAACATTTAAACCTTTTGATCACACTTTAAAAAACAATAAAGCAAAAAATTTCCACTGTATATAAGTAATGATATTTGAAATAAAATGGTTGCATCACTCTTTTAAAAGTACCTAATGAAATTTAAATACCAGGGTGAATTATTCATGATAGTCTATTTTAAAAACACATGGATATGCTATTTTTTTTTTTTTTTGAGATGGACTCTTGCTCTGTCACCCAGGTTGCAGTGCAGTGGTGCAGTCTCAGTTCACTGCAACCTCCACTTCCTGGGTTCAAGTGATTCTCCTGCCTCAGCCTCCTGAGTAGCTGGGATTACAGGCACCTGACACCTTGCCCAGCTAATTTTTGTGTTTTTAGTACAGACAGGGTTTCACCATATTCGCCAGGCTGGTCCCGAACTCCTGACCTCAAGTGATCCGTCCACCTCAGCCTCTCAAAGTGTTGGGATTACCACCGCGCTTGGTGGGGTACGCTATTCTTATTGGAAATTATATATCATCCTTTTTTTAACCCCTTAAAATTACTTTTAATTTTACTCTTTTCACAGATTTTCTGTTTAATGTAATTTTTATGCTTCATGAATTTCAATTGATGATCTATCAAACTTTCCTGAAACAAAATTGGAATATGATAGAAATTATTTTAAAATTGTTTTTATGATTATAAGACTAAACATGAAAATCTTCTAGATGATGTATTCTAATTATCATGAAATTTATTAAAATGCTAAACATGATATTGAATTTTTAAAATAAGTAAAATTGTATTCGTTTTCATATGATGAAGGTGACATTTGTCCAGTTAATTTACATCCCCTAAATGAATAATTTTGAATGCTAGAATGAGATATAACAGTATTAGTTCTATGAATCCACCAACAGAGTTTCACATAGAGGCATTTTACATATTTTAGTGTCTTTCAAAATAATATGAGAGAATTAAGATTTTGTTAAATTTCAATATATCTTTATCAACACAATAAATGTTGACAAAATGCTTTATTATTATCATGTGCTTTAAATATATTTTTCTGAACAACTATGAGCTGCATATTCAGCTCTTTTACTTTATGTATAATGTCTAATATGAACAAAACCCTATTTTAAAATAAATTATCTAAATCAGATTTTTTTTTTAGAAAAAGCCTAACTTCATCATTTATTTCAAATATACAATATACTATATGTTTGGAGGAATATTATTTTAAAACCAAATATTATAAAAACTGAAGAGAAACAAATTGGAACACCTGTTTAATGATGTTTTACTAAAATCAATCAAGATTAAAATTATATAGCTATATTATTGTTAATTCATTTTAAGACCCCATCACAATATGTATTCAATGTGCTATTCCTTATTGTTTATTTGTAATAAAGGAATATAATATATAGTTAAAATCATAAATGATTTACATGGTGAGATTATGACAAAAGGCATAATATTTTGGTAAAGTTTGATTGGGAACATTGCTTTCTGTATATGACTTTTTAAGAAAATATAAATGTCAAGAATAAAATTCCTAATTAATTTTATTAACCTTCTTATGCATTATGCCTAAACTAATAAAGCAGAAATGTTTGAACTTCTAAAAGCAATCCATTCAACATCTAATGTATAATTTTACTTGTTGATAACTATAAGAAAGTATAAGAAAATTTTAATCATTTTATTAAATATAAAAAAAAATAATTGATTTGTGCTGGAATAAGTCTTCATGACATAGTTGATAAAATAGGCTCTTAGTTAAATTTATCAGTGAGGGTTCAGTAAATAAAACAGAGGTTCTAGGAGTATTATCAAAATGAGGAAATTACTATAGGAATTAAAAATTTTATGAATGTGGGGCGAACTTAGAAAGTGGAGGTCTAGAAGGGGAGAGTCAGAAGCTCAAAGAAATTGTCATTAATCAATCCTCTGTAAGAACTAATGCGCGTAAATAAAGTCCAGACTTGCTAGAAAATCTAAGAACCTGGGATGGTTTTCTGCCCAAGCTACCTCAGGAGTTGCCTCCATGTGGTAGCTGCCCAGGAGCTGCCAAGTCCAAGCTCCTTGTGGTGGCCCAGGCTGCTGTTGGTCAGCAGTGACAGCAATGAAGAGGCAGAGCAGAGGAGAGCAAGGACAAGTAGGGGTTCCAGGCATCTTTCCAGGCATCGTGTCTAACCTTAAAACAAACTGAAAAGAGATTTCTTGGAAATCTAGCTCTCTGCTTTTTCCCAGTTGACATCACACAATGCAACACAGTAACTGATTATGAAATGCACACTGAGCTGACAAAAAAATTCATATTTTTATCTGCAATTTTTCTCCATTGGAACATTAAAATTTTTGTGGTCCCTAAAACATTACAGTTATCTTCAAATATGTCAATTACACTAACATATACTTCTTCATCTATTAAAAAGTACTTTCCAGCTAATGACAGAACATAGAAGCATGAATATATACAAAATGAATTGCACACCTGTGAGTAGGTGGAAGAAAAGACCATTTATTTTCATTTAATATTTTGAACCAAACACTCCTTTTGCTTTCCCTCATCTATCTTCTCCATGAGGTCTCTGCCTCTTTTGAAAGCCAGTGGATGAAAGATGTGTGCTCCTTAAAACAAAATTCCCATCACTGTTGCTGCCCACATACTCTGTAAGGATCCAAACAAGTGCCAAAACAAGTTATTTCTGAAGTCATGCTTTGTGTGTAATAGCAATGTGTTTAAGACAAGAAGAGGCAGTAAGACCTCTGATGAGATAATTTTCCATTTTTAGATGTCCCAAAGTATTTTTCATGACTAAGAAATGTACTATAATAAGATTCTGGATGAGTAAATTGTACGTATCTTTTTCCCTCTATAAGGTAGAGAAAGAGAAAATATGAAAAGCTAGGTGGGAAAGGAAAATTTACATTGTTAGAAGAGAATACATTTGGAATTTGAAGATTATGAAATTTATTCCTTTAAAACTACTCATTTTCAAACCTTTATATTGAGGTACACAGTAAAATAATTTTGAAAAACTATGCATATCTCATATATTTCAGATTGACATCTAAAACTTTTAATTCGATTTAGAAAGGTATAAAATTTTTTATTGTACATAAATAGTGATATTTTGAAATAAAATAGTTACATCACTCTTTAAAAGTGCCCAGTGGAATCTAAATACGAGAGTGATTTATCCATGATTGTCTATTTTAAAATATATGGGCAAGCTATTATTATTGGAAGTTACACATCATTCTTTTTCTTAACTCCTTCAAGATACTTTTTAATTTTACATTTTTCGTGAATTTTCTGTTTGATGTAGCAGTTTTTGTGTTTCAAACACTTCATTTGATCTTCTATCACACTTTTCTGAAACGAAATATGTTACAATTGAAAACTGTATTGTGTAATGTGTTGAAGAATGGGGACCACAGCGTATAGGGTAGGAAGTCAAAGCAAGAGAAGACTGATAAATTTACAGAAAAAAAAAAAAAAACATTTAGGGGAAGAAAGTCTGAGAACAGTTGGAGAAAATGCAGGAGTGGTATTAAATCAGAGACCAAAAATAATTGGAAGTTATAATTTGAGAGGACAACACTTAAATTTAATATTTCATAGAGAAAACATCTTAGTTCATAGCAGTGTTCGACTGTGGAAATATATGGCTAAATCAGAGTGCAGAAGAATTGTACTGAGTAACGGTCACAAAATTAAGAGGTTCAAATGTAAGACTAATTAGTGCGTATATGTTCAATTATTTAAAATCATGGCAAGGCTTTAGATAGAAAGGGGAAAAATATGTGCTCTTACATTTGTACAGCCACCAAAGATGGCAGTCAGGTAAGGCATAGAGAGTTTAGATTGGAGTTTCCTCATAAAACTATTTCCATCACCCCATGGTAGATGCAAAATGGGTGCATTGGAAGAATCAACCAGAGCATGGAATAATAAGCTTCTGAGGGAAAGAGTACGTCTACAGGCAACAAAATACCCCATCCTCCTAGAGTTTGGAAAAGCATCAAACCATAGCAGGCTGAGTATTCCTTACAGGAAAATGTATAAAATATTGTTAATGTAAAAATCAGTCCTTTTTTTTTTTTTTTTTTTTTTTTTTTTTTTTGAGATGGAGTCTCGCTCTGTCGCCCAGGCTGGAGTGCAGTGGCGCGATCTCGGCTCACTGCAAGCTCCGCCTCCCGGGTTCACGCCATTCTCCTGCCTCAGCCTCCCGAGTAGCTGGGACTACAGGCGCCTGCCACCACGCCCGGCCAATATTTTCTATTTTCAGTAGAGATGGGGTTTCACCGTGTTAGCCAGGATGGTCTCGATCTCCTGACCTCGTGATCCGCCTGCCTTGGCCTCCCAAAGTGCTGGGATTACAGGCATGAGCCACCGCACCTGACCAAAATCAGTACTTTTTAAATTGAATCTGAAACAACAGAATATAAGCCAAAGAAATTGGAGCAGACATTGTTCATTGCTTAGTCAATGACCATTTTCTCTTCTTACAGCTGATATGAGTTATTCCGGGTCTCACTACTCGACCTCTGCTTGACTCAAATAAATCCTAAATACACGAATCCAATCATGTTTCCCCATTCTATTAATCAGAGATTCGCTGAGAATTGACCAAATAGATAAAAAGGGAATGAGGGAATGCAGAGCTCTGGGAAAGAAGAAAGAATGACAAGAACTCCGTCTTTAAGGACATCACTGAGTCAATGAATTGACCAACCCACCAAACGTGCATTCCCCAGACAGCTTGTTAAGGGAGATAATAAAGCCTTAAGCCATTTGGGCATTTTATTTATCTATCTATCTATCTATCTATCTATCTATCTATCTATCTATCTATCATCTATTTATTTATTTTGAGACGAAGTCTCACTCTGTCACCCAAGCTGGAGGGCAGTGGCATGATCTCAGCTCACTGCAACCTCTGCCTGCTGGGTTCAAGCAATACTTCTGCCTCAGCCTCCCAAGTAGCTGAGACTACAGGTGCACACCACCATGCCCGGCTAATTCTTTGTATCTTTATTAGAGATGAGGTTTTGCCATGCTGGCCAGACTGGTCTTGAACTCCTGACCTTGTGATCCACCCACCTCAGCCTCCCAAAGTGCTGGGATTACAGGTGTGAGCCACGACACCTGGCTTTTAGTTTCTTATAGAGGAGAGCATCCTAAAGAAAACAGTCATTTTTCCAACAATTTTAAAATTATGGCTTCAAAACATTGCGAGTTAAAACATTATTATATAAAGAGAGTAAAAAATGATTTCTCCATGTGATCTAAGCACTCAATGTTTTTGACAACTTTGTTATTACTCTATCAGCAATTCTTCCCAATTATTCTGTAAGATAAGGTCAAATTTTCATGATTTTAACTATAAAGAAGCCAAGATAAAGAGAGATCAAGTCGTTTGTTTCAGAGAATCCAGCAAATCTATGTAGTAATTCTCCCAGGAAAAACCTTTTTTTCCCCAGTGTTATTGAATTATAATAAATAAAAGTTGTTTATATTGCTAATTGCTAGTATACGATGTGACAATTTCATATATGTGTGTATATATATAGTAAAATGACTATTACGATCAAGTTAGTTTAAAAAGTCATCACTTCACATAGTTTTCTTTCTTTTTTTCTTTTTTTTTTTTGCTGTGTTGAGAGCACTTAGCATCTACTCTCTTAGCAAATTTCAATTTCAAGTACAATACAGTATTATTAACTATACTGACCATGCTGTACATTACATCTCCAAAACATACTTATCTTATAACTGAAAGTTTATACCCATCAATCAACTCCATCCCCAACCTCTCCCACTGCCTCCTCTCCTGGAAAACACCATTCTCTCTCCTGTGAGTTTGACTTTTTTAGATTCCATATATAAGTGATATCATACAGCATGTATTTTTCTGTGTCTGGCTTATTTCACTTAGCATAATGTCCTCCATGCAATGATTTTTTGAATATGACCCCAATAGCACAGGCAACAAAAGCAGAAGTAGACAAGTGAGACTACACTAAACTAAAAATCTTTTACCCAACAAAGAAAACAATAAATAAAAGGAAAAGGCAACCTATGGAATGGAAGAAAATGCTTTCAAGCCATATATCTTACAAGGAGTTAATATCCAAATCTATAAGAAACTCATACAACTCAATAGCAGGCAAGAACTCCTGAATCAGAACTGTCTTCCTGTCTTTTCTTGCTCTGGTTCACTTTAGCGTTATGGGCTGTCAGGCAGACACATGTGTTTCCTCCTCCTACAACCAGTAGAGTGTGTTAAAAATCATGGAAGTGCTGAAGTAACTTTTATAATTTACAGTTTTTCTCCAAGCTGAATACTCTTGGGAATCAGCCAGTGGCATAGTCTTAGTGAGCTTTGTGCCCCTGTTTAACATTTATATAGAAATCTAATTACCGGAAAAATTCCTTGCTTCTGCTGACATTTTGACAAACGTTTAAGAAATCATATAAGGGATTATTTCAACTCTGACAACATGAAAAAGAATTCTGCTAATTGTAGAGGAATTTTAACATACTTTCAGCATCGTACTCTCTTAATACCTTCACTGCTTTTGTTAAAAAAAAAATTCCAAGAGATTAGTTAATATTGAATAAAACAGTTTAAACAATTCTATCCTTAGAATATCCCCTCAGGAGATTATTTCCCTTTTTCCTTCGGTAATATTTTGATATTTCTTTCATTTTATCACATTTTCAGTCTTCAGTGACTCCAAATTAATACAACTAATTCAAATATTGGATTTAAATCCAAATTATAAAAACTCTATTAGAAATACTGCTAGTTAATATTGATATTCACCATAAGCATTTAAGAAGAAAAACAAATTGTAAACAATTTTATTTAAATGCATTTACCAAAATGCTAAACAAAGTATTTACTTTTTTTGACTGAGAAAATGGGTGGGATACACATGATTAATTCCGAGAGAGATTGGTTAAATATGTCAATTTAGTGCTGCAGAAATGTAATTGCATCAAAAATATCTAAAAACATAAGTACACAAAATGATCTCTAGAGTTTAAATTCGTTATTAGAGAAACACAATGAAAGAATAAAAGAGGTAGTGGAGAGAATTCCATAAAATATATGGTGTATTAGTACAAACAGTTCTCTTTATCTATAGGTAATAAAAATACCCATAGCCAGTTTAATTATCTGTATTTTATATTTGGATACATTTTGTGCCTAAATATGTTATTCCTTCTGTAATTTTACATTCATTTTAAAATTTCATATAGGATATTTTTATATTCACTATACTTTTCACTACATATTTTTCTATAACCACTTAATTTCTTTTAGAGAACAGGAGATTATAACCCATAAAATATAACAATAATTGAATTTACAGAATCATGTTTTTAATAAGAAGCATCATGACTTTCAGCAAATTATAAATTTGAAGACAGTTATTACATCTGTTTTTCTATCTTTATGTGCTCAGGTTATAGCCCAATGCCTCACATGAGGATGGTGCTCAATAAATGTTTATTAGCAAATCTGAGTATAATAATTTTGCCTTTTTAATTCAGTAAAATATGCACATAGAAGAATTAGTTTTTGAGCAGCAGCATGATATTAGATAAAGTATGTGTTCTGAACTCAGACAAATTTTGGTTAGAATCTTTGGTCTGACAGTTGTTACCTATGTCACCTTAGGAGAGTTACATCACCTCTGTGAATGCAGTTTCCTCACTTATAAAGTGGGGCATGCATAAACCATACTGTGTATCAGCACCAGTGGCAATGTATGTAAAGCATCTGACACATTTGCCACAGGTATATATATTCTTTAAGTGCTGGCAGCTATCTTTATTGCTTATTTTTACTTTTGAGTTGTCTATAAATGTAGGTATTTATATTATTCAAGCTTGATATACAACAGGTAAATTTCATCATAGGAAAAGTTAATTTTTGACTGCATGTACTACATGTTCATATCCTTCATCCCCTCCTTATTTTTTCTCTGCCAGTAATTAATTCCCTGATGATAGCTCCTTGTTGTCAGAGTGGCTGCTCTAACATGGATGGGTTTCCCAGCCCTCAAGCCAGAAATCGTCCTATACAATCTATATTTATTTTATCTCCTCATTATTTTAAATAGTAACAAAAATTCTGTAGTCATTTGCAAAATAGTGAAATAATTTCTGTTCAATTATTAGTGAATGAGAATAAGTATATTTATCTTTCCCAACAACACTTACATCTTCACTGCTGCTTTTAATGTGGACACACAAAGATATGAAAAATAACATTTCTTCCCTCAAGGGGCTTCAAATATATTGGGAAATATTTACTATATGTTAGTAATGAAAAAAAGACAATATTTATTTTTTTTCTACATTTTAAAACCCTCCCTAACCCATTTTTATTTTTAAGCTTCTTCTAATCCTTTCTGTTTTAAATGGTAGATAAAGATGTTATTCTGCAGGTTAAATCAGTTGAAATGATTATACAAGCCAGGAGTTCCTGACAAGAGAGTAGGTTTCAGCAAATGCCTCTTGGATTAATTATTAAAAACAAAATCTTGCATCTGACTCTAAAAATAAAAGAAAATTATAGCATGTGCCATAAATTAAAGTGCCCAAATTTTCTACTGAATTTCAGACAATTTGTCACCCTATTTTGGGGAGGTGGGCCCAGGGACAGGGTGTGGGAGCAGAGATGGAATCAAAGATGCACATTGAAGAATGAGTCATTGGGACACACAAGTTGCAGGGAATACAGATAACAAGCTATCCATAAGGGGAGGAACGTGATGAACAAAGACAACAAGATACTAGTGATATGACAATCATTCAGATGTTTAAAGAGTCTACTTTAAATTTTGAATCCTCTTTTAACAGAAATAACAGAAACTTCATCTGAGCTAATTTGGAGTTCTCAAATTTATTCACAGTTGTGTCTAAATTTTAAAAAACAAGTATTTCTAACGTATGAGAAAATTGGAACATCTCATTTTTTTTTGTTTTATTTGTCCTTGCTGGTATCCATTGAAACTCCAGTTTCTTGTCTCTTCCTTTTGATAGGCAAAGCTAGTAAAAGAACTAACTTTTCTTTGCTTTATGTTGCTGTGACATAAGAAGCCACAGCCAGCCAACAATAGTTTGTCTGGGATGGAAGTGTGTATGTTTAGAAGAAAAATCTGGTAAAAAAAGTTAAGATTTCAAATATATTAAACATTTGTAATATAAATATTCGAACAGTAATGAATAACTCATTGTTATAAACTGAAGAGGAGTTTTAGACAGAAAAAGAGTCTCCCACTGGCAGAGGAAGTAAAATCAGATTTAAGCACACCAAAGTCAAAGCAGGGAACAACTTAACAGTTTGTAGGGCTCTGCGTTTGTCATTGTTGCCTGCTAACCAAGGGCAAGAATCAGGTCACAAACAATGTCCTGACCAGGCAGTATCTGTTACAGGGTGCAGCACAGATTTTCTATTGATTGTTATAGCCAGAGAGAGTAAGAAAAAAAAAAGAAGGAGAAGGAGAAGGGGAAGGGGAAGGGGAAGAAGAGGAAGAGGAAGAAGAAGAAGAAGAAGAGGAAGAAGAAGAAGAGGAAGAAGAAAGGAGAAGGAGGAGGAGGAGGAGAAGGAGAAGGAGGAGGAGAAGAAGGAGAAGGAGGAGGAGAAGAAGGAGAAGGAGAAGGAGAAGGAGAAGGGGAAGGGGAAGGAGAAGAAGAAGAAGAAGAGGAAGAGGAAGAGGAAGAGGAAGAAGAAGAAGAAGAAGAAGAAGAAGAAGAAGAAGAAGAAGAAGAAGAAGAAGAAGAAGAAGAAGAAAAAGAAGAAGAAGACAAGTTCTTCCAGGAAAAATCAGTGGCTGAAAGAGGTACAATTATTACTTGTTGGACTGACCACCTATTATTTATAGTTTGATGAAGATACATTGGCTAATGAGCAAATATTTTATGGCTTATTCTATGTGGGCCTTATATTATTCTCAAATCATTCTTTAGTTTTCTTTACAAAATTCAAGTTAAATTAACTGCAGGATCACAGAAGACCCTCAGAGGCCATAGCTAACAGCAGTCTGAGTGACTCCTTTAACAGACTGACTACAAACAGCAAAGTTACAATAAAATGTTATTTATTTTATCAATTCTGACCAAAAAAAGCAATAATTTGTTACTGATTGTGCCGCTGTAACAAAGAGTATGGATCATCAGGAAGATTAGGAATTTAGAAAAAGAAATGTAGGACCAGGACAAAGTATGAAGAAGATAACTCAGGATGGACAATGTCATTAAAAAACCTCATAAACATTTTCTCCAGAGATCTGATAAAGACTGTATCAGTGTTCCATCAGAGAAGCAAACACAGTAGGAGTAATCTAGAGTACTGATTTATTGTATGAGTGGGACCTCAAGCAATGGTGAGAACAGGTAGATCAATCTATGCAGGTTATCGTCTGTTGCCGTGATTCTAGGTCAGCCTGACCAGCCATTGGGAAATAAAATGGTAGCTGAGACCTGCAGAAACAAATCACAATCCATGAAGGGGCGGCTACTGATAGCCACAAGGATAGAGGGGAATCAGTGTCTATCTGTCACCACCTGTAACCATGATGCCCTGATGGCTACAAAAGGTGACACTCTGCCAAAAAGCTACACTCCACTTGGCCCAAAACCTGAAGAAGCTGCAGACGTGATGAGAACTGAGGGAAATGAAGGTCTCATGATTGTCCCATTCTGTCAAAGTGAGCTAGCAGATCAGCAAAGGTACATGAGCATCCACATCTTCAGAGCTTAAAATATGCCTTTCAAATCTGGCACAAAATATCTTGTGGCCAATGCCTAAAGGGAAGGGAATTTTGGGAAATACATTTTCAGTTTAGGTAAGTACATAGTCTAAAATTGCTGCAGATAGTTAATACCATTTACGTTAATTATAAATGAGTATTTTTAAAAATTATTTGTCCCCAGTGCAGTTGATTTATATTTATGAACTACTTACTAAGTGGTTTATTGGTTATTTAATAGTGTAATAATACCAATGCTAGATTGTATGATAGCAAAGTATATGCTTAAAATACCAACAAAATCAAGGGACTAAAATTAAATATTTTAAACAAATTTGAAATAATTTGATATATCCAAAAAATATGGCAAAACAAACATTTTGGGCATATTTTTTGTTATTTTATAGCTTGGTGGTGTTTTATATTGAACTGCGTATTATTGGATGGGCAACAGGTAAAAGCATAGCATAATCTTAAACGTTGCTTAAGATGACCAAAGAGACTAAGCCAATCTTTAGTTGTACAATTGTCAAACGATAACTGGGTTGTGTATACAAAAATCCCAAGGTAAAACAAAAAGCTTTTAAGGATTGAACGAGTAAAACCTTAACAGACTAAATCCAATCAGCTTTTGAAGTCTTCTTCCTGGTAGCCAGGCTGGGAGTACCAGAGATTAGCAGCACCCCTTGTAAAACGAAGTCTCAGTAGAGCCCATGCTGTATGTGTGTTGAATTTTGTACCTCTAGTGGAACTAGAAATCTGTTCTATGTTATCTGTCTGGAATTTTAAACATATAAAGACTAAACTTCATAGGAAACCATAGAAATACAAAGTCTAATGTTTTCTTTCATTTTATGAATAAATAAAAACTAGTGGTGACGTGCCAACTATCACAAATTCATTCAGGCGTGCCAAATTGATTTGTGAAAATGTGAACAGATTTTAAGCCCCTTTTTTATTTCCTTTCTCTTTATATATTGTGTATTCTCACAGAAACTGATGGAAAAATCTATGTAAATAAACTGAGATTCCGAACTAAGGTTACCAGACAAAATGTAGGACATCCAGTTAAACTTGAAATTTCAGATATACTTTTTATAGTATATGTACTGTATGGTACATAGAATATTACATGGGGCACACTTACACTTAAAAAGTATATCTGTTATCTGAAATTAAAGTTTAACTGGATGTCCTGTATTTTTATTTGAGGTGTCTGGCAACTGTACCCTGAGCATAGGGTAGAAAATTAATATCAAAAATCCATATCTGAATTATAGGAATGCTCCCCATAAGGACATGCCAGACAGTCTTTCAGAATGCTAAAAAGGAACCTTTTTGGAGATTATATTTGTAAATTTTCATGATGGGGAAGAAGTCTCCTACGTCTTTATCCCCATCTCCATTCCATCCCAGGAGGATCATGTTATTATTGTAACCAGTTTAGCCTGAGAGGCCTTCGTGAGTCAACAAAAGTAAACAAGATTGGCTATGTATCTTCCCATTCCCCAAGTGTTTATCACTTTTGTCATTTTTACCTTTTCTCCCAACGTTTCTTAGGAGCAATCTCAGCTGCTAATATTGGAAAGGAATGAAAAAGATTCTGTTGTCATAAAAGTGCCTCCAGTATTTTTTATTATGCACTGTGGTGATATAACTAGCTTAAAAAGTAATCTTTCAAACTATCAAGAGAGAAAGAAAGGGCTGCTGAAACCTCAGAAAGATAAAAATAGAAAAAATGTTAAAACTGCAACTGATGCCATTCTAATGTTTTCAACAGTTTCCTCTTTCAGAGTTTTGAGAGTTTAACCTTTAAAGAAATATTAGGAAAGAACTGGACAAAGGATTATAAATAAGGTCTATAGCTACAAAACAGAGGAAAAAAAAGAATGAACAAAAATCAGTCAGGTGAGTGAGGTGGTTTTAAGCAGTATCCCCTCTCCTATGCCCTGTAAAAATAATTATAAATATGTAAAACAAAAGTTATTTGTATCATCGCAAAAGTTTATTGTTGACAGATTTTTAGTAATTTTTCCAGCTAAGTTGTGTTGACACCCATAGTCATAGGAAGCTAACAGTAGGAGATTTTAGGATAAAATCAGTATAATATAGTTCTTAGGAGCATAGCCTTTGTAATTCAATAGACTGGAATAAAATATGGATTCTGCTCCTTAGCAAACATATGATTTTGCACAGGTAAGCTACTTAACCTTCTAAAGTCCTAGTTTGCTTTCCCCATTTGTAAACTGTTGTTATTAATGGGGCCTATTTTATGGGGCTGTGCCATGATTAAGTGAAAAAATGTATGTAAAATTCTTGGAATAGGGCCTTCCAAGTAATTTGCTCTAAGATAATTATTACCTATGATACAGCTCATTTGTTCCTAATCAATTTATTTCATTAATTATCCAGAAGAAACATATGAAGTTTTGCCTTTTAAGACTGGTAAGGAGAGCTGAATGAGCATATGGAAGCACACAGAGGAAAAAGATGTGTTCATTCATTCATGAATTTAGGAAATTCATCCTGAATACCTGCCATGTAGGAAGCACTGTGGAGTCTAAAGTTACAAAGCTGGATAAGCCGCTCCCTGTCCTGAAGACTATACCAGCTAGCGAAGGAAACACACAAGGTACAAGCCACTCTTTTACAGTGTGTTGAATGCAGTGATACAAATATTCACAGGGTGAAAGACACTTGCCAGAGTCTGGAAGAACAGATAAGGAGTCATCCTTGAGGACACATATCTTTGTTTAGTCTTGAAATATGTACATGAATTATTCATAAAAAGAAAGGAGAATATTTAGAAGATGTTTACAACATAACTCCGGCTTGGGATTTCATTGTAGCATAGTGCAGGGACCTACAACAGCAACAGGGATCTAATGCAAAGCTTGACACAAGAGCATCAGGAGATTAATCTAGAGTGAAAACAAAAACCAGATAGTGGAAGGTCCTGTGTAGAGTTAGGTGTTTAGATCTTATTTTGAGGGCAGAAAGAGACTAAGGATGGATTTTAATGAAGGGGTAGATATAGATCAGACTTTTCTTGTTTAAAAGATCACTCTGGAAGCAAGACAAGATTTTATTGGAGGGAAGTGTAGGGAGAGGTAGGAAGACTCCATCTATTGTGTCATTAAGGTGAGATTCCGATTAAGAAAATGGAAATGGCAGTAGAGATAGGAAAGAGGAAAGGGAATCAAGAAATGTTTAGAAAGTAGAATGAGGAGGATCAGAATGTGAGGGTCAAAGGGAAAGGGTTAATCAATGATCTCTGCCAAGTAGTTGCTTTAGGACACAGGTTAGAGGAAGCCAGAAAAAGGGCAGCACATCCAGTTTCTATTAAGTCCTTAAGTAATTGACAGCATCAGCAGGATACCCTAATTGTGAAGGCATTAGGGTGAGACTATTTCAACATATCCTTACCTGTTAGACTTCTAACTTTTCTGAAAAATTCAGAAGTAGTATACACGATCCAGGTTTTAAAGTTCTTGGCCAATGCAGTACATAATTTCAATTAGCCTTTTCATTTCTAAAAGAAGTTTCAGGTGAAAATAGTTTCTACCTCCAGTAAAGAGAAGAAAAAGAGAAGAAAGTAGTCAAGGGTACAAGATTTATGTTAAACTTTGCCTTTAGTGGGCAGCAAGGCATATGTCGTAAATTAGTTCATATAAGTTACTAAAAAGAGTGAAAACTAGATATTTCTAAAGCATTTCACATGAGAATGAAATGAAAGCAAGAGCACTAGTAAAAGCAGATTTAAATTTAGGAATGGTGTCAAAACATGCATGGGAAGATAAAGCTACATATGAGCAAATAGAGTAATAAAAAAAGCATGCAGTATAAATTGAATACCTAATGAGCCTCCAATGACTAAACTTCGGAGAGTCCTTCTCCTTGGGAGGTCTAGTACTAAGGAACTTGGCGTATAAATTTTAAAACAGCATCAACATTACTTATTAGAATAAGAATTTTATGACATTGGTAGAGTATATTGAAATGGCAGATTAATGTGAAGTCCCAATTTTCAGTAGCTTATAACTTTGGCAGAACATTTAATTTCAAATGGAACTTGGCATGAGTTTACTCTCTGTCAGACTTCAGTTCTGCCAAGTTTGACAAACATCCAGTTCAGCTGTTTTGAGCTAATGTGAATGCCAAAGTAAAGATTTTTTTGCATTCAATTCAACACCATTTTTCATTATAAAAAGCAAAAATGAGTAAATGAGTGTTTATTGTCAGGCTCCTTAATTAAAGTAAAACAATCCTCACAAAAAGCAGAAATGCAAAGTGATTCAGTGAGCAAAGTAATGGACTGAGGACTCCATAGAACTAATTCCAGATTTGCTAACAATTCACTCTTACTATTTAAACTTGGAAAAGTAACAGCCTCTTTGTGGCTCAGCTTATTCAACAGTAAAATTAAGAGATTAATACAAACTTGCATAATCATAGTCATGAAAATGTCAGTAAAGCAGTTTTCAAATTTAAACACACAAAAACTTCTCTTTTCAATATTCTTGCTTTCTGGGTTTTTTGTTGTTGTTGTTCTTGCTTTTTATAGAGATAAATGAATTTGGATATGCAATGATAACCAGTCTGAAGCTGTACAAAAAGTTGAAGTCCATTAATGCATAAACTAGACCCTGGGAATTAGGATCCTTGGGTAGCTATATTTATTCTTTTGGGTCATTGGATATCATTTAGCAAATTAATATTTTGTTCACCGTTTTGTAAGTTACTGCTTCAATATAGGAAACAACACACTGGTGGCTTGAAATATTATGGTGTTCTACTCCAAAAACCTCAAGGTTTTCATGGAGTGATAGTTTATGCACCAAGAAAACAAAACAAAACAAACAGCTTAGTAAATAAATGTAAAGGATGTACCATGTACCCTCTTTGTTTTTTTGTTTGTTTGTTTGTTTTTGAGCTAGTGTCTCACTCTGTCCCCAGGCTGGAGTGCAGTGGTGCCATCTCGGCTCACTGCAAGCTCCGCCTCCCGGGTTCAAGCGATTCCCCTGCCTCAGCCTCCCGAATAGCTGGAACTACAGGCGCCCGCCACCACGCCCGGCTAATTTTTTGTGTTTTTAGTAGAGACAGGGTTTCACCGTGTTGCCCAGGCTGGTGTCCGACTGCTGAACTCAGGTGATCCACCCGCCTCGGCCTCCCAAAATGCTGGGATTACAGGCGTGAGCCACCATGCCCGGCCCCCGATGTACTCTCTTTCTATAGGTAATAAGTAAAATTTCTTTTTTTTTTTTTTAGTCACATTGTGGATCTGGAAGGTCTTTGAAATATTTAAAGACAGTTTGAATTGCCTCTTAGACATCCTAAAATACCAAAATTGCTTAGTAATTTAGATTACACAAACATAGAAAATATTGAGCCAAACAATTTTTCCATTTATTCATGTATATACTGCATAGCACACACTGGAGATAAATAAATAAATTACATTTAATTAAATAATTATCTACGATGTCCAGATATTCACTATTGTATGTAAATAAATACAGATTTACAAGCTTGTATAATGTTATATATCAAGTATATTATATTATTTTATCTTTATTATTATTATCTATATTATTTTAAGCTTCCACCTTGAATAATTACTTCCTTTGATCACATTGGAACGCTTAATTCTAAAACCAAGAGGACATCCATGCCATCATTTTTTTTTTTTTTTTTTTTTTTTTGAGACAGACTCTAACTCTGTCGTGGGGGCTGGAGTGCGATCTTGGTTCACTGCAATCTCCACCTCCCGGGATCGAGAAATTCTCCTGCCTCAGCCTCCCGAGTAGCTGGTATTACAGGTGCCCACACCATGTCCTGCTAATTTTTTTGTTTGTGTGTTTGTTTGAGATGGAGTTTCACTCTTATTGCCCAGGCTGGAATGCAATGGCACCATCTCGGCTCACTGCAACCTCTACCTCCCGGCTTCAAGCGATTCTCCTGCCTCAGCCTCCCGAGTAGCTGGGATTACAGGCGCCCACCACCAAGCCCAGCTAATTTTTTGTATTTTTGGTAGAGATGGGGTTTCACTATGTTGGCCAGGCTGGTCTCGAACTCCTGACCTCAGGCGATCCACCTGCTTCAGCCTCCCAAACTATTGGGATTACAGGCATGAGCCACTGCACCCGGGCCCTGTGCCATGTATTCTTAAATTCATTCTTCAAAAAATATATTTGTGTTTCCTCCCAAAATAGTGCTGTTGAGTATCAGTTTTCTATAGAATAATGTAAGTTGAGAACATTAGAACTTGAAAAGTGGCCCTCAACTAGAAGTTTGCAGAAATAGTATAAAGTACATTGAACTATGTATGCAGCATTTTTCTAATCTAAGAAAAAGTATATATTTGATTGTAAGATCTTCATCAATTATGTAACTTGAGTTTGATCTAAAATTATATGAACTTTATAATTCTGTTGGTCAGAAATCTGCTTCGCTATTGATGACAAGTTCAATAATTTCTAGAATGTGATTGGTTGACCAGACACCTGTTATCAGACTTACATAGCAGATTGTCACTGACTTTTAATCAATAATTTTAAAACTACATGCATTGTAGTTTTAGAAACTAGAAACTAGAAAACGTGACGTTTCCCTAAAATGACAGGGGTTGTGTGGTGGAGACAGAAGAGTTGTTGGTACTCCTCGTTTATGTAGCACTCCAATCAGATCACCTTTACATTCTCTCATTTTACATACTGTATTTCCATGAAATATTTTGTTTGAAGAAATGGTTTGCTGGTTAATATTTTAAAATACTACTTGAATTTACCATATCCAACGTATACTTAACTTGGCTCATAATAGTAAACGTAGTTAAAGAAAGACCTATATGTTTAATTATATTATGTGGTAACATCCTGGCTATCACAAAAAATTTATGTGATAATGTAATATTTTCAGTCATACATAGGCATAGATTCTTGTTTTAAATCTCTTTCCAAGTTAATTTTATATTATAGGTAATGATTTCACTTTGAAGGAACTGGTATGACATTGATACATACCTTCTTTCTGGGCAGTTGATAAACTCAGCTTCAGCTTTGAGGTTTTTCATTCAAACAGCAAGTCCTTCTCATGTCAACCAGCTCACACTGATGTACCAGATATTCTATCCTCAGCCAACCACATCTCTCAATGCTACATTTCTTAAGAACAATTTAATACATATACATAATTATATTCTTATCTCCTCAAAATCTAGTTAGCAATCTAGCTCAATTTATCCACTATGCACACAATTTTTTTGTTGCTGTCTTCTAGTTCCGTGTATTTAATCCTTCACTTAGGCATAATTTTTATTAACATCTTGAGAGCAATAACCTATACATGATCCATCATTCAGTGCTCATGTGCATGAAAGTATCTGGACAGATATTAGTGTTACATGCATCAATTCCTCTGAAAATAATATTAAACACCACAAACATAAAAGTGTTGTGTTAAGCCTGCTGTTTTTTGCAATGATGTAAGTATAAAAGAATGGACTATTATTTTTAGTCCAAAATTATCACTATGGAAAACAAACCTAACACTAAATTTAAACAGTCATTTGACATTATTTATATTGTTTAATAAAATATATCGTAAAAGCTAAAATGTGTTATTATTAAGATTGTACTTCAAATACCTTTTAAAAATAAATTAGTTTAGAGCTCAAAACAAAATGCCTACACTAGTAATTTTTGGTTGTCTTCCTAAGACAGATGATATAAAAAGCAAAATTTGTAACGCGAGCTGTGAAGGATAGCCACATAAAGGATCAACTTTGCAGCTTATCTTTCTCTTCTCCAGGGGAGCTGACATTTGTCTTATTTTAATCTATTAGACTCTTTTTTTTACTTGAAAATTTTATTTCATGTTTTAAAGGAAACTTATATAATAATCCACTTAGAATATTTTTCAATTTCTCTTCTAGTAAAAAGTACGGTCTTACTGGAATAAATCCATATTAATCACTTTCTTCTCTGATCATATCCTACAAACTCTGATGGGTCTTAGTCTGTATATTTTGATTAACATATTTTATGGTGAAAATTATATATGACCTTCATATTTTCTCCTCTCTGTTGGTGGAACAACTTGCCACCTATTAGTATATTTGTTGATATGATTATCATTTGGCAAACACAATTTATGTCGCTATTAATACCCATACAGACATTTGGGGGTGGAGAATTGCGAGTTGGCATTTGAGACACTTACACTCATCAGGGACTGAAAACAGCCTGCCTTTTATTCCACTTGTAATTCTCTGAAATAACAATAGAGAATATCTCAGTTATATTCTTAGGTGATAATCATTTACATTAACCAAAGTCATAATATAAACATTTATAAGCAAAACTATAAAATACAAGATGTTGTTAATAGAAAAAAAAGAAAGAAAAAAGTTATATCTGTCATTAATACTGGGCATACCTCTTGTTTAGTATAGATGATATTACAAATCAGAAAGTGTTCTGGCAACTGTAAAATCAGAATGAATTGAGTTCATGATGTTGTATAATGCAAATATAAAGGAATATTGGCTTGATTAATTTTTCTTCTGTATTCCAGAAAAAATTCTACATTGTAGAGTGTGATTAGCAAAAGCAGGCATGTCCCACTGTAGATAAATAACATATATGGGTAGCTTCTTATTCTTTCATTTTCCTTTCTTGTATATTCTAGCCTAACTCTGATCTTACAACAATATAGTTTTGACATTTTGTAGTTACTAGCTAACTCCCAACAGCTACATTTTTACTCATTTTTGAGAAATGGAAGATACTTTTTCTACATAAGTATATCATTTATCAAGGTGCTTTTTGTTGTTTGGTGGTGGTGGTAGTATTTTTATCTTACTCATTTTGTGTTGATTTTTAATCAATTTCTATTACAAAGAATGACTTTTACCAAGCTTACTCACAAAATCTGAAATTGGATCATGCTTAGAGCCGATAGCATTCTACTAACAGACTGTGGTGATAAATTAACTTTTTTGTACCTCAAAGGTGCCTCACTCTGCTTTGCCTAGAAATGTGACCTCAGGAAAGTTTATCTGAGGTAGATGTCTTGGAGGTGTTACCAATGATTTAAAACTGTCTGTAAAATTCTAATACATGTCTGAAACACAAAAATATTTCTTTCAATTTTATAAATAGTTGACTTGAAAGTAAAAACTGACAATTAGGCAGGCAAATTGTTAACTGTGAAAAAAAATTTAAAAGAATCACAATTGGCAACCTTGATAATTATTATTCTAACTATAAGTATGAGCCAGAGAGAAATTAGTTTTGAGGATAAATGTTAAATGAAGATAACAGTTTCTTTCCAAGCATTATAGAGGATGCAAATTTTCCCATGAAACGTATTGAATTTAATAATAATTACACTATTAAAGTGAGAGAGGAAACAAAATTGCATAGAATATATTTAAAATTAAAACATAATTATATTAATCAAATATAAGCTAAACTCTTAGAGCTAGTTATCTAAGAACAAAGCATTTTGCATATTTTTATACTTCTTTCTATTTCAAGAACAGAGTCAGCACCCTAAAACAATTCAGAAGCTCTTGAACAAATCTTTTAGAGTCTCAGCATTTATATTTTGGACTCAATGTATTGCTACAAGGCTTTGCTGTTTATCTCTTAATCCTTTATTGTTTAATAATCTTTTTTCACAGATGGTGACATGCAAATTACATTTTTCCAATGTAAATAGTGCTGGGAATGCAGATTTAAAACCTCAATAAATCAGATTTGTGTTAGGTGGCAATGACAATGAAGAAAAGGACACATGGAGATGCCAAACAAACTTCTTGTTTCATTTCACTCCTTATGGCCTTTTGATTCCTAAGCAGGTGGGGAATCATCCAAGCAGATTGTATCCCAGTATTAATTCAATCTTAACAACTGTTTACATCGAATTAAGAGTGAGTACTTGTCAATTCACATAATTACTTTAAGATGCCTATGCCTGAATTGCCATGAATGAAAGGAAATCTGTCTGAACTTTGGCACAGTTATATGTTGTATTTAACAAAACCTCCTCCCTTAGGACAGCCAGCTTCTTTCCACTTCCAGGAAATATAGGTGTCTTTCTTCCCACTGTGATCCGGAATTTGTCTTCCTGAGTTACAACACAGCCAAAGAAAGCTATTCTCATTAATTTGTCGGCCATATCCAAAATTATGTATGTAATGGAATGCTAGAATGGTAAGTACCTATTTAAAAAACTAACAGGTAAGAGGAAGATTTGGCAAACTCTTAGAACCAATGCTGCTATAAATGAAATATCCCTCCTAAAAGCAGTTACCATTTAAATATCCTAAGTGATATTAAAAAAGAATAGATTTGGCACTTCAACCCACATTCCTACTCAACCGACTCTTTCAAATATGGTTTTTGCCTAATGAGCATTGGCATATGATTTTAAAGCTGATTTGGATTCATGCTTTGAGCTAGAAACAGAAAAGTATTTCTCTCTTTAATATCTCAAACAGTTTCATTAAAAGGACCGTGGCACCTTGTTTCCACATTAATTTTGGTGTTAAAAAATCAAAGGGTGAATATAATCAGAAAAAGGTCCAGATAAAATATGTAGTAATGATTTTCCTGTCAGCTTTACCTTCAGGCTTGTTTACTATAGAATCAGCAGTTGTCAGACAAGAAAACGTCAGTAATACAGCCCTGATGATTTAGGTTGAACTGGACCTACACAGGGTCAAACTGGCAAATAAGAAGACTCAATAATTAGCCATGGGAAAATAGGCCAGAATCGCTCAGGACTTCAGCAGCTATAAGAACTTAAGCAGATAATTATCTCCAAATAGGCAGAATATCAGATGTCATAAAGAGAGAACAAATCTGTATGCAGTGGAAAGAGAGATCTCATACCAGATCAATATACAAAGCCATGATGCTAAACTTTTCTTCAGTTTAGTGCATTTGGCTGGAGAGGGTGGTCATTTAAAAGATACAAATTCATATACATTGCCCCATAGATTTTGATTAACTTAGAATAGTCTTGGATTGTGAGATTTTGTTTGTTTTCTTGTTGGCTTGCTTGTGTGCTTTTTAAGCTCCTTGGCTGATTTTAAATTGCCTCCACGGTTAAAGAAGTATTTATCTCAGAGAAGATACATAAGAAGCAAACCTGAATCAGGAAAAAAAAAAAAAAAAAAAGCCAAAAGCCTTACTGAGAACTTTAGGGTATTTCTTAGCAATCCAATTTGCGGAGTTCCTGAAATTATATCCTTTTTTCCTTCCTGGTTGCCACACGTGTTTCAAGTTTTCTCAACTAGGCACAAGTGTGGTAGTATGCACATTATCAAATGTAGAGTACTTAATGAGGAACTGTTGACCAGTGATGTAGCTTGTTAGCTCCTTAGGATATCATCAGGCTTTTTTCTAGTACTTCAGCTCTACTCATCCTCTATTGGTATACAAATAAATTTGATGTTTATTTATAAAATAAAAATATATATAGTGAAAGCACAAATCTTAATTGCACAGTTCAAAGAGATTTGATAAATATATATAGTGGTTACTACCAACTAAACCAATATATAGCATATTTCCAAAATATCAGGTTTCATCACTCTGTACCACCTTCCATTTAGTCAACATGCTCCATGGGAAACTATTTTATTTTTATAATAATAGATTAATATTACTTGTTCTTGAGTACCACGTAACAGGAACCATGAAATGTATACTCTATGACATCCAGCTTCTTTCACTTGCTGTCATATTTTTAAGAACCACCCTTATTGCTGTGTGTATCAGTTCATTTTTTCTATAACTAAGTAATGTTCCATTATATGATATACCATGATTAATTTACTTATTCTCTTGTTGATGGTGTATGGCAGACACACCTGACAGCAGCAACTTAGGCATATCCTGAGAATGACCCTGTATGGCAGATGCACCTGACATAAATAACTTAAGCATACGCTGGGAATGACTCTATCTTCTAAAAGGAATGCACGTTTGGAGTTCTGAGCTAAGGAATCTGGGAGTGGCCAAACCTGAGACTAATTCCTTATCTATGAGAAACATCTGTTAAAGTTTTCCAGGTGGAGGTTGCTAGAGGGAGGGTGCTAAGTGAAAATGCTACATGAACTACATGCTTTTTATAAACAGTAGTGATTCTCCTGCCCAGACTGCAACCACTGGACCACCTTACCTGTAAGTCCTTTCAATAGACCATATGTTTTGTTTGCTGGCTCCAGGTCTCTTCCTTGGCCTTCAAACAGGGTGCTATCCCTATTGAAGATAATAGGGGTTGGCATGAGAGATAAATATTTGAATAGTTTCTAGTTTGGGGCTATTATTTATAAAGCTTGTATAAACAGTCTTCAACAAGTCATTCTGGCTGGGGTCATATGTTTCCATTCTCTAGGGGAAAATAAAAAGGATTGAAATTGTTGAGCATAGGTGACTCCTAGGTGAGTGTTTATTAACTCGTTAAATGTTTATATATTTAACTATATAAAGGGTGAATGTTTAACTATACAAAAAGTTATCAAATAGCTTTCCAAAGGGGTTTACCAAGTGTCCAAGTTGCTCTTTATTGCCACCAAAATTCGCTGCTATCAGTCTTTTTAATTTTAGCCATTCTAGTCAGTGAAAATAGTATTTCATTACGGTTTTAATTTGTTTTTCCCTGATGGTCAATAATGTAGAGTAGAACTTCTAAACATGTAAATCCTGGACCTGTGTATCAACATTATTGTGAAAATGGTTAGGAATGCAATACGTAAACCCCACTCCAAACTTAATAAATTAGAAGCTCTGGGGTTGGTGTTTGGTCATATGTGTTTTACTAAGCCTTACAGGTGATTGTGATCCATGTTTTAAAAGAATTTCCCAGCTAACATGATTTTTTGGTCTCCCAAACTCTATAGCAATATCATAAAATCTGTGAGATATTCTAATTTGTATTTAATATGAATTTTTATATAGTAATAAATAGTTTTCCTTATATAGTCTCCTAGATTATGTTAAGTTCTTATCAATCAGTACCTGTATCTTTGCACAGTCTAGTTTAACATGTTTTTAATTCTCTTTTACGTCTCTCTCAAATATACTACCAGAATGTTGCTCTTATCCAATATTAGATTCATATTTTATATTATAAATGTATATCAACTGGATTATTTGGTTAGTAAGAAGTACATTTTATTATATACTTTACTTGCTGTCAATATACTATAGTTTCATGCCAAAAGTATTTCTCTTCTTAATGGAATGTTTTTCTGCTATAATAAGTTTTCAAAAAGTCTCTCAGAGATAAACATTCTGAATCAATGTGTAAAAATTGAAGGTAATTTTATTTCACACTGTCGTTTAAGTTGTCCTTCTGATTTTTGTTCCCTTGAATATCTGCTTCTTATCTCTAGAGTTTTAAATAATATTTTGTTTATCATTATTGTTTATATTTCACAATGACTTAAAAAGATTTTTTCTAAAGTAGCCTAAATTGCTGTTGTGTATCCTTGAAATTTGATGTCTGATACATCACCAGGCAGGCCCCTGACATGGGAGTGTTACAATTACCTAATGCTATGTAAGAATATCACCATAAAACTTTGTAAAGCAAAATAAAAAGTTAGTATGGTTGCAGATTCTGGAAAACAAGTTTTGGTTCTCTTTACCCAATACATCTATCCATCTAGACCTATAGTCTATAGCCCCAGCACCTGTGGATGGAGATTAAGCCATCTCGTTGGAAAGTCCGGCACCCATATTATGATCAGGTCCTCCAATGCCAAGGACTTTTTCTTTGAGGATTCTTCTAAGACTGTTGATGAACAGATCATATTTAGCCACAGAAGTCTCTGAACTAGGTCAAAACAGAATTTGTTTTATTTTTAAAAAGACAAATTTCCAATTTACTGTTTTATTACTTATCTCATATTCTTATATTCTATGCAGCCCAAGATAGTCTAGCAGAAATTCTGTAATGAAATCAAATGACAAATTAAAATACTTCAAAAATAAAATATCACCTTGATAGAGATGGCCAAAATTTACATATAAGCCTACCACCAACATCAAATTTCGTTATGTCTAACACTCCTAATTTCTCCATAGACTTCACTCTGTTCTGGAGGTAGAGAAAAAATTATCTATAGATCAAATACCTTTGTAAGTTTAAGTTTAAAATGATTAGGAAAATCATTTTTTCCCATTAGTTAAAATCCAATGAAATTGAGGCAAGAAAACATCCTCTTCACCTTCATACTTTGTTCAGTCTTAGCCAGAAGGCTGTTAATGCTTGTATGGACTTGTTAGGCTTGTCTCTCACTGGAATGAAATTTATTATAAAATTTTATGGCTTCACAAATTGAAATAATTTCATGTCAAGTTTCTGATGCCCTCACTAGTAATGGGCACAAATCCAGAATATACAAGAAACTCAAACAACTCAATAAAAAGGAAACAAATAACCAAATTTCAAAAATGGGCAAAGGACTTGAATGAAAATCCCTCAGCAGAAGACATTCGAAAGGTCAATGGAAATATGAAAAAAAAATGCTCAACATTCCTAATAATCCCTAATAATCAGGGAAATGCAAATTAAAACCATAATGAGATATCACCTGACTCCTGTTAGAATGGTTATTATTGAAGAGATGAATGATAAGTGCAGGCAAAGATGTGGAGAAAAGGGAACACTTGTGTGCTGTTGGTGAAATTGAAAATTAGTACAGCCATCATGGAAACCTGTATGGAGGCTCCTCAAGAAGCTAGAAACAGAATTACCATATGATTTAGCAATCCTACCTCTGGGTATATATCCAAGGGAATTGAAATCAGTATGTTGAAGAGATTTCTGCACTCTCATGTTCATTGCAGCATTATTCATAATAGCCAAGATTTGGAAGCAACCTGTCTATCGACAGGTGAATGAACATTAAAAACATGGTATGTATACACAAAGGAGTATTATTCAGCCTTTTAAAAGAAATAAATTCTGTTATTTGAGATAACATGGATGAATCTAGAGGACATTGTGTTAAGTGAAATGAGCCAGGCACAGAAAGAGAAATATCACATGATGTCACTTATATGTGGAATTTAAAAATTACCAAAGGCTGAGGGGTGAAAGGGGAGGGTGAGCAGGAAAAGGGGAAATGTTGATCAAGGGATACAAATTTCAGTTAGACAAGAGGAAAAAGTACTGGTGATCTAATTGTGCAAGATGATTATGGTTAACAATAATATATTTTATATTTCAAAATTGCTAAAGAAGTGAATTTTAAATGTTCTCACCACAAAGAAATGACGAGTATGTAAAGTGATGGATATTTTAATCAGTCAGCTTTGCATGTATCCAAGCATCATATTTTACTGCATAAATATATACGATTATATTTGTCAACAAAACTTTAAAAGAACACCTAAAATGATAACATATGCAAAATTAAGTTAGAATCAGTCTCACACTTACCAAACTTAAAAGCAAGCCAACCCTTTTCCCAAAAGCAGTTCCTCAGGCAAAATTCTCTTCCTATAATCTCATACTTAGCATTGCCAAAGACCGCAGCAGAGGCTCGGCAGTCTCTGGGAAAAAGAGGCTTGGGAGAATAAAATATCAGATCAATCCCCTCCAGGATATTTTCAGACTATCATACTTATAAACTTATATTCAACTAGGAGAAAATTCCTAGCAGAATTTTAATTTTGCCAATATGCAATAACTATTTCTGGGAGAAAAATCTAATTTTGCATATCTTCTTTCTAAGCTATTGAACATTGCTGACTTCTTGTAAAGTTTAAACATATAGAATAATGACAGCTCTTGTCACCAGTTCTTAGGTCAAGTTCCCTAAAAGCAGAGCCTGGGATGTAGTTTTTTGTTTGTTTGTTTGTTTTTTTCTCCAGTGATTTATTGCTGATTTATAGCTCTCTAGTGAAAGCTATAAGGGAATTAGAAAAGCAGAATATATTTGGGGAGGAAGCTAGGCAAAGTCAGGCATTTAGCTGAAGTCTAGACTTAGCTTGACCTGATGAGGTGCTCTGGAGTGAATTGGCACACAGGATAAAACTGTGAGCTGTTGAAGCAAACACAGCAGCGAGGGAATCTGAGGGAGGAGGTCTGGATGTGGTACCAAAAGCATTTATTACAAAGGGTAAATGCATGTTAGAAGCTTGAAAGAACAGAGTTTCTACTGATTATTATTGCCATATTCTATAAACAACAATTATCCATGAAGTAGGTGATAATTTTGATATTGCAAATCTGTGAAAATCTATCACCTAGCACCTTGAAAATTTGATAGCATATTTTAAATTTTATTTTCTATCAAATGAAGATACATGAATAAGAAATTAATTGATCCAGTATTCATTCTTCCACCAGAATATAATTTAAATACAACTATATTTTTTCAGGATAAATTGATAGAGCTGGCTACTAGGAAAAGATTAGAGATAAATTTTAAAATTCAGTATCATTTGCTTCTTTTTGATTAAAAGTTAAAATGAATATCCCAAGCTTACTGAAACTCCTTTTTTTTTTTTTTTTTTTTTTTTTTTAAATTGAGACAGGGACTCACTCTTCCACTCTTCTACCAGGCTGGAGTGCAGTGATGCAATCATGGCTCACTGTAGTCTCGAACACTTGGGCTGAGGTCATCCTCCCACCTCAGCTTATCGAGGAGCTGGGACTACAAGCACACACCACCACGCCCAGCCAATTTTTTTTTTTTTTTTTTTTTTTTTGAGATGAGGTCTCACTGTATTACTCAAGCTAGTCTCCAACTCCTAGACTCAAGCAATCCTCCCACCTCGGCCTCCAAAAGCACAGGGATTACAGGCATAAGCCACTGTTCTCAGCCTGAAATTGCTTCAAAATCTCTTCTTCCATTTCTTCTAACATACGTACAGGAGGCTTGTGGCTGCGCTGAATGTTGAAAGCAAGGAAAAGAAAAGAGAAAGAAAAACAACATAAAACAAGTTTATATATCATTATCTCCTGTAAATAGTATCCATCTATCCTACATTATGTAAGTTAACAAGCCAAAGAAAAATGTTTGTCACTGTAAAACTTTTAAATATTAATATACATAGATTTTTTCCAATAGTATCTTTAGGTGCTTAATATGAATAATGCCTATTTCACGTATAATTTTACTAACTACCAATTGAGGAATAACATAGTTTTGACTATAGGAGTTATTCTCTATATTATTCATGTATAAAATATTTTCAATGAATCATGTGTTTAAATTTATAATTATTTTTCATTGTTTTATATTTGTTCTTATTAGATTTACTGAGTATATTTGGCTATGTCTATTACATCCAACGACAAAAACATTGAGACTTGTATTTTGTATACATTTTATTCAACTTTTAAATTAGTAATTTGATTTATTTTATAGAAGTATTTGTCCAAGATTAATTTGATGTTAAAAACATAAAAATTTTATAAACCACTTTTATAGCAAAGCTGGTTTAGGAAGCACTGCTCCATAGGGCATGTGGGGATCAGCTGCCTTGAAGTTAAAAAGTAGCTTCATTTCTAAAAGCCTGGTATAAAGAAAGACTCCTTTCTCTATTGTTCAGCCTTTGCTTAAATTGTATCTGTAAAATTCAAGACTGAGCTGCAGCAGCTTGTACCCTGAAGCTGTCCGAGCTTGAGAAAAAACTAAGCTTTTGCTTAAACCAGCACTGCAGGCTAAGCACCCTCCCACCTTGTGGGGAGCATCCAGCTGAGATTCATCCACCACCCAGGCCTGCACCTTTCCTGATGCCCCATTGACCTTCATGCGTCTGCTGAAGCCTGCAAATCCCTGAGTCACTACTGTGAACGGTGTACCCTTTTCTAAGAAGAATGCTTTCTCCTTTCCTTCTCATCTCAAATTCCTACTCCTCACTATAAATTGGTTACCCTACTTCCTTCTTTTTGTTAAAAAAAATTCAGAAAAAAAGTCTTTACTCACCAGAAATCCACACTCATCTTTTTCCCTGAAAAAAAAAAAAGATGCACTCTTTTTCTAAAGCAAACCCTCCTTGTATGTACAAAAATTTCATTCCATTTTTCCTTCTAATTATTACCTTTTTTCTATTGTCTTTTCAGTTTCTCTCTCTCTACTGCATCATTTACAAATATGCTACCATACTTCACTCCTTAAGGTAGCTCACCCTCTCCTCTTCCAGCAAATGACCCTTTCTCTGTTGCATTTTTTCTAAAACCAAATTAGATCCAGGTTTTGTCTTCATTGTTCAAAAGGCACTCCTGTTAAGGTTACTAGGGGTCTTCATTTAACCAAATTCAGTAGTCTCTTATTGGCCCTTTTCTTATCTGACATAATAGAGCATTGACTTCTTTCTTGAAACATTTTCTTCACTTAAAATTCAGGACTTGCTAATCTTCCAGTTTTTTTTTTTCTAATTCACTAACAACTTCCTAGATTTCCTTGCTGGATTCTCCCAACATCTTTCTAAATGTTAGAGGATGCAAAAGTTCTGTTTTTGGCCTTCATATTTTCTCCACCTGCAAACAATGCCAGAGTGAATTCACCCGGTCCTCTAGCTTTACATGCCTTCTATCTCTTGATGTCTCCTAAATGTATATCACCAACACTGAAATCACCCCTCAAATCCAAACTTGCACACACAACTATCTAATTAACATCTCCATTTAAATTCCTTTTAAATATCTCACAAGTAACATGTGCAAATTGAACACTTGAATCCTTACTCTCCAAACCCACTCCATCTCAGCTAGCAGTTTTTATTTTATTAAAGGGTAACCACAGTTTCCTCAATTGTTCAGGCCAAGAATTTTGGAGTTACATTTGACCACTTCTTTTCTCTTACAACCCAGTGAGATAGAGGTAGAAGTCATGAACATCACCTATAGACCTGGATCATTAAAAAGAGCAGCAGGATTTTCCACTTTCTCTCTTTCCTTATTTGCCAAGCTGGAGGCAATCGATACTAAGACCTCAGAGTGTGACAGTGACAATATTTGAAGGCAGCTGGGTCCCTCAATCACTGACTTGGAGGCAAACTTTTCATGAGGGTCACCCAATAAATAACAAATATGTAAGACTCTTGTGTGAATAACCAAGGAACATTAGTTCGTTTAAACTACTAAAATTTTGGAGTTGTTTGTTACAACAGAGGCTTGCCACTGCAAATGGAGAAGTTTCTACCTAGAAGGATGGTGTTACTTGTAATAAAAACAAAAATGAAATCGATTACGCACCATGGGTTTAGTGGTTGGGCGGCAGGAGGCGAAAGAACTAGAAAAAGCAGGCTGGAAGCCTGGCTAGCAAAACGTTTAGTAAAAATTCACCTGTGATTACTTAAAATGAAGAAAGCATACTTACTGAGCCTATAATTTTAAGATAGTGCCTTGAAAGAGTCAGAGTGGTATCCACTGGCTATTAAAAGTTGCTTTTTGGAAGTCATTACAAAAATGTGAGATGCTGACGAAAAAAGTGACTGACTTTTAGGGAGAGACGGGTGGGAAAAGAGAAAGTTCACCAATCAATGGCATTAGAAGTTTTAAAAAGCTAACTTTTCTGGGCCATAAATAATTAGAGATAAAACCCAAAATACAAAGACAGAATTTTTTAACAAAAGGGGATAAAAGGCTTGAGCAGCAAAAGTTCAAGAAAGCTTTTAAATGAAGCCAAGTGACTCAGTTTAGCAGGAAAAATCTAATTAAGAATATTACTCAAGACCCTTGTTCTATGTAGCCTCAAGATGGCTGTCATTAATCAGAAAGAAGGTGAGTAGAGAAAATAAAGGAAACAGTCAAGCTTGGGAAATAATTTTAGGTAAAACATCGTGTTTACTGGCACATGGAACTGTCTGGAAGCAAATAGATAAAAATTTTCCTAAGTTTTTGAGGAAATTGTATTGCCAAAGAAACTGCAAGCCTTGTCTAAAAGGAGTATATGGCTGTTTGCTGAGTCTTTAAACTCTCTACTGAAATAACCCAAGGGTATTTCATGAGCCTCTGACACAAACTGCAAAAGAGCTGCCATAGCTATGTTTCCCCAAAGAGGACATACTCCCGATCATCCACTCTAGATAGGGCCATGGAGAATAATAGAAAAAGACACACTTTCTAAAAGGCAGAGGAAGAAACCATGAAAAATATTGTCAAAGGGAGTTTTATCAGAGAACAAAATCAGGGTGTACAAAACCTTTTCCTAATTTCAGATTAAGAAGTTTTTGTAAGAGATGCTGAGAAGATTTTAATAACTGCTTTGAAGCAGTGACTGCTCTGGGTCTTCCATTCTGCTCTTGATGAGCAAATTGTATTGAATTACATTCGTGCTTTATCGTTATATATTGAGCATGAGATGTGAATTTAATTCTAAATAACATGACTTTTCAGTTCATACCACAAGCAACATCTAGATTACATAGGAAGAGCTGCTCATCACGTGGACAACATAAACTAGTTATTGAATGGGATTATTGGATGGAATTTTGAGTTAGTTCACTTAAGAATGAAGTGAATATGTCCAATGTATAGAGGAGAAGTGACGTGGATATTTGGTGACCAGATTAATCTATAGTGTCAAGGATTGGCTGGATTTTAATTGTTTTACCATGTTCTAAGGGAACCCAGTTAGATTGTGTCCCACAGTTTCCTTTGTGGTTAGCTGCAGCCATAGAACTGAGTTTCAGTGTAATAAAGGTAGAAGTAATACACACCATCTAGACCTGATTCAAATACACAGACAACCAAACAAAACAAATATGCAATATTCATTCTTTCTTTTCTTGTCAGGGGCTGGAAACAAAAGTTCCAGAACTTGACAAACCCCGAAAGATGGAAGGTACATAAGGTACCATTTGACAGATAGTAACTGAAGGAGCAAAAAGATTCTACATGTGAAGAAGACCTGCCTAACCAGAAAATGGACTATTATCAAATGATAAATCAAATTGTATTATGTTTGCCATTAAAATGGTGTATTTATTTTTCTATAGTAGTTATCCTTCTCTGCTAAGATGATGATAATGATTTATTTTTATTATTTTTTCAAGCAACATTTGACTAGGAGTCACTGGATAGCACTACAGATGCTTAGTTCTTACCCTGAACATTCATTAAACAATTTTCCAAAACATATAACATAGAGACATAACCTGTTAAAGTAATAACATATTCCACACCCATTATCCTACAATGGTAAGGTCGGGGGAGTTAGAAAATTAAGATCTGATACTTGAGGACATTTATGACTCTTTTTCACATATTTCAGAAAGGTGCTAAAATCGGTACTGCTTGTCTATTATTTGGGCAAAACTAATAAGCTTTTTAACTTTTGGTGTGAAAATTACTATGCAAAAATTTCAAGATCAACATAGTATCTGGTCAAATGAAACAGAAATAAAGTGCCTTGAAATTTATTTAATTTAAATCTTAAGTAAAATTCTTATTCCCCTAACGGAAAAAAAACCTTAAATTTTAGTTATAAAGCTTGAAACTTAGGATAAAAACAAGTGACATTCTCCAATGACCTATCTACTGCCTCAAACCTTATTCTTTTTAGTTTTGCCATGTATAAGACAAATTATATGTATTATTCTCACTCATGAGTATAATTCTGCTTGAATTATCTAATTTCTATGAAAGAACTGAAATTATAACTTATTTCTATTTTTAGGGGCTATGCTATGTTTTCCCTAATCTATATATCCATTAAAATTTTGAATAATTTTTTAAAAATATTCTGTCCTCTAGCTTTTTATATTAAAAAAACAAACAGATGTAAGGCCACTGCATTAAATATTTCAAGTGAGTAAAACTGAATTCATATCATGTGATTTGTTATTAATAATGTATACTTTTACCTAATTGAGAAATCTGCCTAGAATAATATATTTTATTGTAGTCTAGAGACCTGAAAACAAATTGAAATTCTTGAGTCAATTGTTCTGAACTATGTCCAGTACTTATTTTTAGTGTTTTCATTCTCCATTCAAGCCAGAAGTCTTAAGATGCAATAACCTTCAAATTCTTCCATATCATTTACTGCAATGAAAATAAGGTTTTGGGTTATGGAATAGAGATGATCTGTGGTTTTAGTTTGGTGTGAAAAAGGAATGTCAGAAAATGTAGTGGGCATATTTTGAAGGCTGCAGGATACAGTTTATGTGGTCACTGAAACTGGCAACTATTATGAGGAAGATGTTCACATTGGCCACTTGAGACCGTGGCGTTCAGCTCACAGTTAATGCTTCATTCTCACCCCATCAGTTGGGAAGTGATGAGATCCATTGCAAGTGTACTTCCTCTAGCCTCTCTGAAACCCTCTGAAAATTATTTTGAAAGCTGATGGAACCCTTTTTCTGAAAAGTAAAAAATGGGAGAAAGCTGTCAGTTACAAAAAAACTCAGGTAGAATTGTGGAGATAAACTTTTTGTCTTAAATTAGCTTAAAGACTGACCCAACAAAGTCTGTATTTACTCTTCAAATACCCAATGACTGTGAGAATTTTGTTCTATTCTACCATCAGAAATAGTTATCCAAAACTGATTTTAAAAACTAAGTAAAAAGTGAGTATATTATTTTTTGATCTGGCCAGCACAGGAAGTAGTATCCTTATTAGGCCTGGATTCAGATGTTAGACTTAATGAGTGATGAAGGTGCTAATGCCAAATAATCTGAGAAGAAATCTATGCTGGAGCTTAGAAAGATAACCAGGCCCATGGGTGATGGTAGAGGAGGGTGTGTCTGAGAAGTCCCTCAGAACAAATACAGTATCTGGTGTTGAATATAGCAATCATGGCAGAAATTAAGAAGCCTAGAAGACATTAGCTGGGCATAATGAGAAACACCTCCAAGTGTCAGCTCCTTGAGAACAAGGACCAGTCCTGTTTCATCTTGATGTCCCCAGTGCATTATATATTGCAAATATGCCTGTGGATAAGTTAAAAAAAAAAGAATTGGTATCAAAGGGGATAGTTGCACAGATGAAGCGTTTGAGCTTCCCGCTTGCTTTAACCAATGAAGTGAGGGGCTTTCATTATCGCTCCTACTCTGGCAGTAAGTCCATTTTTGTCTTCAAAAGATATCTCCTGATACAAAATTTGAGTTTCAATGGTGTAAAATCTGTGTTTTACTCTTAGAAACCCAGTAATTTCCTATTAAGGAAAAAAAATATATATATAAAATTTCCCATTATGGAAAAATATATCCAGGGTTAGAAGAAATACTCACCTATCAAGGAAAGTAAAATTATGCCACGTAATTATTTGCATAAAGACCAGGCAAGAACTAAGCCATAACTATTCAACAGATTTACAGGAAGAAAATAGGAAGCACTCTTCTCTTTTTGCAATGTGTTCTACACCCACTGACTTTCCTCCTCCCTCTCCCTCTCTCTGAGCTTGTGTCTGTGTATGAATGTGTTTGGTGTTTTTGTGTTTGTTCTCATTTTTGGTTGTTGTGCTGATAAAGCAAATATTTTAATTTATTATTGTATTATTATTATTTTTTTTAGAAACAGGGCATTGTTCTGTTGTCCAGCCTGGAGTGCAGTGGCAGTGGCAGGGTTATAGCTTATTGTAACCTCAAACTCCTGGGCTCAAGAGGACTTTGCACCTCATCCTCTTAGTATCTAGAACTACAGGCAGGCACCACCATGCCCAGCTTGTTTGTTGTTGTTATTGTTGTTTTAATTATGGAACTGGGGTCCCGCTATGTTGCCCAGGCTGGAGGCAAACTTTACTAGCTCTAGTAAAACAAAAAAAAATAATGTTGTGTCTGTTCAGAGGAACATATTTTAGATGATCATCTGAAGGTTCTTAAAATAATCTACAAGTAAATTACACTCACACTGGAGTTCATTGAATGCATTCTTTTTTTGTCTTGCTAGAATCCTTGAAGGATGTATCAGGTAGAAAATAAGAAGAGATAACTAATAAAAAAAAATCGTGATGTACAAAAAGTACTCAATTATGTATTTTCTGGTCTACTATATTAAAGATTAAAGATGTACTTAGTAAAATTTAAACTCATTTATAGACTGAAAAATTATATCTACAAAAGCAAACAGAAAAACCACCCTGTAGTATAGTATGTATTCTATTTGAAGAGTGAGTTATAGCATAAGATATTAGCATATTACTACATGAAAACTTAAAATGAAAGAGATATTAGTAAGTTGAATTAAAATTATTAAAGTTACATTGAAACCAACCATACAGAAGACTGATATGGAGTAGATAAATATCATCTAATTCATTATAAAGTCCACAGGACAAAAATAAATCAATATACCTAAATTTAATTAATTTCAAATGAGGTAATGGTTCATGTAAATCAATTTAATATATCTGTTAATTTCATAAATTCATTTAATTGTTTCTTTTTTTATTTTTGGTAGAATGATTTATTGATAAATCTGTGCAATTACAATAGTGTATTAGTCCATTCTCACACTGCTATGAAGAAATACCCAAGACTGGGTAATTTATAAAGAAAAGAGGTTTAATTGATTCACACTTCTTCATGGATGGGGAGGTCTCAGGAAACTCACCATCATAGCAGAAGTCACCTCTTCACAGGACTGAAGGAGAGAGAATGAATGCTAGCAAGGAAATGCCAGACACATATAAAACCATCAGATCTTGTGAGAACTCACTATCATGAGAATAGCATGGGGGAAACAGCCCCCATGATTCAATTACCTCTCACCAAGTCCATCCCATGACATGTGGGGATTATGGGATTACAGTTCAAGGTCAGTCTTGGGTGGGAACACAAAGCCAAACCATATCAAATAGCAAATGCTATCTGAACAGTGATTTATTCTCCAAATAATATACAACAGAATGAAACACAATTAGGAAATACATAGACAATAATTCTTATAAGAAATGCATCATTTTTCTGCAATATGTGCACATATGTAGCAATATTATTTAGCACCATGATTTAAAAATACACAATTGAAATTTTTTTAATCTAGTTTTCTAAGTAAGCACTGCCTAGCAGTCATAAAACGTAAATGACTTTCCAGAATCATCTCAAATTAATGTCTAAGCCATATCTTCTTCAATTTCAATTAATAGGGAAAACTTTATGCTTCCTTTTGATTCTTCACCTAATTATACTGAAATAAAAATAAACAGGTAAATTAAAGTTGATAAAAGTCACAAAAAAATGCTGAGATATCACCTTATATTAGTAGCAGGGAAAAAACCACAGACTTTTCTGAATTCAGAGGTAACAAAATTAAATCACAAAATTTATACTTACTTATTTACTAGAGATGTAGAATATTTATCTTTGGTTTGTAATAAGTTGGAAATATATTTTATGTCCTATGTAAACACAAACCAAACATCTGGATTCAGAGTGAAAAATATTATTGCCAAATTATACATTTTTTCTAGTTATTTACATAAATCATAATATATGCTGATATTCATATATATATATGATTTGATATTGTGAAATATATTTTTGGTCTTCATCAAGTTTCCTGGCATACAACACCTACCATCTTTGGACTATCCAAATCACAGGTGTCTTTTTGTATGCTAATTAGTTGATTCCTAGCTGGCAGCCCCTAGATAGCTTCACAATGATGATCACTCAAAACACCAAGGAAGGAGCAGAGGGTTAGAACTTTCAGCCCCACTCCCAAATATGGAAGGAGGGAGGCAAGGCTAAAGGTTAAGTTGATCACCAGTGGACAATGATGTAATCAATCATGCCTGCATAATGAAGCCTGCAGAAAAACCCAAAAGGACTGCGTTCATGGAGCTTGCAGATAGCTGAATATACAGACATTCCTGGAAGGTGGTGCACCAGGCGAGGTCATGGAAGCTTCCCATCCCTTCCCACATAACTTGCCCTATTCATCTCTTCCATCAGTTACTCATTGAATATTCTTTGTAATATCTTATGTAGAAAATCAGTAAATATAAGTGTTTCCTGGCTGGGCATGGTGGCTCACACCTGTAATCCCATCACATTGGGAGGCCAAAGCAGGCAGATCATCTGAGGTCAAGAGTTCGAGACCAGCCTGTCCAACATGCTGAAACACTATCTCTACTAAAAATACAAAAAGAAAAAAAAAATTAGCCAGAGGTGGTGGCGAGCACCTGTAATAGCAGCTACGGAGGCTGAAGGAGGAGAATTGCTTGAACCCAAGAAGAGGAGGTTGCAGTGAGCAGAGATCACACCAATGCACTCCAGCCTGGGTAACAGAGTGAGATTTCATCTCAAAAAAAATATATATATACACACACACATATATATATGCACATACATATATATAAAATATATCGTATAATACATATAAATGTTTCCCTGAGTTATATGATCTGCTAGCAAATTAATCAAACCCATAAATGGGGTGATGGGAACCCTGATTTACAGCTAGCTGGTGGATCAGAAGCATAGGTAAAACAACTTGAGACTTGTGTTTGGCATTGAAAGTATGGAACAATCTTGTGACACTGAGCACTCAACTGGTGGGATTTGATGCTCTCTCCAAATAGATAGTGTTGGAATTGAATTGAAGGACACACAGCTGGCGTCTGCTGCAGAATTGCTTGCTTCCTTGATGTGTGAGGAAAGACCCCCACGCATTTTACTATGGAAGTCTTCTGTGTTGATTGTTAAGTGACAGTAGTATAGGAAAAAATGGACTTTGTTATTCCTATAAGTTACAAAGTAGATATAAGGACATACTGGGTGTTTTGCACTATCTGCACCAAACATTTAATTTTAGATATCTGGATTTGTAAATTTCCAGAGAGAGTTTCTCACTTGAACACAAATATTTGGATATTATTTAGCCAAAACTTCACAGTTCTGAAAAACAGAGAGCAAGGTGATCAATAGTCAGAAAAGTTTCCTGCTGCTTGTTAGTAAAAACTATCTTACTATGTGAAAGACACCAATAGTCCTTTATATATCTCTCAAAAACAGTCTGAATTATTGTTTGCTATTTATTAAACAAAATCCCTTGGCTTCCATGATATCATATTCTCTTTATTCTTCTATGACTTTTACTGTTCATTCTTGGGCCCGTGCCTTGCCTGCTTTTTCTCTGCATGCTTGAATTTGCTTTCCCTCAGCATTTTCACCTTTGTCTACATAGTTTTTTATTTGTTTTATTTCTTTCTCACTCTATGTCAGTCAGTGGTTCTCAGTACATTTTGGAAATTTGTTGGGGCATTTTCGGTTATCAAGTGAGTTTAGGAGCAGGTTTAGTGGGGAGAGTCCATTATGCTAGATGACCTACGGTCTGTGAGATGGTTCTATGTAACAGAAAATGCAGCCTGGCCAACTTTAAAGAGTTCCACCAGACATTCATGATAGTAAATCTGCTTAAATATTTTTAGGTGATAATCTAACTCCAATTTATATAAAATCTGACATTTTTATATGGTATAATTTATACCATAACCTAACGTAGGGTATAATTGTAATTTATTTTGTTTGGAACTTTACCAGTCATCAAGTTCAGTTTCTTTTATATCTGAAATACCCAAGTTTTCTTCTCCCTTCTCTCTTTCTGCCTGCAATGAAATTCTGATAATAACCACCCAGTGTTGGGTCAAACTTCATGAGTTAAGGACACAGTGCTCCAATAACACTGCCTTCACTTCAAATACCAGCCTCATTCCTTGGGGTTTCCAGGGCACCGTCACTTTCAACAACCTGACAACAAATTTGGGAGTTCCCACTAGCCTCTCAGTTTCCGTTATTCTTTTGAAACAACTCATAAAAGTCAGAAAAGTGCTATACTTATGATTACAGTTTTACTATGACAAATCAGGACTAGCCAAAGAAGAAATACATAGGATGAGGACTACGAGGGTCCTAAATGAGGAGTTCCCCATAGAAAGTCAACATGCATCACTCTTTTGTCACATCAGTAAGTAACAGTGTGTACATAGTACTGTCAACAAGGGAAGCTCACCCAACCTGTGATGTCTAGAGCTTTTATTAGGGCTTCATTACATTGGCATGATGGATTGAATCATTGGTCATGCACTGAATTCAATCTCCAGGTCTCCTCTCTCCCCCCGAAAGCTTTCAGGCAGATATCATGTGGCTCAAAGTTCCAATGCTCCAATCACAAGTTTGGCTTTTCTGATGTGACAAGCAGCCATCCTAAGACATCTTATTAGCATAAATTATCTAGGGGTTCACCATGCGTCTCCTCCTTAGCATAAACTCAGGTATAGTCTGAGGAGACTACTCAACAACAAAGATGCTCCCAGCATATGTGAAATGCCAAGGGTTTGGAAGCTTCCTCCCAGAAATCAGGGAAAAGGCCAGTCACATTTTTTAAAAAATTATACAACACTCCCATTACCTTTCCTTACTTCAGACTATTATCTTCCCAAATTCTTGCATTATTATCTAAACTATGTTCCTACTTCCAACATGGTTCTGCTTCATTTGCATGCTCTGCAATCCTGCCAGAATAATCTTGCTAAAATGCAATTTGGACAATGTCAATGCTCTGCTTAAAGTCTTTTAATGTTGCCCTCAATTTTACAAAGCAAATCTGGATTCCTTTGCATAACATACAATACTCTCTGTCAGGTTCATTTGCCTAACTCACTAGTCTTATGTACTCTCCAAATTATTTATTTTTCCAGTTGAAAAAATATATATCCAATTACATATTCTCAATGAAGTGACGTATTTCTCTTTTGAATGTTGTTGTTCATGCTATTTTCTTTTTTAGAAAACCTTTGCCTTCCCCCTACTCCTATTTGTCTACATAACCTATTATAATTCAAGACTCAAATTAGGTAAAATTAAATGTTTCTTATTCTACTCAGGTCAGATGAGGTTCTATTTTTTATATTCTCCTGGTATTATGTGCATGATTTTTGGCAAACTATTTATTTTCAATTAGAAATAATCTATTTATATGAATGTCTACACTGCAAAATTTTCCTGATACCTGTCCTCTTATAGACATGTAATAAGTGTTTTAAGTGAGCAAATCTGGATAGGAAAATTGTAAATGAATGTAACTGAAGCACAGCAGTTTTGGAATCAGTAAAATTTGGCCAGAATGATATTTTGATATCACACAACTGCTCATTTTATGAAGCACAAGCCATAGAAACAGAACATTATCTCTTTAAAATTTTGATCCATATGAGTTGCAAATAGTATTTAATATATGGTGTTGAACAAATGCATCACCATCACATTTTCCAAAGTGAGAAGCTATTCAAGGATCTCAGGAAGTGTAACAGTATTAAAGGTTAAGTTAGCTTTAAAAATAAAATGAAATGCCCATGTTTTAATAATGTGGAACATGTTGTATTATATAAATGGAGTGATTATTCTAGTATTGATGTGTGGAAGATGAGATATTAAATATCGGTGAATTTTTAAAGACTAAAAATCTTTTATATATCGTATATATTTATAGAATATTATTCACAAAGTTAGAAATAAAACCATATTTTTTAAGGCAGCAGAGTAGGTGAATTGTGGTACATCATCACACAGAAATAATCCCTAAAATAAAGGGTGAATCAACAGGACAAAATACATTGGATCATATTCTAACAGTAAATGAAATGGGTGATTTAGCTTCTCATTTATTCATCTTGCATTTGTTTAATCCATTTGTTATTCAAATATAGCAATAAAAACTATTCTACTTGGATTTTTTCCAATAAAAATATGCAACAAATGAATATCTAAAATATGGAATAATGAAAATTTATAAAGATGTATTTACTTTCATTTTATTTTTAAACTAGAGTTTGACTTTTCTAGAGGCAGTATGTTTTCTCTTCTCAAATCATTTTATTACTCGAAGGCTTCCAATAAACAAAGTTATCTAATCCTCTATTAATAGGTCCATTTTCTATCATATAAAATTCTTTTTTGTTTCCTACAGTCGCTGGAACAAAATACCACAACCTCAGTAGCTTAGCACAACACAAATTCATTCTCTTGCAGTTCTATAGGCTGGAAATTCAAAATGGTTTTACTGGGCTAAAATCAGAGCCATATCTCTTCTGAAGACTATAGGAGACAGTCTGTGTCCTTGCCTTTTCCAGCTTTTAGAGACCATCTGCTCTTCTTGTCCTGTGGTTCCTTCTTCCACCTTCAAAGGCAGCACCGTCCTGCCAACCACTTCTCCTTAGCTCTCCCAAGGAAACTCTTCTGTCTCCCTCTGTCACTTTTGAGGATTCTTGTGATGATATTGAGCCCAACAGCATAATCCAACATAATCTCTCTAATTTCAGGTCACCTGAGTAACAAATTGAATTTTATCTGTATCTTAATTCCTCTTTGCATGTAACCTAACATGTTAGCAGGTTCTGACAATTTGGGCGTGGGCCTCTTTGAGGAGACTTTATTCTCCCTACCGCACTCACCAACTGAGGTACTACTCCCATTGAGTTGTCAGGGGATAAAGAGATATATATTAGAATTTAATTAACCTTAACAAGTGCAAATGCCATATTGAAATTAATTTCCCACTTCCAGAGCAAATATATTTGTATTTAACCTCTCAATCAATCGGCAAAACATTTATTAGGTACTTTCTCTATCCACAACATTGAAGACTCCTTAGGAGACAAGACAGAAAATTCCCCACTTTGATGAAGTTAATAATTCAGTGGAGGAAAAAAGTACACTGGAATTGGTATTAACGTTACAAAGAAATATATCCTAAATTACAGGACTTACTAGGGGTTCCCAAACAGTCAGTGGTGATCCATTCATTGAACAAAAGAGGGATAATTCTTTAATCCAAAAGAATCATTTTCCACTGGTAAAATATTAGATATTGAGGTAGACAAATATTTGAAACCTTCCAGTACAGTTCAAATCATACCATGTAAAAGCTTAACTTGGTCTTAGCATTTTTTGGGGTAAAAGTCAGTTAAAAAAAAAAATAACTGGAATGCTTTGACCATGTCAGGTAAACACTCAGATTTTTACACGAGTGATCATATTGTTATAAGGCACAGCAAAGACATGAAGAAAAGAGTAATGGTAGTTTTTACCACAATAACCTGGTAGTATAGTGTATAGGCAATCTACAGAGAGCATTAAGCTCTGTGGGAGCAGTGCTAGAGTATGAAGCCATTTTCTTTGTTACTATAGAAACAGCAAAATGTCAACTATTTTTAGAGCTCTGTTCCAGGATTCAAGCAGCCATGCTAGTTATCAGTGTGTTTAAAGATGCCAGAAACATATGCCAAGTAATATAGCTAGAAATTTAAGTTTGTAAGGTAATTTACGTCCTCTAGAACATTTTAATAATATGCATGTCCCATCACATTTAATGCTACTTAAGCAATTAAATATCCATGCTGTATATAGAAATTATTCAAACAAGTATTATTTTATATAAACATAGTTAATGAAATAAGTTACTTCCACATACGGTTTTTCAAGGGTGAGTATCACATTATAGTGTTCATAAGTATAAACACTAAAATTAACTTGGTACACAGAAACTCAATTAGTTGGCCTCTGTTATCACTTAGCTAATTTCTATCACCTTCAATAAACACCTACTGAAACCCAGGCACCCCACCAAGTTTTGGAAATCTAAAAATACCCTATTTTTCCCCAAGTACATATTTCTACACATGAGCTAGACCTTAAGATATATTATATTATAAAACTTGACAAAAATTTTAAGGCAAAAAAATGTTAATTAAGAAGCCTTTTTCCAAAAATAACATGTTGGTTTTTAATATTTGCCAAGAAGCAAACAGGAAGAATGGATTCATGTTTAACTGTGCAACTTCCTTTGTCTTTGATCCTTACTGAAGCTCCACTGGCAAAAAAGAATCTAAAATCCATCTGTGCAGTATATTTTGCATACTAGAGTATAAGGGAAAGTTAGCAGCTTTTATATTTTTATAGACAAGATATAAACCACACAATTAGGAGAAATGATGCAGTTATCAAAATTTTACATTACCAAAAGCAGGGTTCACTCATCACTATGTATATATAAAATGTTTGTAATTCATGACCTTCATCTTTTTTCTTTTATATATTTAGTTAACATGCACATTTTGGGGCTTTGCAGACAAATGTAATTGTTGAATGGAATTTGAGAAGAAAGTGATCTGGCAAATGATTCTCACACTGAGATTTACTTTCTTAGATGTTACTGATGCCTCCTCAGTTCTGTAGACAGAGGCAACTAATTGAGAGTAACACAATCGAAGACTTTTTGCCGAAAATTATCCTTGCATTTGGAGTGAATTAGATACTGTTGTTACACAATCCTGGCTGGCAGGTTTAAAATCAAGTTGTTTATTAGGCAAATTCATCTAATTTAAGTGATTAAAAATCAGTGTTTTTAAATTAGGGTAATGTGTTATTGTACTGATTAGTTCATTAGAATTGATGTCCATTGGTTAAGGGGTGAATGGTAAGCCTTGATCACAAGAAAAAAAGAATAAACAAAAGTCTGTAATCTCCCAGACAAGTATGTTCTCTCCCTGAAACTTCAACATGCAGAAAACCTTTTGCAGTATTTCAAAAATACATATATGGATATGTGTATACTTTAACATAGCATTCACTGATACTTTAATAAGTCATATAACCAGACTGAATTAAAAAGTCAATACAATTTTTTAGATAACTGCACATCAAATTATTTAGTTATCCTCAACAGAAAAGATTTTACTCTAATTAACAATTCTTCATTTCTTTTTGTGTGAGAAATTGTGCCTCTGTACCATCAGTTCTTTCCTAAAGATAAAAGTACAAAAATATTATTTTTTAGATCAACTGTTGTTTGTTTTATTACTGCAAATCGATCACCAAATAACTGGCTGTAGTGTATGCTGTTTTGTGATGCTCAGCTTTAACTTCTGGACTGAGGAGCTTTTTTCTCAAGCAGCTAGAAGTGTGGACTCTGTCCTCTCCAGATTTGCCCTCTGTGGAAGGCTGTTGCCTTGCCCCAGGTTATGCAGTTTTACTGGGGCAACTTCTATCCAATGATGCAGGTTAGATAAAGACCTAGTTTTTATTATTCTCTCAATCAATATTGCACGTACCACCTATAGTACATAATATTGATTTACATGACCACTCTAGGTTTAAAGCTCTCTGTGGGATTAATTGATACATTTGTTAAAACAAATTGCACCTAACTTGTACCTGTAATGAATCTTGGTTCTCTCATGCCCATACAGAGAATATTTTCTAGTTCTCCCCAGTAAAACTCTTGCACTCAAATCTCCATCTCAGAGTCTGTTTCCAAGGATTTCTAATACCTTGAAGGTGTTTTGGAGATAAGGGATAGGCTATATAACAAAACAAACAAAGGACTGAAAAAAAAGTAGGTTCTCAGCATTTATTTATTGATTGATTTAGTATTAACACTTGTAGATCTCACATAATTTTCTTACTGTTTTATTAAAGAGTATCTATAAAAATGAATATACTCTTTTGCATTGTTGCTACTGCAATAGGGAATTGGCAGCCAATCCCACACTCTTTAGAGCTTATTTTCTGCACTGATAATTTTTCCAAGTGACACTATGACAATGACTGTTTAGTAGGTTTTTCTTTTTAGTATATATGGAAAATATTTACAACTGAATATGTGTATTATAGATACAAGAAGGCCTCTCAGGAAGCAATTGACATTTGCCTTTTAATAATCAAATAAAAATCTGATAATATAATAAACTAAAGATGTGCATGCTTTATTATGTAATTTCTTTTATTTTTACTATAATAGGCTACATATTTTCATATTTCCTACACTTCTTTAGTGCCTAATACAAAGTATATTTACAGTAAATGAATGAGGAAATGAATAAAAGTTAGGTGATTCTTACACAGATCTACATTATTTAAACAGACTAGCAAAATAGTATAGGTAAAGGTCAATTAACACTTATGTATTACCTTCTATGTGCTATATCTTACGGTATAGAGTGGAGCAGGTTAGTGTATAAAAGATAACCTATTTGTGGTTTCAGATAGAGCTGAATTCAAACCTCAGCTTGGCCATTTACTTACATGACTTTTACAAGTTACTGAACTGCTTCGTTTATTTTATTTTCTTTCTTTTCTTCCTTTTTTTCTTCTCCTTTTTGTCTTCTCACTTTTCTTTTCTTTCTTAACAAATATGGGGCATCCACTATGGACCAAACACTATGTAAGTGTTACAAATAAGACTGTAAACAGAATAAGTTTGTATCCTCACATTGCTTACTCTCTACGCAGAATAGTAAACAAGAAAATAGAGGGTGTCATATTTGTCTCGATCTAGACTGTTTGGAAAAGGCTTGCCAGGATAGATATTCTTGAAGACAAGTCCAGAGGCATGATTAGGAAGGGGTTATTTTGGTAGATGTGGAGATCGTCACTGAAGGTGATGGGGAGTATCCCATTCACCAATTGTAAGTAGAGGAATAGACAGAGGTGTGGAGGCAAGTGATCACAGAGTGTAATGGGAACCCGGTGTAATTCAGTTCTGAGGGGATCATTTTATCATGAGCAAAAGGAAACCTACTTATGTCTAACTAAGAAAGAGGGATGTATGATAAGGATTCAGGAGTGTCTAACATAATCCAAAGTAGGGAGGGAGGCCGGCCCCACCCCATGAGGGACTGTCATAGCCCAGCCAGTTTGAGCTGATTCTGTCTGTTTTTGCTCTATTTTCCTTTACTTTAGTGTGGAAACATTGCTTTCCAAGCCTAGCTTTTTTTTTCTTTTTTTTCCCTGAGGGTCTCGCTCTGTCATCTAGGCTGGAGTGCAGTGGCACAATCACAGCTACTGTAGTCTTGACTTCCCTGCCCCAAATGATCTGCTCGCTTCAGCCTCCTGAGTAGCTGAGACTACAGGTACGTGCCACCATGCCTAGCTAATTTTTGTATTTTTTGTAGAGACAGGGTTTTGCCATGTTGCCCAGGCTGGTCTGGAACTCCTGGACTCAGGCAATCCACCTACCTTGGCCTCCCAAAGTGCTAGGATTACACGTGTGAAACATCATGCCTGGCCTGCTTTTTCACTATGTCACTTCTCATTTCAGAAACCCAGCAGAATCCGACCAGGAGCCATTCCCCAAATCCAAGTAATTGTATTTGGTATCAGATTCCCATGTCATCAGATTCCCATGTCATCAGATTCCCTATCCAATCCAACCCTACCTTAAATGGGTTAGAAATGCCATGAAGTTTGAAAATTATGTCCAAACCTGAGGGCTTATTTCTGTAGGAAGAAATTGCTAAGGGAAGATCATCTCCTCTACCCCTGGAGCATAGAGTGTTATGGTTGGGTAGATGAGGAAGTGTGATTGCACAGGAAAGAGAGAAAAAAATCCATTCTCTTACAAGTTATAGTTAGGAATTTGAACTTTATGCGAGGGATATGAACAGTAGTGTTTTATAAAAGACAAGATTTTCTTCTTTAGAAGTGCACCCTATATGTCCAATGGAGAAAGTATTTGAATGGGTCAGTATTCAGTGTATGAAGACTTCTGTGGTCACATGAAATTCAGTTCACTAGTAGCAGAAAATAAATAGTCCATAGAGGCTGGAAATAAAACCAGATCACAGGAAAAACTGCAAGGAGCCTAATGAATTTAAATCGTCCTTAGGGTTACCATTAGGGTTTCTGTCAGGGGTGTGCCCAGGATTTGGGATCCAAAGCACTGGCAAGTTGGGGAACCTCTTTAATAAAATAATGCAAATTATAGAAATACACTTAAGAATAAGTTCATATATTTATTTAGATAAGTGAAGAGATAATTGTAAAATTAAATGTATCTCCACCTCAACTTTTCTTTAACCAGATTTCACAAAGTTGGCCCTCCAGGGCCACCCAACATAAAGGGATATATAGCAGAAGGAAAGTTGAAGGGGAAACACACAATGGCCCTGACTCAATGCAGTAAAAATATTCAGACTTTGCAAAATTTCAAGTACATATGACCATTGAACACATTACTCACATCCCATGTAAAGATACTGCAAGGTGAAGGTGCTGAAGCTTAAGCTTCATTGGTTTCACTGTAAATCCACCTCTAGTTACCATACGTGACAGATCCAAATCTCCCAGAAAAGCTGAAAATGCTAGTGTCTCCACAAAGCTATATATAGGTGTGAATCAATCTAATATATCAGGGAGAGAATAAAATTATTCTACAAGAGCTTAGATGTAACATTAGAATTTGTTTAATGCTATGCTCAATGGCTTACTATTTTACTATGTTCAGGGAATAAGATAATGTTTTAAATGCCTTTTTACTACCAATGGTCAATGTCTAGAAATTGAAAAATATATTGTTTCTTGGAATTATCTGTTTTTTGAAAACTTTGACAGTTTGGGTTGATATATAATAATATATTTTTTTCAAAGGTGCTTTCATTTTTTTAATGTTTAATGTCCTGAGTACATGTTGAGAAATATTCTCTTTCATTTACAATAGGTGATTTTGAAAATCGGTGAGGAGGTTATTTTTCTTTAGCTGTAATTATGCTCTCCTAAAGGGGAAATATGCAGGTTTAAGAATAATTATTCTAAGGCATTTGTTGTTCTTTGAAAAGTACTTTGTAAATAAACACACCAGGAATCCTTGTTTTGCAAGAGTACTTAAAATAGGCAACTTTCTGAAATGAGTTCTAAGTTTATTTCCACTAAGTGAATGAGAAGGACTTGGAGGTCAAATATGGAAGAAATGCCAAATTACTTGAACATTAAAGCATTAAACTGTTATGAAATTCATAAAGGAATGTTTAATTTTTAAAAATAGATAAATTTTATGTTATCTGTGACATCTTTTCATCAGTTAGCAGAAAGTTTTATTGCTACACACTTTTGAGCAACATAACATCATTACTTAATATTTTAAAAATATCTTTATATAGAACATGTCTGTGTTTTTGTAATTTGTGTTTGATGCTTATGAAAAGTGTCAGATTGACTTCCCTAGATACCAAAGTTTTCAATTTTTGCCTTATATAAGCCTTGGGGAAGCAGAGCCTTCTCAATGATCCTAGCCAATATAGTTACAACAGAGCGGTTTAAACAATAACTGGATGGCTCAGGGCTTGGCCTCTTTGTTGAATCTGTCAGCCAATGCACCAATTAACTCAACTACAATTTTTATGATGTGTACCAATTTTGTTGGAAAGTGAACACATGACTGTAGGTTTTACAGTGGCCTCAAGAAACAAAGAGCCTAAACTAATTGCAAAACCTGTCACTATTGTCATTGAGCCATTGAGTTGAAAAGTTTACTGAGCAATCTCTCACAATTTGCTTTGCACCTAAAGTCATGATTTTATCTAAATTATGCTATCTGCCTTCAGTCAAACATAAAACAAGGAGAAATTAATTAATTATATAAATGCAGACTGTGTTTTATTTATATTGCCACAAATTTTAATGTATATATCAAATGATCTCATTCTTCTCAGTTATGAGGCTTAATAAGTTTATTGCTAAAACTCCCAAGCAAGCAAACTTCATCTTTCATGAAAATGTGGTTTTAAAGTTTCATAAACATATTCTGTGTAAGGTCTGCCTTTGTAACTTGCTGATGATTCTTGAAAAGACCGAATGTATGAGTGACTCTCCTCTCTTGATTATGAAAATTATAGTCTTGTGGGTTCATGAAACTAATGTGAAAATGAGAACAAGAAACAGATAAATTGTTGTATTAGTCAAGGTTTTCTAAAGGAGCAGAACCAGTAGGAGACACACACACACACACACACACACACACGCACACATATATATATGGAGATTTTTTATAAGAACTGTTTCACATGTTTACAGAGGCTGAGAATTCCCACAATATACCATCTGCAAGCTGAAGAACCAGGAAATCTGGTGGTATAATACAGTCTGAGGCTGAAGGCCTGAGAAGAAGGAAGGGAAGGCAGACACTGGTATAAGTCCCAGAATCTGAAAGCCTGGAAATCAGGAGCTCTAATATTCAAGGGCAGAAAATGACAAAAATCCCATATTAAGAGGAGAGAGGAAGATAATACCTCCTTTCCTCTTTCCATTCCATTCGGACCCCCAATGGATTGGATAATGGCACCCACATTGGCACGTGTCAATCTTCACTCAATCTACCCATTCAAATGCCAATCTCTTCTGGAAACACCCTCACAGATATACCCAGAAATAATGCTTTACCAGCTCTCCCGACATCCCCTGACACAGTCAAATTGAGACATACAATTAACACAGTTGTGATCTGAGGTGAATGTTGGGGTAGCAGGGAAGAAGGTCAGCGGACAGTTTTGAGTGAAGTCTGATTCCTTGTGCAGGGTTTAGGCTTAGGGAAAGCTCCTGTGCTCTTTTCTCACTTGTATATATGCTGGAAGGGTCATTGTCTGCAGAATGACTATTGGAATCAAAATAGCAAATTACAACCCAGGTCTGTCTGGGATTGAGAAAAGGGTGTGCGAAATGAGGAACTATTAACATATGTCTAGAAAGAGAAGATTAAAACTCTTGCAACCCTATCACCTCATATTTTGGGCTAGAAGATTATAATATGGGAAGTAAAATCTTTTGGAACAGAACAGCACCCAGCATGAAGCTCAGGGATATTCTAAAGGGCAATGTCACTGCTATGAACTGAATGTTATAACCCCTCAAAATTTGTGTGTTGAAATCTAATCACCAATGTAATGGTATTTGGAGGTGGAGTCTTTGGGAGGTGACTAATTCATGAAGGCACAGTCCTCATGAATGGGATTAGTGCCTTTATAAAGGGTGCCCCTGAAAATTGCCTCAACCTTCTACCACGTGAGGACCCAGTGAGGGAGTGCCATCCCTTAACCAAAAAGCAGGACTTCATCAGACACTGAATCTACCAGCACCACGACCTTGGATTTGTCTGCCTCCAGGACTATAAGAAATACACTTCTGTGGTTTATAACCTATGCAGTTTATGGTATTTTGTTATCACAGCTGGAACAGACTGAGACAGCCACCTGCATGGTGAGATGGTTATGTTCTGTTGGTGGTGCTGAGGGCTCTTTGCCCTGGAGCATATTTCTCAAACTCATATCTGAAGTTCCAAGAAGAACAAAAACTAACACTAAACTGTTAGCCTCCTTTTCTCCATATAAGAAAGCTACATAAGGTAGCTGAAACTGAGCTTGTGAAGGGAAATAATCAGAAATCTGAGGAACAAAAATGCATATAACTGTAAGGTTACAAACTGAATCATTTATATTACACAAAACAGAATTAATGTAACTGAGAGATTTTAAAAAATAATAAATAGGTCTAAAATATCCTGAAAACAGGTAAAGGCAAATAATAACAAGTAGAAACAAATGAAGTCGTTGTTATAGAAAACATGTCTGAGTACCATAAAAATAGTAGCTAAGGGAAGAGCAGAATGCATATAGCTGGAAAATCATCTCTAGGAACTCCTGAAATAAAGATAAAATGTTTAAAAAAAAGGTTGGCAATGCAAAAGAAAAATACAGGTATGTGGAGTCCAGTAGTAGGCATATCAATATTCTCATACCTCAACTTCCAGGCACAAAACAGCAAGGAGAGAGGAAGAAAGTATTGAAATTACGACTAACAGTCCAAAAACAATATAATCTCAAGACCACTTTAAAATTAAAATTTTAAATTTAAAGGAGATTCTAAAAGCTTTGTGAGTAAGATTATATATTCAACAAAGAAACTATCATTGAATGTTCCAACACTGGGTGCAAGAAAAGTCTTTTCGAAGTATTTAAGACAAAATCCAACCCTAATATTTTGTACACAGACAAAGTATTTCGATGGAAGAATAAAATACTATGTTCTCTAGAACAGCACTGTGTACAGAATTTTTTGCTCAATATCTATATGTGAATATTGGATATTGAGCAAAAAATTCATATCGAATAGAGTGGTGCTACAAATGCAAATAAACTACTCCAACAAGAAAATAAGCAAATCAAGGGGGATTATATAAATATATTAAAAGTATAAATGAATTAATAGTTTAATTCAGTTTATTGTCATGTGGAAAAGAAACAAAACCATCAAACAAAATATACATGTATTATAATCAGAACTAAAGTGCACGTGATAATACAGCTGGGTAAATGAAGAAAACAGAGAAGAGCACATGTTATGAGCATAACAGATTGAAACAGATAAAAATAAACGTGTATGCATAGAAATATAAAATATGTATTTTTAAAAATAGCATAAAATGTTGATCCATCTAATGAAAGCCAAGAAAAGGGAAAAATATAAGATATAAATAGGGTAAATAAAAATATGAAAAGTAAATTGCAAAATTACGTTCAAATATAATGGTAATTTCAAAATAGTTGAGTTAAACTCATATATTAAAAAAAAACAGACTCAGATCATTACACAGAATAATTCAGCAATATTTTACCTTGGAAGAGATAAATTAAAAGTTAGGTAAGAGTTGACAACAAGAGATGAAAAAATAAATGAAGGAAAGCTTCAGGTAGAAAAGAATTAAATGTAAAAGCAAAGAAAAAGAGGGACTGCATCACATAGGTAAAAGGAAAAATAAATCAAATACATATTGAAAATAACAAGAGTCTCACAATATATAAAACAACAGATATAATTACAGGAAAAATAGTACATGTATTTGCAGATATTCTTATACTTATTTGAGAAATTTATCAAACTAACTAAAGGTATAAAAATGTTAACAGTACTATTAATCTCTAAATATATCCAGGTGAGTTGTGTATACATACACTTTATTTCTCAAAGAAACACAAATTCATTTTGATTATATTTGGAAAAAAAACAAAATTGTACACTGTCCAGAAGGAAATCTCAACAAATTTGACAAAATTAGCAACTTCAACTTTTTCTGATGGTGACAATGAATAAAAATGGAAATAATTAAATATAAATTGCACATATAAAATGTATATAATTCTGTAAATGTAAAATATGAACTTTTATGCATATTATGTACATGTTTTTATTAAATATATATTATTTTTTTAATAAAATCATAAAGATTATTTTTAAAATCTTAGAATCAAATGAAAATGGTAACACTGAATTTCAAAAGTATAAGGATCAACAGACAAGATAGGACTAATAAGGAAATAAATGAGTTTACATATATTTAGCAAAAAGCAAGATGAATTCTAGAAAATTATCAAAATCTCTAATTTTAAAAGTTGATGGAAAATGAAGAGAGCAAACCCAGAGGAGACAGAAGGAAGAAAATAATAACTGTGAGAGTAGAGGTCAATAATATAAACAACAAGCAGAAACAAATCAATAGAGAAAATTAACAAATTTTTAAAAAAACTGATTTTTAGGAAAGATCAATGAGTTGGCTGAATCTCTGCAAAGAATGAGAACATACAAATAATAAATACAGTTTTGAATGTAAAACAGAAATCATTACAAATGTAACAGAAGATTCATAGTTTAATGTAGGAACATAGTGAACAAATACACGCTTATCAACTTGGAGACCTGTGGAACTTAAGAGACAACAAATAGCCTTTTATAGTCTGATATTTTTTATCTTTTCATATATTTCAAATGATTTTTCATTAAAGTTTTATTAATTTTCATGTATCATAATTATAAAATCTGCTTTAAAATTTTTATCTGGTAATTTCAATATCTGGGATTATCTTGTAGATGATATATTGTTATTGTCTTTTTCTTGAGAATAAGTCACATTTCCCTGAGCAAATATAATATTATATATTCATGATCAAATACAATATCATGTATACTCTGGCTTCTGTTTTAAACCTCTGAAAATTACTGAGGTTGTTGTTTTAGAAGGCAGAGAATACTGTTGGGTTTACCCTCTCAATTCTGTGTCACTTTTATGTGGGTTGGTTCCAATCTCAGTTCGGACCTTAAGTCTTTGCTACACTGATTTGAGTCTGATCTATACATGTATGGATAAGAAGCTAGCCTGGAACTGGTGTGTTCACATATAGACGTAGAGGATCTCTTTATCTTGTTTTCTCCCTTTTTTCTCTACTCTTCCCTGTTTGTTCTCCAATCTGCATGGGCTCCTTTCCTTGGTTTCTCTGGCCCTAAGAATGACATAATTTCTATCAACATTTTTACCTCTATCAGAGTGTGGTTCCCTGACTGGGAATTACTGTTGGAACACAATCTTGAGATTTCTTTTTTTTACTCTCCTCCACAATCTGCCTGCTTTTGTTTATGTTTGCAAGTCCTCATGTAATTGATTTTGTGAGTCACAGAATTTACAGTCGTAATCAGCGGCAGGGATGGGCTGAAGCTGATCACAGCAGTGAATTGGGAACTCTCCACCAGGTTTTGTATTCAGATTTCTGGATACTGAATAACTCAACAATGTACTATTATTGTCCCTACCTCCTTTAAGATCTTTGAGATATTCATTGCATTTTCATTTTAAAACTGTATTTTTATTGAGAAACTACCAAGTACTAAGCACTGGGAAGACAGGGATGAAAGAGAAAAATCTCTGTTTTCAAGAAGTTTGGAAATCAAGAATGAAGAAAGTTCAGCTTAGTAAGTAAACAAACACTTTGATAAGGATAGCAGTAGAGACTTGTAGAGGATGCTGTGAGAATTCAGATGAAGAGTCCTTGGGATAGCCTGTTAACTCTTCCAAGAAGAAGCTACTTCTGAGCTAAATCTTCAACCACCCAGGTGAAAAAGTGAGGGATAAGGAAGACAGTCCAAGGTATAGAGCAAACAAAAGGAAAAATAATCTTGACTGGTTGGGGCTGGTGGTAAGAAATTTAGTGAAATTACATAAATCAATATAACGTACTGTAGGAAGGATGTGGGATATTTTTTCTTCTTCTTTTTATTTTATTTTATTATTACTATACTTTAAGTTTTAGGGTACATGTGCACAATGTGCAGGTTAGTTACATATGTATACATGTGCCATGCTGGTGTGCTGCAACCATTAACTCATCATTTAGCATTAGGTATATCTCCCAATGCTATCCCTCCCCCCTCCCCCCCACCCCACAACAGTCCGCAGAGTGTGATGTTCCCCTTCCTGTGTCCATGTGTTCTCATTGTTCAATTCCCACCTATGAGTGAGAACATACGGTGTTTGGTTTTTTGTCCTTGTGATAGTTTACTGAGAATGATGATTTCCAATTTCATCCATGTCCCTACAAAGGACATGAACTCATCATTTTTTATGGCTGCACAGTATTCCATGGTGTATATGTGCCACATTTTCTTAATCCAATCTATCGTTGTTGGACATTTAGGTTGGTTCCAAGTCTTTGCTATTGTGAATAGTGCTGCAATAAACATACATGTGCATGTGTCTTTAGAGCAGCATGATTTATAGTCCTTTGGGTATATACCCAGCAATGGGATGGCTGGGTCAAATGGTATTTCTAGTTCTAGATCCCTGAGGAATCGCCACACTGACTTCCACAATGGTTGAACTAGTTTACAGTCCCACCAACAGTGTAAAAGTGTTCCTATTTCTCCACATCCTCTCCAGCACCTGTTGTTTCCCGACTTTGTAATGATTGCCATTCTAACTGGTGTGAGATGGTATCTCATTGTGGTTTTGATTTGCACTTCTCTGATAGCCAGTGATGGTGAGCATTTTTTCATGTGTTTTTTGGCTGCATAAATGTCTTCTTTTGAGAAGTGTCTGTTCATGTCCTTTGCCCACTTTTTGATGGGGTTTTTGTTTTTTTCTTGTAAATTTGTTTGAGTTCCTTGTAGATTCTGGATATTAGCCCTTTGTCAGATGAGTAGGTTGTGAAAATTTTCTCCCATTTTGTGGGTTGCCTGTTCACTCTGATGGTAGTTTATTTTGCTGTGCAGAAGCTCTTTAGTTTAATTAGATCCCATTTGTCAATTTTGGCTTTTGTTCCCATTGCTTTTGGTGTTTTAGACATGAAGTCCTTGCCCATGCCTATGTCCTGAATTGTAATGCCTAGGTTTTCTTCTAGGGTTTTTATGGTTTTAGGTCTAACGTTTAAGTCTTTAATCCATCTTGAATTAATTTTTGTGTAAGGTGTAAGGAATGGATCCAGTTTCAGCTTTCTACATATGGCTAGCCAGTTTTCCCAGCACCGTTTATTAAATAGGGAATCCTTCCCCCATTGCTTATTTTTCTCAGGTTTGTCAAAGATCAGATAGTTGTAGATATGTGGCGTTATTTCTGAGGGCTCTGTTCTGTTCCATTGATCTATATCTCTGTTTTGGTACCAGTACCATGCTGTTTTGGTTACTGTAGCCTTGTAGTATAGTTTGAAGTCAGGTAGCGTGATGCCTCCAGCTTTGTTCTTTTGGCTTAGGATTGACTTGGCAATGTGGGCTCTTTTTTGGTTCCATATGAACTTTAAAGTAGATTTTTCCAATTCTGTGAAGAAAGTCATTGGTAGCTTGATGGGGATGGCATTGAATCTGTAAATTACCTTGGGCAGTGTGGCCATTTTCACGATATTGATTCTTCCTACCCATGAGCATGGAATGTTCTTCCATTTCTTTGTATCCTCTTTTATTTCATTGAGCAGTGGTTTGTAGTTCTCCTTGAAGAGGTCCTTCACATCCCTTGTAAGTTGGATTTCTAGGTATTTTATTCTCTTTGAAGCAATTGTGAATGGGAGTTCACTCATGATTTGGCTCTCTGTTTGTCTGTTGTTGGTGTATAAGAATGCTTGTGAATTTTGTACATTGATTTTGTATCCTGAGACTTTGCTGCAGTTGCTTATCAGCTTAATGAGATTTTGGGCTGAGACAATGAGGTTTTCTAGATATACAATCTTGTCGTCTGCAAACAGGGACAATTTGACTTCCTCTTTTCCTAATTGAATACCATTTATTTCCTTCTCCTGCCTAATTGCCCTGGCCAGAACTTCCAACACTATGTTGAATAGGAGTGGTGAGAGAGGGCATCCCTGTCTTGTGCCAGTTTTCAAAGGGAATGCTTCCAGTTTTTGCCCATTCAGTATGATATTGGCTGTGGGTTTGTCATAGATAGCTCTTATTATTTTGAGATACGTCCCTTCAATACCTAATTTATTGAGAGTTTTTAGCATGAAGTGTTATTGAATTTTGTGAAAGGCCTTTTCTGCATCTATTGAGATAATCATGTGGTTTTTGTCTTTGGTTCTGTTTATATGCTGGATTACATTAATTGATTTGTGTATATTGAACCAGCCTTGCATCCCAGGGATGAAGCCCACTTGATCATGGTGGATAAGCTTTTTGATGTGCTGCTGGATTCAGTTTGCCAGTATTTTATTGAGTATTTTTGCATCAATGTTCATCAAGGATATTGGTCTAAAATTCTCTTTTTTGGTTGTGTCTCTGCCCGGCTTTGGTATCAGGACGATGCTGGCCTCATAAAAGGGTAGGGAGGATTCCCTTTTTTTCTATTGATTGGAATAGTTTCAGAAGGAATGGTACCAGTTCCTCCTTGTACCTCTGGTAGAATTCAGCTGTGAATCCATCTGGTCCTGGACTCTTTTTTGTTGGTAAGCTATTGATTATTGCCACAATTTCAGAGCCTGTTATTGGTCTGTTCAGAGATTCAACTTCTTCCTGGTTTAGTCTTGGGAGGATGTGGGATATTGACAGGTAGATTAGTGGAGACTGTATACATGTGAGGGGAGAGACTTGATCTTCATAACATTGTGAAAATAAGTGAGAAGGCATGGCACAGGGAGAATTAGAGTAGGAGGCTGCTGTCATAAAGCTTGTGGGGAGGACGGGAACTGGAGATTCTTGAATTGAGTAGAGGAAGTGAAAATGGATAGAAGTTACTAAAGTGGATTGGAGGGAGATTTTGGAACTGATTTGGCAGGGTTTGGTGACAAACTTGATGCCCTGAGTGAGGGAGGAAAAGTCCTAGGATATATCCAATTCTTGCTTCTTTTATAAGGCAAGTAGTTCTATCAAGAATAAGTTTAGGAATCGTGGATTGCATCTAGATGGAAAAATGTTTGTTTTAGATTATGTTGCAACTTGAGATGCCTCTGAGTTTCTCAAGTAGACACTTCCAGGCACTTGGGTAAACACAACTGGAATACAAATATATGTTAGGGTTGGATGTACGTCTTTGAGGGATCATGGAATTATAGAAGTAAGAGATCGAAGGGACATTAGAAATTATTTATTTTAATTGTATCATTTTTCATAAACACCTATCTAAATAGCGAGTTAAAGTGACTTGTTCGGTTGACAGTCTCAGTCGAGCTGGGGTCAAATGTTGATATACAGTCATGCATCGCTTAAAAACAGAGATACATTCTGAGAAATGTGTCTTTGGTCAATTTCATCATTGTGCAAACATCACAGAGTGTACGTACGCAAACCTAATGGTATAGCCTACCACACAGCAAGGTTATAGGACACAGCCTATTGCATTTACTGTCCTGTATAGCATGTTACTGTACTGAATACTGTAGGCAAATATAACACAGTGGTATTTGTGTGCCTAAATATATCTAGACATAGAAATGCTACAGTAAAAATATGGTATTATAATTATGTGGGACCACTGTCATATAGTCACATATGCAATCCATCATTGATCAAAATGTTGTTATGTGGTACATAAGTGTATTGTATTTCCATCTGGGGATATTAGTGCCATGCTGCCCTGCACTACTGTTCGGTGTATGTAGAGTAATGCTGTTCTAGAAACTAAAAAGCACATATTCAGATACCAGGTATGTCAGTGAAAAGGTAGGTTTTATTTTGTGAAATTTTTAGAAAGTGACTTTCATTCTTTCTTACAATTTGTGTTTAAATTTCCAATGATAAAGGCAATGGACATAGAATAGAAGAATGGGAAAACTAGTAGAAATAATGAAGGGATAGAATTTGAGTTTGACTAGACCTGAGCTAGATGAATGATTTGAAAGATAAGTGCCTGAACCAGCTGACAACCTTTAAAGGAAGTAATATATATAAAAAGTGCCTAGCAGAGAATCTGGCACAATAATAAGCTCCCACTCAAGCGATTGCAGCTTTATTAGCTTAAAAACACAGCCACTGAGGTTATTCCTACAGTGTTCATTACAATGTGAAAGAATATTCTGAAACTAATGGTCTAGAAGCCGTAAAGCAGTGAGCATTTCAAGGAATACAAGAGTTACCCAGGTGTGTAGTTATCACCTGAGGATAACTTTCTTGTTCAACAAGTTTCTTCCTGCAAATGAAACAAAACATTACCATTGATGAATTCACTATTTTCTCCAGAAGCATATACGCAATGCTTGAAATAGTCAGAATTTCTCCATAACTGCTAGAAAATCAGCTTATGGATCAAAACCAGAGGTACTTTTGCAATAATAGCCCAAAGATAATTTAGAAATTTTTGAGATTAACAGAAGAGATTAATTCCCACCTGTCAATGTAATCGAACTTGTCTTCGTCCTCAACTTTTAACAAATATAGATGTCATGACTATTCAAGAATACCTTGATTAAGTTTATTATGTCAGCTTTGAGATGAAAAGGAGTGGTTAAGTTGAGCTGGCTTGTATCGTCATTTCAACAAATGTACATTATATTCATAAGGATCAAAACCACAGATATGTGAAAAACAGCATGAAGCATCAAAGTGCAGTTAAGCTATTTAAGTCACTCTGTTCCACGCTCAAATGTCTGTCCAGTGAAGCACTGCTCCACCGCCAGTCTTGCTAACTGAAAGACTACCCTGGAATCTTTCTATAAATGTTACATATTGAAGAAAGTGTCTGTGCTCATTAAAAAAAAAGGCAACAACCAAAAAACAGTAATATGTCATAATCCTGGTAATTATCAGCCTGCAACAATTTGAGCATACAAATATTTTCTTAAGTTTCATGAGTCAGGTAGGCCCTTGGATGAAATGGTCTCTTAGGGGTCACTTGAAGAATCTATGGTGCTGCAGTTTGTTCAGTGATATGTAGCAGCTCCTCTCTAGCCCTACAGAAAACCCTAATTCTCAAAATTCTGTTAAAATCTCTTGATCTAGTTAAGCGAGTGTTTCAACTTCCAGGCTTTATAAATTTATACACAAAAATTTACAGAAATTCTTTACAGTGACTGAGAATGTTAAGCTATAAACTCTTTCTGAGGGAATCTTTGGATTTTGTTAATGCTTTGTGATCATGACTCTTACTCTATTTTTAAATTTCCTTAGTAGCTAACACAATGTTTGGCACTAATTATCAATACTATTACATATCATCACAGATTAATCATAACACTAAATTACAGTCAACAAAGACAAATCTTAGGTGATTTAAGCAAAAATGGAGTTTGGATTGGGTATTTAGTAGTTTCTAAGGTTTCAGGGAAAGCTGGAAAATTGGAGCATCTGCAAAGGAAAGCTATGCAGTCAAAATCAGAGTAAAAATCACTCCAAAATATGGAGCTCTGGGATAGTGCTACTGCCTGCTGCCATTACCACACCCCGGAACCTGAGGCTGGGTCCACACAGGTGCTACTGGCCCCAAGCTGCTGTCACTATCACTGCTGGCCCTGCCACCCATGGAAAGGGACGTCGCTGCCACTCTACTTACTTGCAGAAGCAACTCTTCACTCTATTCATTTTGAATCCATTTCTTTTTTATTTATTTATTTATTTATTTTTTATTATTATACTCTAAGTTTTAGGGTACATGTGCACATTGTGCAGGTTAGTTACATACGTATACATGTGCCATGCTGGTGTGCTGCACCCACTAACTCGTCATCTAGCATTAGGTATATCTCCCAATGCTATCCCTCCCCCCTCCCCCCCACCCCACAACAGTCCGCAGAGTGTGATGTTCCCCTTCCTGTGTCCATGTGATCTCATTGTTCAATTCCCACCTATGAGTGAGAATATGCGGTGTTTGGTTTTTTGTTCTTGCGATAGTTTACTGAGAATGATGATTTCCAATTTCATCCATGTCCCTACAAAGGACATGAACTCATCATTTTTTATGGCTGCATAGTATTCCATGGTGTATATGTGCCACATTTTCTTAATCCAGTCTATCATTGTTGGAATCCATTTCCTTAGATTTGAAATCTCAGGGGCTACTTCTAATCAGTCACCCTTAGGCCATGTGCATACGCCTCAGCTCCCTGGGGACAGAGAAGGCAAATGGATGACTTTTCTCCTAGACTCATTAACTAGAAAATTCCTCAGAATTAGATAGCTAAAAGACTGATAATAGCTGTTGAATAAGTGAGTAGATAAAGGTATAAGTGAGTTAACACAGTTACCTTGCATCAAAAATAATCCACTTGAAATAAAGATTAATATACTGCAATACAGAGATGTAAAAAGTCTATCATATTTTATTAAATAGAAAGATATCCACAGTGAGCATCTGACTGTGCAATCTAAAAAAATTAAAAAACAGCAGTTATTAGAAAGCTAAGGAGAAGGAACAAAAAGAGAAACAGTGGTTGTAGCATTAAGGAAATGGCAATGTGTCTACACTCTGTTCTATTCTGTAAGTTTTAGAAATTTAGGTTGAGGAATAAAACTGCTATCAATAGCTTATTTACTGAAAAAGGTTATAAAAGTACCATTGCAGTGAAACCCAAACAGGTCTGATAATTCCTTATTAACCCTGTCTGTGCCCAGATGGAAGAGAAAAAAGAAAGAGAGCTAAATAGCCCACAGTGAAGATGTTTGTGTGATTAGTTCAAACAATTCACTTCACCTCTATGGAGAGGAGAAAGGAGTAGAGCAGTAAGTTATGATTATTTAGGAAAATAGACAAATATCTTAGAGAATTAAGAGAAATTCAATAATTTTTGAAATATAATTTAATTATTAAATAATTTAAGAAATTCACTTTAATCATTATTAAATAATAATAATAATTATTAAATTCCATTAATATTCTTGAACTTTCATTCTTAAGTTTCAGATTTCACTATTAATCCTAGGATTATCCAGGTGTAACCATTCCACTTGTGTGTCCCTCCAAATTTCCTGTGTTAAAGTCCTAACCACTAGTACCTCAGAATGTAACCTTATTTGGAGATACTTTCATTGTAGATTTAATTAGTTAAGATGAAGGAATACTGGAGTGGATTGGCCCCCTCATCCAATAGGACAGATTCTCCTTATAGAAAGGGGAAATTTGGACACAGAAACACACACAGGGAGAACACCTGATAAACACAATAAGGGTGATTCTTCTACATGCCAACGAATATCAAAGATCACCAGCAAACTGCCAGAAGCTAGGAGAGAGCCATAGTTGCTGAGAGGGATGGTTCCTCACAGCTCTCAAAAAGAACCAACCCTCCCAACAACTTGATCTCAGACTTCAAGCTTCCAGAACTGGGACACAATACATACCTGTTTTTTAAAGCTATTCAGTTTGTAGTACTTTGTACTACAGACCTAGAAAACTAGTACACAGCTCTAAGGAGATCAGGAGAAGTAAGGACAGTCCTGTTCCCTACACACCAAAGACACTAATTACAACCACCTTCCTTCGAGGCTTTTTTCTTTTTAGTTCACTATTTTCTTCCTTCTACTTTTCTATTCCTTCCACTCTTCAGGACCAACCAAGTTCCTTTGAAGAAGTAAGCACTTGCGGTCTCCACGCTCTTGTTTCATTCTAACACCTTCAACTAGAGCAGTCTAACTTGTCACCTACCACTTCATTGAAATTACCTTCTTAAGATTATGAGTGACTCAGTATTACACTCATTACATAATGTTCAAATCTCTGTTTAAATTGTTCTCTTCTCTAGATTTATTGACTATTATATATTTCTTGGCTATTTTGACATAGTTTTCAGCCATTTCATTTAGCTCTTGTGGATTCCAAGACCTAAACTCATTCTTCTTCTCTTCTTCTCCCTCTGTGAATCTACCCGTAAGTGATTTTACAGATATTACCTCTATACTGATTGCGTTAGAGTCTACATTTTTAATTGTGATCATTTCATGAGCTCTATATACCTATTTCCAACATTCTCATAGACATTTCCACTTGAAATTCATAGACATTTCATGCAAGGATGAAATTCTGATCTTTACTGCTCTGAACGCCTGCTATTGAAGCACTAAATTCAGGTTTTACTCTTCCACAGCTCCTTTGTAGATAATTTTACCAAAAGACACTCAAAGACTTAGGAGTCATCTTAGTCTCCATCTCATTCCACATCCATTAAATCATCAAGACTGGTAGTGTAAGAGTTGAAGAAGGAAGGAAGAAACACGAAAAGCTGCTCAACAGGTTTATTTTACAGAATAAACTTGACAGAGGCTTCTGGCCGAGTTAGGTCATGAGCCTTCTCTGTTACAGACTAAGGGTATTTAAGGGTTCAGGGGCTCATGAGGAGGGGATGCCTTATCCTCCTAGGGCCCGATGGTTCAGTTAGGACCAGATGTGCTGTCTGTATAGAGCAGAGTTTTCATCAGCTCTCACTCCATTCTCAGACCACATAGGCCAACTTTTAGTCTGTGTCTCTTTGTCTTGTTTATCTGGGAGGGAGAGGTTTTGTGTCTGTTCCCATACGTCTTTCTGCACCTGCAGGCATATCACCAAAGTCTGCGTTTAGCTTCCCTATCTTAGTGCACCTAAAAGGAAAGGAATGTGTTTATTAGGGCCCACTCCCTATCTTAGTGCACCTAAAGGAAAAGGAAATGTGTTTATTAGGGCCCACTGTTTTACTGGGGCCCATTGTATAAGTATGAAGTTTGGTAGTTACCCAAAAGACTTTCCCTCCTCCTTCTGTGCCAAGCTGCCTTATCCATGTTTTGCTGTCTGCTCTTTCTGGCTGTTTGTTGTTAGAAGAGAAGTGATTTCCTTGAAATGCATGAGGTTACAAAGGAAGCTGGAACTTAAAATGGCGGTGTTTGTCCAAGATGACAGTGCTCCTGCTCTGTCAGGTAGAAAATTTTTTCTTACAAACAAAATTTCAAATATCATAAGATGTTTGACTCTTCTTTATTATCAACTGCACAGTATATTCTTCAGCATACACAGCAACATTTGACATTTGCTTAATATCCTGAGCTATAATGTATATATTATACAATTCCAGCAAGTTTTGGTGTCTACCTCAAGATCAAGTAATGTGTGCTTCCTCTGTTCTTTTAGTATCTATTCTACTACTGAGAGTACTGGGTTTTTTTTTTTTTCCTTCTATTCCCTCATTACCACCTAAAGAGAGTACTGGTTTGTGGCCAGGCGCAGAGGCTCATGCCTGTAATCCCAGCACTTTGGGTGGCCAAGGCAGGCTGATCATGAGGTCAAGAGATCAAGACCATTCTGGCCAACAAGGTGAAACCCCGTCTCTACTAAAAATACAAAAATTAGCTGGGCATGGTGGCGTGCCCCTGTAGTCCCAGCTACTCGGGAAGTTGAGGCAGGGAATTGGCTTGAACCCGGGAGGCAGAGGTTGCAGTGAGCTGAGATTGTGCCACTGCACTCCAGCCTAGTGACAGATCAAGACTCCGTCTCAAAAAAAAAAAAAAAAAAAAAAAAAAAAAAAAAGAGAGAGAGAGAGAAAACTGGTTTTTAATTTCCCTGCTTAGTTTTTGTATATTCCCTAGGATGTGAGCTCTTCAGAATAGAGTCTACAGTTTATGGCTCAACATCTAACACAGTGATTGTAGCTTTGATTAACTGTGTTTCTTTGATAATTGAAAGCCACTAGAAGGTTTGGAAGTACTTGTTACTTTCAACAATATTATAACTGTAAAGAGATATAGAGGGAAAGCACTTTTACACCGATTGACTGAACTTGAATGGCTTCCTCTGAATGTTAGAATTCCCCAAACAGTAAGATACCACTGACTTAAGTTTTCTCACCTCCCGATGGTAAAACATGTACTACTTTATCCTTGGGATATTGTTGAGATATGAAGCCGCACTAACCTGAATTGTAATACACCGCTCTCTCATGAAAAAAAAGAACATATTTCAGTTTTCTCTTTCTCCGTGTGTATATTTTACTGGAAACAAGACAAGTTAAGTCTCCAAAAGGAAATCTAGGTGTTGCATATAGTAGAAAATCATAAGCTGGCAAAGGACACACCAAAGTCCAACCCTCCTTCCTTTCCTTTCCCGCCACATTTATTTTACAAATTTATCTTTTACAACCAATTCTATTTCAACAAATTTTTCCATGACAAAAAAAATTACAGAATATATAAATTAAAATGGTAGAGGAAATAAATCTGTGGTGCTATCTAGAATGCTGGTGAGGCTTGTATGTCTTTGGAAAAGAAGCTGATATGACCAAATGAAAGAAATATTCTTCCAGCTTAAATTATCAACCCCTTAGAATTTTAACACCACCAAAACAGAATGTCCACTGTAAAAAATGACTCTTCCCCTTGAGAATCAATTTTCTGTAAGTTAATAAAATGATAAACTGCTAAAACTGAAGTAACATGAAAAGTCACAGAATGCAAAGCACTGGATGAATAATGATGGTTCTAGTTCTGTTTTCTTTTTTTTTTTTTTTTATTATACTCTAAGTTTTAGGGTACATGTGCACATTGTGCAGGTTAGTTACATATGTATACATGTGCCATGCTGGTGCGCTGCACCCACTAACGTGTCATCTAGCATTAGGTATATCTCCCAATGCTATTCTACTACTTAGAATGCACAGGTGTCCAATACACACTCTACTTTTAAGAACCTACCTTCCTAAAAAACTTGTTGCTCTGGTTGTCCTGAAATAAGAGATCGTAGGCATGCATGTCTTATGTATTAAAAAGTTAAAATGAAACAATGGAGTCTGGAGATAACGTTTTGTGAGTTAACACTAGAGTTAGCAAACTCATATGTTCTCAATGAAAGTAACAAGAATGAATAAAGTAGTATCATTTGGTGTGAAGGTATCAGTACTTATAAAGGTGATGGCCACTGTTCATCTACAAAAAAAAAAAAAAAGGCTGGTCTAATGATACCAGGTTTTCAGAAATTATTTTCATAGAAGAAATCTAAACATATATTAATCTAAAATCTTCCATATTTAAATATTAATTCATTCTGTTACAACATTGTGCAGGCAAAGCAAAAGAAGTCTGTTGTCTTGCCTGCAGGCAGCCAATTGCTACCTCTGGTTTACAAAAGTCCTTTCTGCTCTCCTTGAACAAGAAAACATTTTGTGTTGTATTTTTAATATAAGATATTAATTCATTAAATAGCTTAGCTTTTCACATTATACTATTTTGTAATGTTTGGTAGTTCTTCATTCATGGTCCACTTCTCTCCAATTGAACTCCATTCTCCTTAAAGGTAGACAAGAGTTTATATTTCTTTTTTTTTCTTTCTTAGAAATAAATTCACAGTAGATATTTAGTGTCTCCTTGTTGATGAGGTGATACAAGTACCCTGAGCAGCTCAGCTTTCTGGATCTTATAAGTCCATTGAACACATAACACAACTGGCAAAGATATTTCAAAAAATGTGCTGCTAAAAACGTAACTTAGTCTATCATTTTACTATTAAATCAAAAGCAAAAACAGTAAACAAACTCCTTTCTAGAAGCTCCACTTCTATGTTTCATATTAAAAACTCTGAATTGTGTTAAATGGCAGGCTTAAGCATTTGTTTAAATCAATTTCATTCATTCATTCAACAGATATTTAATGAATTCCTTTTAAATGTCAGTCTTCAAGTTTCTGCTGATGAAGCAGTTAATAAAGCAAAGATCTTACCTTCATATCTAGTAAATTTTTGTAAGGAATTTTGCAACTAATATGCTTATCACAGGATTTATTTTTTCTTGTCTTTATGTTAATCTTGGAAAATACTCAATGTTAAAGATGTAGTTTTTGATTTATTATCTGTTCTTCAGTGAACATAAGAAGACCTCTTACATATTTTAAGTAATTATAGTAATTATACCCAATAATTAAATAATCAAGAAAGATCCATTCTATTTTGTCTAAATGAGTCAAAGGGAATTGAAAGTAATGGTCTATCTGGCAGAGTTGTGTGTAATTATTTTCCATTAATATTTGCAATAGACCAGAACTTAGGCTTGGAAAAACACAATGCTATGGGGGACATTACAGAAGAAACTAGAAACTAAGTAGGCTTGTATAATATTGTACTAAGTAGCATTTTATTGTTGTTATATAAGAAAATAACATATTGTTATTGCCCTTAGTGCAGCTAGCATGGAGATTCAGACCTTCAGGAATAAACCCTGATGGGGTGATCTCTGACTGATGTTAACATTTTGCTCTCAGCAACACATCCTTGCAAACAAAACAGCATATAATTGCTGTGACCTTGGGGAAACATCAGTTTCCTAAAGATAAATTGACCAACACATATAAAAGGCATGCAATTTCAAACTAATCAAACATACAACAGCTTAAATAACTGGCATTCAGGAAATGAGCATACTTTAAAAAGAATGCAGAATCATGTCCTCATCTTAAATTCCTTTCACAGACATTGCAAAGGATGGTTATTGCTTGCACAAGTACTTTGGTATTTTTTCCTCAAGCCGCTCAGAGGCTTCAGGCCTCCCAGTGAAGCAGAAAGCTCTAATATGGTTCCTTCTGATCTTGCCCTTCCAAGATTGTGTCTGGGTGAACATGGGAAAGAGGTAACAGGAGATCTATACTAGAACCAGGGCTTCTGAGAAAGCCTGATGGATGAACAGCAATTAGTAGAATTACCTGCAAGGCAGGACTCAAGCAGCAGTGGGTAACTATTTGATCCCTGGTTCAGTCGTTGCTTTTCCCTATGTTACAGCTTCCACTGGCACACTCTTGCTCCATAGAGTGCCTTCCTTTTTCTAGACAACCAGACCACACCTTTGCAAACATAATAGTGAGGAGGTAAACTTGACAAAACAATTCTTTGTTTTTTTTTTCTTGATATGGATAAATTTACACAAGTAGATGTTCTTTAGTTCATATAGAATAAGATAGTTCTTGAAAAAGAAAGGCACCAAAGTAGAAATAAATTTGTTTAGAATATGACTTTTTACTTTTTAATCTCCAGTTACCATGAAGAATAATGCACATGCTGAGAAATTTAGTGATTATTTTGTATCTCTGCCAGTTAACAACCATCTCAAGGAATAATTTTCTCCTCAGGGTCAGAAAGCAGATCTTGAGTTTAACAGGCTATAACAGGGAGACAGCAAAAGAGAAACCTGTAGAAATAGGTCCTGTTTCCAAGGATTCTGTGTTTATAACAGTCAAAAGACTCAAAAGAAATTATATTTGGAAAAGCCCTGGAAACCATCTACATCAGCTTTCTCAAATTGCAGTGAGAGAACATCTTTTAGCCTTTCGGTGAAAACTAATTGTGAAGGCTCTTTATTGTATTACTGCTCATAATTGCATTGTGGCCAGCTTTATGCATCAGAAAATTCTATGCAAAATCGTCTTCTTTGCAAATTCCACTCATGATTTATAGTTCTGCCTTTTAGAGCCATGTGGGGAAGCAAGCAGGTTTATATGGTTTGGCTGTGTCCCCACCCAAATCTCATCTTGAATTGTAGTTCCCATAATCCCCACATGTCGTGGGAGGGACGCAGTGGGAAGTAATTTAATCATGGGGGCAGTTACCCTCATGCTGTCATCCTGATAGTGAATGAGTTCTCACAAGATCTAATGGTTCGACAATGGGGCTTTCTCCTCTTTTGCTTGGCAATTCTCCTTTCTGCTTCCATGTGAAGAAGGACACATTTGCTTCCCTTTTTGCCAGAGTTGTAAGTTTCCTGAGGTCTCCCCAGCTATGCTAAACTGTGAGTCAATTAAACTTCTTTTCTTTATAAATTATCCAGTCTCATATATATATTTTTATTAGCAGCGTGATAATGGACTAATACACAGGTTATGTCTCCATATACAAGACCAATATATTCCACACAGGTTATATCTAGTAAAATATAGGGTGCAAAGTGAATAGGAAATTGGTACATAGGAACCTTCACTTTGGCTGTCTGAAGGAAATGTTGTTGGCATGCAATAAATATTCATTAAGCTGTGCACACTGATGGGCACTGGGAAAGATTGTTAAACTGTGTGAAAAATATACCTTCTGAATTATGTTGCTGAAATGCATAAAATTCTTTCAAAGTTCATCCAGGTTTTATAAAAAAGTATCTTCCCTTATATTTCTTTGTATTTTCCCACCGTAAAATTAAGGTCAATAACCACAAGTGTTCTCAATTGAAGCCACACTTGCTATATCCAGCTACTCTTCTCTACACTCCATTTGTTCCAGGGGACCTGAGCTACTCATCATTTTTCTAGAACCATTTTGGTTTTATTTATCTATGTCTTTGATTCTTTTCTTCTAGTATTTTCTTCCATAGCTGTTAAAATTTTACTCATATATGACCTTGTGAAGCTATTCCCTGACTGCAGTCAGAGAAGAAACCTCATAGCAAACTGCACCATTATTAAAAACAACCATTCTGCTTTTTAATAAATACACTCATACACATGTGACTTACCATATTGTCTCATAAATATTTTTTCTACCAGAGGTCATTTCTAATTAGCATTACCTTCTTATGAGGAAATAAATAAATTGATTGTGTATAGACTCTGCTCAGAGAAATGAATGCTCCTCAGTCTAAATGTCTTCCCAAAAGAAACTGAGTTCTGCAGACCTACTGCTTGATAATGGTCAGAATATATTTCACTAAAGATGGGGTTGGAGTAAGAACTGTGAAGAGATATGCTTTAGAAAAATAGTATGTATGGAAGTCTAATCTCTGGTTCACGTCATAGAAATATGTCAGAATTTTAGGTCATGGATCAAGATTGAAAGAGCTAGAAAAACATTAAAAATTCTGTAATGTTTACATGCAAATCTTTTTATTTTTTTAAAGGAATTTCTTCAGTTAAACAAGGTGTATTTTTCAGCAACAAGCTATTGCTAATGTTCACCTCTTGCTCTCTTGTCATCCTTCTCATATACATACCAATGCCCATCCAAAAATGTACTATTAGTGAATAATTTTGATTTAATTTGATCAGTGGAAAATTCCACCCTGGATTTTGCCCTCATGACTGTCCCTGCTACACAGGCCTCTTTGCACAATACACAAGTCTCAGACCAACAAGGCCACATGGAACAGTTTATCTGTGACCACTGGCCTGGACTGCATCTGAGAAATTTAAAACTGGCTATATATCTAGAGAGGGGAAGAATAGAACCCTGGAAAGATGGGTAGTCTATTTATAAAGACTATTGAAGACCACTGAATTTGATGCCAAAGCACACAACTTTCCACTATCACATGAGTTGCTCCAATCTAATATTATTCTACAATTGTAATAAATGCCTTGTTAGAAAAGGTAAAGAGGCTAATCTATCTTACTTTTAAAAATTTAGCTAAGAGTGTCAAAAAAAAAAGGAGTTGAAATGGAGTATGTATACAGGGGTTCAAGTGATTGAGGAGCTGATCCAGGAAAAAGATATAACCATGAGGCAGGTGGCACTTAGACATGGTTGCATAACAGGTGATGTCTCTCCCAGCAAGAGACTGTCCAGAAGTATACAGTGTGAAGGCCACCATCCAGCAGAGGAGGACAGTGGAGTTCCTATGGAAGGTGGGAATTAGAGAGGAGACTTACTTCTCCAGGTGATATCCCTCAGCAGCACACTAGGGAGTCTCTCAGTCACAGAGCCCCAGAAGTGTAGAAACAAAGCTTGGGGTTTATCTTATCCATTGCTAGCAGGCGGATGGGGGTGGTGGTGAGGTTTGGCAGGATATGTAAAGCAGGCGGGCCCTAAATGGCTAAAAATCTGCTTGCTTGGGCTATTTTTAAATAATTAGATGTGTAAAAATTTGAGTTTAGAACTGGCAGAATTTTGAGCTAAGGGCTTCAGCTTGCAAGTGAAGGAATAGAGAACATAGTGGCCAATAAACAGAGGCCATCTTAGGCTTATTTCTGTAACAATAGAAAACAGAAGATTGCATTTCATCTCCGGAGACCATAAGAGGACACAGACACAGCATGAGTCCCAGGACTGTATCTTTAAATATAAAACAGGAATGAAGAAAATAAGGTGGGATCTGAGCCTGAGGCTTAGTAGTGGAGAGGCCTTAAAGAGTCTCCAGCAAAGGTCTGTAGAAACCACCAAGAACCAGTGACCTTCTACTAAAGAGAATGTTCCTTTATGCTTTTCAAAGCCCTTCTCCATTACTTCTTACTTCAGTCATGCAGGTACAGTTCTTTTCCAAAAAACAAAACAAAACAAAAAACAAAAAACAAAAAAACCCACAACAACAACGAAAACACAAAGAAACAAACAAACAAAAAAACCCCACAATTTTTTTGTCAGTTCAAAGCATCTTTTTGTCTTCCTCAAAATATCTAAGAATTTCTGTAGATGTTTACCAGTTCATGCTTGATTCGTGCTTGATTTTACACAAAATTACAAGTATAAGTATATTGTATCTGAAACAAAGACTATAATATTTTGGTTTATATTTAGTTTTTAACCCTTAAAATGTTTATTTAAGTATACCATGTGCCAGAATACATTATTCCAGAACTTGGGAACAGGACTTGATGAAAGGACATAGCTTCTGTGCTCATAGAGCTTATATTAATGGGTGAACTAAGACTAAGGAATGTAACTAGACTGTCTTTCTGCACAGCTTGAGTGGATGAAATAGTACAGCTCCAATCCATTCTGTAAGTGTAGTTGAATCTGCACATGCTAATAAGTGTAGGGAGGACAGTAGTTCAGTGACAATATTTCTATCCATTATTTTGGGTTTCTCCTAGAGTTTCAAGTCTCTGGAGGAAAGTCAGTCTGGTCCAGTTCACTTCTACATAGGTGAATGAAGAAAAAAAAAAAAGAAAACTAAATTCTGACTGATGCTTGGCAAGGAGAGGCCCTGACAAAGTTCCTGGCCTCTATAAAGTCCAAATGTGCTAACGCAGATTCACCCCTTGTATTAGGGAATCAGAAAACAAAGTCATTCACTCCACAGTGTAACACTTATGGGAAGATTCACACCTAATTAGGCCCTTTGAGTTAAAGGTCTATCAGGTTTCTGTTGCTGTATGGGCAGGAGGTTGAAAAGATTCAGGTAGCATGTTCTCCAGGCCATTGAGTGCCAAAGGAATGTTTCTTGATTGTGAAGTGCCTCAGAAGTGTAGGATAAGGCTCTGACAACTTCCTAGGGCAGGCAGTTGCTGCCTACTTCAGTGAAGCTTTATCAAAGTGTTAAGTCTTGGGTACAGAGATGTATTAGTTTTCAAGGGCTAACATAGCAAAGTACCACAAGGCCAGGTATGGTGGCTCATGCCCGTAATCCCAGCACTTTGAGAGGCTGAGGCGGGTGGATCATTTGAGATCGGGATTTCAAGACCAGCCTGCCGAACATGGTGAAACCCCATTTCTACTAAAAATACAAAATTAGCCGTGTGTGGTGGTGCAGGTCTGTATTTCCAGTCACTCAAGAGGCTGAGGCATGAATCGCTTGAACCCAGGAGGGGGAGGTCGCAATCAGCTGACATCATGACACTGCACTGCAGCCTGAGAGACAGAGTGAGTGAGGCTCCATCTCAAAAAGAACAGCAACAACAACAAAAACAAAGCACCACAGATGGTTGGCACAGACAACAGAAATTGATTGTCTCACAGGCTGGAAATCCAAGATCAAAGTGTCAGCAGTGTTCATTTCTTCCAAAGGCTCTCTCCTTGGCTTGTGGATGTCTATCTTCCCTCTCTACATTCACATGGTCTTTCCTCTGTGCATATCTGTGCTCGAATCCCCTCTTCTATGGACACCAATTATATTGGATTAGGATTCACCCGTATGATCTCATTTAACCTCAATTACCTCTTTAAATGCCCTATCTCTAAATAAAGTCAAATTGTTAGGTACTGGTGACAATTAGGTCTTCAACATATGAATTTTGGGAAACACAGTTCAACCCATAATAAAGGGTCATGACTGAATTCTCCATTCCACTGGTGCCACATCTCCCTAATGAGAACATTGTGCAGTATTCTTAAGGAAAAGAAAATTGGCAAGCATCAAGTTCATTAAAGATAATATAACTAGATTTGGATAAGGTCATGGAATGGAGCCAATAATGGTATTATTACCTTTATAAGGGGATGATGAGACCAGAGCACTTTTTCTCCACCATGTGAAGATACAGAAAGGTGTCTATCTGCAGATTAAGAAAGAGGGTCCTCACTAGGACTCTCAGTCAGCTTGGACTTCTCAGTCTCTAGAACTGTGAGAAATAAATTCCTGGTATCTAAGCCACCCAGTTTATGGTAGTTACTGGGTCTGAGAAAACTGAGACAGAGGTCTGCTCTTCACAAAACCAATAATCCTATTTTGAGTAATACTGATACATTCTTCTAAAACAATTGGTACCCATGCCCCTATACTCAGAAATTCTATCTTCTCTAATGCCAAAGAGTGCAATTCTCAAAAAGAGAGGGAAATTCCACAATTGTAAGGTGATATTTCTGTGAGATATTTGACATCTGCTCTCATTAAAGAAAAAAAAATTACATACTTAATTTCTGTTGGGGCAATTGCCCTTATGTGCACAATTCATATGCAGTTGAAGATAGTGATGAGTGTGTTCTAGGCAGAGAAGAACAGTTATGAAAGCATAACCACAGAGACAGACAGAATACAAAGAACTGCAGTATTTAGTATGAGAGAGGTTTAGGGAAGGTATAGTCTGATGGCAAGAGGTGAGAAGGAAGGAAGAGAAAGTAATTCACAAGGACCTGGGATATAAAGCTGAAGAATTTCAGATTTACTCTGAAGGCTTTTTCTCTGTTGTGGTTGTTTTGTAAATGTAAATTTATTTTTGTTTAATCACAATCTATTTCTCAGAGTATCTACCTCTTGGAAGTTACATGGAACAACAGCAGTTACAGGTATTCACTGTCATTATATTTTAAAAGCTTTAAGTTTATGAAAATATATTATGTAGGCACTCTAAGTATTTGATGAATTGCAGTGAATATTATAAAATTATTCAACAATGTAACCTGTGCACTAGAGGGATGAGAGTTAAATGATTTAATTTTTATAAGCAAGAAGAGAGTATAAAAAAAAATACGACCCTTGAAATATGTTGTGGAATTCTCAGTTGCAAAGATCAAGTTAAAACTTAATTAAAGATAATTCTTAAAGTTTTTAAATGAATGCTATATTAGATTTTTTTTAATGAAAATGGTCTCTGAATCTATTTGGAAAATACTTTGAGACTATGTGATAAGTGATCAATTCAAATTTAAGCACTGAGTCAAACTATGGAGGTTTTATCTATATCCCTAAAATATTTATGGATCTACTTTATTCCTTATGAGTGAATTACCGCTGAGTTGAGTTCTTCACTTTTGGGTTTAACTACGAGTCTTTCAGAGAAAGCCTTCCCATGACAGGCCTGAAATGTCACAGTTCACCTTTTTTGCATCCTTATCCATTGGCTTCATCCTCACTTCATTTATTTCAACAGAATGCTGACATTTGTCTAATATTATTTCTAGGTTATGACTCCCAGGCTTTTGACCTTTATCCTCCAATCTGAAATGTCCTTTTCATAGGTCATCTCTTGATATAATAGAAAATCTCTTTTCAGTAGAATACTCCCTTGCCCATACTTTCTACATGTGGGCAGTGGAACTGGAAAGTTCCCTGTCAATTTACCAACTTACTTCATTAGTTGTCTTATTTTAATGAAATAGTATTATATGATAAAATAATTATATATAATGTTGAAGGAAAAATTATACTGACACTTCTTAAAACACTAAAGAAGACTATTCAGGACTGTTACAATAGTGTCAAGACTATAGCAATAGGGGAGAAAGGTGAGACTCAACTACAAAAACATAAGGACAAGTGAAGATTTATAGATAGCAAGCATACTCAAGTGGTCAGTGGATGGAAAATTATTAAAAGGAGACTTCAGGGATAGAGGAATCCTAGCTCAACTGATTTACTGGAATTCTTGCTGAAAGCAGGCTAGAGTGATCAGATATCAGGTGTGGGGGGATTCTTACTAAACTAACTTAGCAGGATTTATCCTAAAAGTGGCCTCATCTGGTTGAAGACAGACCCAAGAATGAGGCTTACTTAAAAAATGGGCTTAGAAAAGCCGAACTAAAATTTTGTGATCTATACTTCAGTAATCTATACTTCATCTTTCTTTTTATAAGAAATATGTGGCCACACACTTATTTGTTTTTTAATCCGTAGGCTAATCCAGAGGAATTTGTTAGATAAATTATCAATATTTCTGTGGAAACTGCTCTTCAACTAATGCAAAATAAAATTAGGTTTTTGGTCAAAACATTCAAACTCAACCTCACATATTCATCTTTTGATATTTGTTTCCGATTTTTAAAAACACATTATTCCTTGTCAATATGTGTGTAAAAGATTTTTATGACTAGAAATTATGCTTGCTCCCTCAATGTCTTTGAATTTTAATTTTTTTCCCATTTAAACGTTCTTTCTTTAACTCTCCGTCTAGATTATCTGACATATACATATATATCTGAGCTACTTAGATCGGGCTGAAACTCACTGATGATTTATTATCCTCTTCAACTAATACCATATAAACAGTGATATGCCCCTCTTTGAAGGGGATGTTTGGGCTAAATACAATATAGTAAGGAATTATATTGGCAGCCTATATTCATCTATCTGGTTATTTTATGTTCTTTTCTTATACCCATCTCGAAACCTGTGAACACTATTCTAAGGATAATACATTTGTCTTTATTTTTCCGGTAGTTTCCTCCTGGAAAAGCCTATTTTTGCATAATTAGAAGGAAAACAATCTTGACTTGTCTGACCAAAAGCACAAACTTTCTATAAACATCAGAAAAAGTATTCTAAACTACTTTGATGCTTTTATTTATTTTCCTAAATTTCAACAAATAGTCTGCAATTTTCTGGCCACTTGTGATATACCACTGGGCTTGGTGAATCTTGGCCTCTGATATTCTTGTCAACCTGTGCAGCAGAACTTTTATAGAAATTTTCTAAATCAATGTTGAATAATGTCAGAGGCTGCAGTTTGGATGGCCTCCCTCTCATATCATAAATGCCACTGTTAACACACCTTGTATCACTGTGCTGGTTATTGCGTCTTCTTCCGATATATCACTAAAATAAGCAGGACAGCTTCTATTTCAAAAGCCTTAGAAGTCGTTGCTCATAACCAAGACCATTAGATGAAGAGGCATTTTTACTCTGTAAGCACTTGAGTGCATTGCTCAATTCTTCTGTCTGTTATTCCATGTGTTTTTTTTATTTCTTGTTGCCCGATATTCACCTATGTATTTTTCTCTTCAGCTCTGTGAAATAGTCTTACATTCACAGCCAAACATCATAAAAAAGTTGTCTTCCATTTCCTTCTCCAATAGTACAATGATTGTATACTGGTTCAATTATCCCAACAAAATCCCAAATAAAATTTTAATTTTCAAACTAATGTGCAATCTGAAAGAAAAAAAATTACTGGGGCCAAAAACTATGTAAAGTCAGGAACACAAAAAATTAAGGAAAGTACTAAAGTCAGCTTTGACTGTAAGAAATTGTAATGTGCAGGGATCCAGCTGCTCCTTGGGTAACCTCTCTAGTATGGTATCTGCTTAGCTGTTCTTTGTCAGGGTTGGATATTTTGTCGTAATCCCAGCACATTTTACTGATAATCACAAGCCTTCTCACTGTCCCTGGTCTGGAAACTTTTTATCTGCCGCTACCTTGCTCCAACTCCAGACTCTTCCATCCCACTGTCTCACCACTTCTGAATATCATGAAGGTCCAAAAATGTTCACCTGGTTTCTTTATACTATCTACTAGGGTGAAGGATTCTGTAAAGTTGTCCTTACGCCCAACTATCTTCCTCAGCAATTGCTATTCTATTAATCTTGTGTGATTTTGAACCCAGTACCGTCCTAACATGAGAATTTTCTAAGAAACAAAGAAGAAAAGAAGAAAGCAAGCAAACAAGAGAGGGAGTGGGGAAGGAGAAAAGAAAAAATGAGGGAGGGAGGGAGGGAGGAAGGAAGGAACGAAGGAAGGAAGGAGCAGGGCGCAGTGGCTCATGCCTGTAATTCCAGCACTTTGGGAGGCCGAGGTGGGCAGATCACAAGGTCAGGAGCTCCAGACCAGCCTGGCCAACATAGTGAAACTCCGTCCCTACTAAAAATATAAAAATTAGCCAGGCATGGTGGCATGTGCCTCTAGTCCCAGCTACTCAGGAGACTGAGGCAGGAGAATCGCTTGAACCCGGGAGGCGGAGGTTGCAGTCAACGGTGATCTTGCCACTGCACTCCAGCCTGGGTGACAAATTGAGACTCTGAAAAAAAAAAAAAAAAGAAAGAAAGAGAGAGAGAGAAAGAGAGAAAGAAAAGAAAGAAAGAAAGAGAAAGAAAGAAAAAGAAAGAAAGAAAGAGAAAGAAAGAAAGAAACAAAGAAACAAAGAAAGAAAGAAAAACAAGGAAGGAAGGAAGGAGAGAGAAAAAGAGAAAGAGAAGAAAGGTGGGAACTGCTCACAGACTGGTTTTTGTACATCCCCCCGCACCTATTTGGATCTTTCCAGCCACCCTGTACCTCAGGGTGTTGGTTCTAAGGTAGAAATGAAGGAATTTTGTCTCACAACTTATTCTGATGCTCCTTTACCGTGATGTTCGCTACCTTGCTTTTATCTTCCTTCTCTCTTTTAAACCTATCTCAGCCCAAAACATGAGTTTCTTTCTCCTGTGAGTTGATCTCAATTTTTCCCTGTTCTCCAATCAAATGTAACCAATACTGTAAGCCTTCATTCACTTATTTGTTCAAAAATATATTGAGCACCTGTCGTCAGCCAGGACTATTCTAATTCCTAGGGACTTAGTGATAAAGAAGATAGATAATATTCCTGACACAATCTAGCTTACTTTGTAGCAAGTGGAGATAGATAATATACAACTTTAAAATAATATAAATAAAGGGAATATCAGATGATTAAGTGCTATGCACATGTTTAATCCAAGATAAATACATATAGAGTAACTTTAATTCTCATAACAATCTTATAGATAAGTAATGTTTGTGTCCCAATTTTTAGGTGAGGAAACAGTCTCAGAGAGTGTTAACCAATTTGGGAAGAGTCATACTCAGATAGTGATATGGTTTGCCACTCAAATCTCATCTTGAATTGTAGCTTCCATAATCCCCATGTGTTGTGGGAGGGATGCCTTGGGCAGTAATTGAATCATGGGGGTGGGTTTTTCCCATATTGTTCTCTTGATAGTGAATAAGTCTCACAAGATCTGATGGTTTTACAAAGGGCATTCCCTTGCACATGCTCTCTTGCCTGCCACCATGTAAGATGTGCCTTTGTTCCTCCTTCACCTTCTGCAATGATTGTGATGCCTCCCCAGCCACGTGGAACTGTGAGTCCATTAAACCTCTTTGTTTTTATAAATTACCCAGTCTTGAGAATTTCTTCCTACTAGTATGAAAATAGGCTAATACAGATAGTATGTGGTAGAGCCAAGGTACAAATCTAAGCAGTATGACTCCAGAGAAACTTCTCCTGACTACTAAGCTATCCATCTCAACAAATGGGAGGTATAGTATTTATAAATATTAGTATTATGATCATTCTCAGTCTCTTCTCTTACACTAAACTTATTCTTCTCATTTATTTGTGTAAGATTTACTCTTAAAGATTTTTATTGCACTTATTTCTGGGCACTTGACTTTCTTAGCAATGCCTGTCGCTGTTTTATGGCATTGTCTTTGACGATTTGCATAGATATTAGAACTTCCTTCCAGCCAGAAATGTTTACACACCATTATTCCTCCGTTAAGTGTAAAACCTAAAGTACTTTTATTTCTTATCCTCCTTTCTTAGTATTATGTTCTACCCAACTTCACATTATACTCAATTTGTGTAGACTTCCATAATATATCTTTGGTTATTTTCTATGTCATCAATAGTTTCTCTCCCTAAATAAAAAGCACCTTTGTGGTGGTTATTCCCATTTTTACCTTGTCACTATATTTAATCACCATGTTTCCCTGTCCAAATATGTCTCTAACTTTCACCGAAATCATGAATAGTCACAGAATTCTTTGAAGCAATTCCATGACCTTTCCTTCTCTCCATAGATCATATTCAGTAAGAATCATCATTTAGCATCAACTTTAGGGACAAAATGCCATGAAATAGTTTTAATATTCATGTCCTCCTTTTTATTAATGTAATTTCCAAAACAGATTCATCTTTTCAGTAGACCTTAAGTGCTCATAGACCTCCTTGTTTCCAGTGATTTCAAACACAATACATTGTCATTGATTCTACACTAACTGAAATAAAAAGTAGAAAGAACAATCTGGCAGCATAAGTTCTCACTATAAATTTTTCTCAAAAGGTCTTCAAAATTATTTAACGAGGTACTTCTCTTGTCTCCTGCTCAATTGCATTCTCTTCCTCACCCTTTCCCTGCTTTATTTTTTTCCTTCATAATTCCCATTCTGTCACTCCTACCTATATTTCTCCATTATATCTAATGTAAGAATGGGTTTATTTGCTTTTAATCCCCTCTAGTATCCCTCCACTTAAATGCTGCCAAATGTGTCTGAGAAGCTCACTGTGTTCCTCTCAGCAGCTGAAGGAGCAACTGGCGTTCAGAATGCAGGTATCCCAATTCTGGCGATCTGCCTCTGATACTGCCACTCTACATTTATTTCTTCACCTGATTCTGCATTACTTGTAAAACCAGTCATTACTATTCTCTATAGCTGAATCCATTTCTTTGTATTAACGTAACTTCTAATTTAAGTTGTTATTTTTTTCCTTATAAAATGCTACAGGTAGGTAAAAATTGTTTATGATTTGTAACATTCCCATAAGCTATTATTCCCACTTACAAAGATTTAAAAGAAGAAAAAGAGGTCAAATTACCTTCTCAAGCTCACCAAGCCAGAAAATGACTGACAGGCCTAGCATATGGTTCATTCCTCAGAGAACCACATCACTTCTAAGTTGCAATATAATAAATGTTATGGTTTTAAAACATACTACACTTAAGAAAAGTCAAGGCACTACAACAAAATATTTATAAAGATTTAACTGAAAGTGATGCTATGCTTTGCAAAAATGCTTAATTTCAACTCCACATAATATTTCCTTTACTTAAACTTTCAAAAAAAAATTTTGCCCTGAAACTTGTTGATGAGACAAACATAGCTTTTCTCTGGTGACAAATAAAATGATGCTATGTTGGTTCTTCATCACAATCATATCATCATAAAAGTGTTGGCATAATTAAGGATTTTAGTAGAATTAAACTTAAAATGAATATTCATGTGATTTTGAATAAATTGCTGAAACATTTCCTATGAGTACTAGACTTAATTCACAGGTAAATTAATTCAAAGCATGTAAATTTAACTTTCAGTACTTCAACTTACATCAAAGTTAAAATGAAATTTTAAATAAATCTTTCTTAATAATATGAATAGAGTCACATCAAACAAGCAGCTTCTATGTTACTTCTGGCAATATCAATCCCCTCTCATTTAAATGTAATAATGTTTAATAACTATTTCATTGTAGAACTTTCAACAGGATAATAATCATAATTTCTTGTAAAAAGAAGTTTAAAATTAGTTGTCAAAATTCCATTCCAAACATCAACTTTTGAAGGATTCTAAACACCATATTAGGTTATCTGATGATATATTTTCTTACAAGCTATGTTTGGGGCAGTAATTAAGACTTTATTTTTGTGTTAGTAAGAATGGGTAAGATTATATTGTAGTAACAAGTAACTCCCAAACCTCAGTGACTTAAATCCAAAATACTGCAGTGTTAGTTTGCACTACATGTGTAGTAAGGGGAATGACATAAGGCTCAGATCATTGCAGTCCACTCAGGCCCTGTACCAATAGGGCCACCTCATCACAATTGCTCTTTCTGTCTGGGAACAATGCCGCACCACTGCTCACCTAACCTCCCTCTTCCCCAGATGCATTATATTGTTTTTTTTTTTAATTTTCTGTTTAATTGTCTTTCTTCTTCCTTATGGCTCCCAATCTCTCTTCTTATCTCTAACCCCATAGCTCCATCATACATGATATATCATTTTCGGAGTTATTTATTATTTTTTCTTTTGGAGGTTTCCAGTCATTATTAATAATAGCAATGTGCTATATTTCTATCTAAATCTAGTAAGATACAATGAGTTCTGAAGTTTGTTACACTGTGAATCAACTGCTCATCCACAGAGTGATATGCCACTTCTGCCCACAGGGCACTGGACATAAAAGGTCACATGATTATACCCAACAACATTGACCTATAAAACATAATCCTGCTGTAAGCCTGGAGTACAGAGACAGAAATATTTTGTGAACAGTATTACTTGCTGGACAGTCGATTGTCTGGCCATCTGTTTGACTCATTTCCCCTTCCAAGGCAAAATATACCTACTCTCTCTCAAAGGAAGATAAGTCTCATAAAGTTAATTTCAAACCTCAAAGTCCATGTTTCCAATTAGCAGTAGTCACTTGCTTGGGTCGAGATATGACCCCTGAACCTTGAGCCAGACATACATTACAAAACTTTATGTCCTTCCCTCAAATAAATATGCAATGATTGACAAAAATAAGCCTCCCATTCACAAATGGGAAGAAAGGAAATACACAGATGTTATTAGTCTACATCAATTCTGAAATTCAGAGGGCAAAATTCATGAGAAGACCCTTTATTTGTTGTGGTCAATTTCTCTCAATTAGGCTTGGTTCTAGTCTTGGGAAGTTCCGGTCTTTGGTCTCTTTGATCTTTGGCTCTGCCTCCAAAGATATCTTTCCTCTTTTGTTATCTCACTACATCTGAAATGGGCATTGAGAAGTCTGACTTCTTTAGGGGCTAATCAGCTTTCTTAACCTGCTTCTGTAGAAAGTTGAGGACACAAGAGTTAAGTTTTAAATAGTCACAAATGTTTTTAGCCTAGGATCAGAGTTTCTTTGATAGTGTAACACTCTCAATAAGTTAGCTTCAGATCTACTTGATGACAGCCAGTTCCATGTGCCATGAGCTACAGTCAGACTCAATTTCAAAATATGCCTCTCTCTCAATTTAACTATAGGTACTTTGAGACTTTTTTGGGCTTAGTGAGAAAGTCATACCCTTAGTCTTTTTTGCTAAGGCATTTGTCCATTCAAATGGATATACTTCCCATCATCTTAATCCACAAAGAGATTACAACAGTGAATGTGATCGCAAAACCCTTAATTGCATTCTTGCTGCATAGCTGTTGTAATTGACCTTTTTTATTCAGAGAATTTCTCTATATTAATTTGTACTGGTCAGCGTTGACAAGTAACTGCCTTTTCCAATCCTATGACTTCTCACATTGTTGGACTCTCTCTAGACTTTCACTCCTGCTTACAAACAAGCCCAATTATTTTCTGAATCCATCTCTTTCTTGTGTTATCTACTCAAATGCAGCCAACAGTAACCAACATACATTTCTAACATTCTATTTCTCAAATACTTTTCCTATAGTTGCAGGGTCAGAAGATAAATTATCTACATTGCAAATTATCACATTTGACAGTTTTAGCATGTGTTTCTCCACTACACAACATAAATAAATGTCTTTCTAGTTACTAACAACAGCTTTCTCACCACCTAAGCAAATCACTTGAAGCAATGTAAAATACGTTATTTTGTTATTATAGTCTCTTGCTTGTGGTGCCAAATTTGTATCAGTTAGAATAGGCTACTTTAGGCTATAGATGAAAAAAAGAAAAAGATAAAAATTCTAAATCTCAATATTTTAAAAGAATGGTTTGGTCTTTTTTCCCTTCTTATAAGTACACTGTGGTTTGGCAAGAGTGTTGTACACATAATCTTCATTGAGGAAATTTGTCTGCCAGAGCAGACAATCTTAAATATTGCTGTTCACCTTATTTATTAGTTTACTGATACTTTATTTATTAGTTTACTGATGATTATTTATTAGTTTTCTGATGCTTTGTAAAATACTACCACAAACTCAGTGACTTAAAACAATATACTTCTGTTGCTTCAGAGTTTTTGTGGGTCAAGAACTGAGCACAGTCTAACTGCATTCTTTGCTCAGGGTCTCACAAGATATCAGTCATGGTGTCAGCTGATCTGCATTCCTTATGGAGTCACGGGCCTCTTTCAAACTCATATCGTTGTTGGAAGAATTCAATTCCTTATGGATCGAGGACTGAGGCCCCATTTTGATTGTTGACTGCTAGACAGAGGATGCTTTTAGGTCCTAAGTGTCACTCACAGTTTTTATCACATGTCTCTCTCATGGACAAAATTATAGCTCACTTCATTAAGGTAAGGCCAGCAGGAGAATATGTCTTTTAAGGGATAACTTGAGTAGGTCAAGCTCACCTAGAATAATTTTGGTTAATACAAAGTCAACTGATTAGAGACCTTAATTACATTTACAAAATCCCATCAACTTTGCCATATAATATAATCTACCACAGGAATGATAAGCCACCATGTTCACAGATCTTGTCTACATCACAGGGAGGGGAAGATCTATGGGAATTATGCAAGCAGCAGGAATCTTAGGGTAATGGATTGTAGATTTCTGCCTACCACGCATTATAAAAAGAAACATGAGAACTTGCAAGTTTTTTGCCCTCACACTCAATGTCTAGCCCAGAACTGACTTCTGCTCACAACCTATTGGCTCAAACTACTCTCATGGCTACACCAAACAATAGTAGGTCATAAATTGCAATCCTAACATATTTGTGAGAATATTTGTCGTTTAGTCAATGACTCCTACATAGCCTACAATTAGAAAATGTGTAGATACGATTAACTTAAAGGACCTATGTCTTTCAAATATAGATAACATAGCTTCCAAACCAGTGATATGAGAAGGCAGTATTTTAGAGTTTTTGTTTACCTTCCATTAAATTTTTCTAGGTGTTTCGCACAGGTCATGATTATACAGGAGAAGAAAACTCAAGTTTTTTTTTACATTAAATAACTTCTCTTCCATCATACTGGTTATTAGTAGTAGAGTTAGCATTTAATCTAGCTTGTCTATGTTCTGTCTACTGCATTGAGCAATTGCTGTGTATGACGATGGTATAAGAATACTGTCGTGAATTTTCAGAGTACTAGAAATTTGAAGTAGAGATTTCTTAAGTTTGATAAGTAATGATCATTCTACCATTTTTCATTGATCCTTTTATTTATAAATAGGTATAGATCACCCATGGTTCAGGATTTAACTTTGAAGTAGAGATAAAACAATATCAAGACACAAATTAGTACTTTAAATTTTTTCATCAAACTTATTGATGAATGTGTAGAAGGCTTTTTTGAAGTTTCATACTTTATAGTAAAGACAATGAGGCAAGGACTTACCCTTACCTCCCTAACATCTGTTCTCCCCTCACTTTTAGTAAGATATTTGGTTGTATTCTATATTGCAGCAACCTTACTATATTCTGCAGGTGAAATATATAAGTGGAAGCCTTCAGGTCTCTGGTTTAGCAGCCAAATCTAATTCTGATGCACTTCTCTACCAATATTTTTGTCATTATTCTTGGAGTCTTCATTATCAGTGAAGACAATTTACTTAACATCCTGGCTTCTCAGTTTCTTAGCCTCATCAACTCGAAAAATCTGTGTTTTTTTTTTACTTGACCTCATCCAGTCATCCACATCCCTATCTTGATTCTTAGCATGAGTTTGTTTCTCAAGTCTTTGTTCAGTGATTGTTAAAACATTGCATTACTGCCTCCCAATTGTCACATTACTGATGATCCTATGTGCTCTCTGGGCCTTTGCACTTGATATTCTCCTTGCTTTTTTCCAGATATGTGCATGGCTGTTTTTCTTTCAGCACAGACATCACCTCCTAAGAAAGGCATTCCGTGCCAGACTGAGGTAAAGTGACTCATTTGCCTGATTACATTTATTAACAACAGTTTTTGTGATCTAAAAGTATTTATTTATATGTTTATTTTCCATTTGCCTCCTATAAAATAAGGAGAGTTTTTTCTGTCATTTTTTTCCACTGCTGCATACCAAGAGCCAAAAATGGTGCCTTATAAGAGGAAACTAAATAAATCCCTATTAAACAAATGCATTATCATATGGCTTATTAATATATCTGTAGAAAAGTTACCTTGTAGAAATGGTTAATAATTAATAATTAATCAATTAATTAATTTACAATTAAGTGGTAGAATTAATTAATTATTAAGTGTATTTGAATGGAAAAGGTGAATAAGAGGAGTCACAGCTTTCTTACACATACCAAAATTGATACATCCTTTATGATAAAATTCTTAATAATGTCAAGAAAATTTAAAAATTAAATTATTGCATGGAAGGTATTCACTTAATGAAAAATATACTTACCAACATAGAAATTTGTACTCATATCACATAAAATTCCATTTGGATTTTCATCAAATGTGAGTATATTTTGAAGAGTATAATTTATGTAGCACAGACAAAATTTATTTTGCAGAGACATGAGAAATACCTCAAAGTGATACGAAGTTGATAGACCCCTGCCACACAAATACAACACTGAAGATGGATTTTCATCAAACGTGGAGGGTATGTTGGAATACAGGCCATGTAGCATACATGAAAGTCACTTTATGGGTAACTAGGGCACTGAAGAGAAAGAGGTAGATATCACCTCAAGCAGCTGACTCAGAGTCACAAAGAGATACTTTTGTAGTGGCTGATTGAGAAAGATGGGCTGGACAAATTCAGAAGTTGTGGACAAAGAAAGCAAATAGCGGTTTCAAGTACAAGCTCCAAATCTAAAAGCACAGAAGGAGATTCTCCTAATTGCAAGCATCAATGTGAATTTAACTCTTCTACATTGCCAACCTATGTAGAAATCCATGGGTAAGAGAGTGTATAATGATGGCTAATCATGGGCCAGAGGCAAAAAGGGTAGATGACACCAAATTTTTAAAAATCATCAGGGATTTATATTTTCCTAAAAATACTAATATTCTGTGTAGCAAGGTGACCCCTTAGGGAACAAGGTCCCTTTTTTGAAGTCAGTATACATCAGATTGGAAACTGCCACCCACAGTCGGTGAAGAGGGGCAGGAGGCCAGTTGAGTGAAATGTACCCAAGAAGTAACTGAGAGAGAAACAGCATTATATAAGAAACGAACTTTTAAAACTGTGCAATGGCTTTCTTACAAATAAAGTGATGATTGAAAAGGGAAGGCTGCAGCTGAAAGATAAGATATAAGAGTACTTCGGTCAGAGAGACAGTTTGAGAAAAAAGGACGGGAAAATGTTGGTAGCCAAGGTCCCAACTCTCTAGCAACAGAAATTGAGCTGTGTAAATTCCACTGCTACCAAATAATGGAATGAAATGCAAGTATTAAAAATGATATAAAACTACATTTATTGATTTACAAAGATGTCCCTGATATATTGTTAATAGAAAAAGTTTAAAGAAATACATATAGTATTCTCTCCTTTTTTTAAATACCAGGGAAAAAATAGAGGAGCATATCCCAATATTAAAACCTGATAAGTCGGCCGGGCGCGGTGGCTCACGCCTGTAATCCCAGCACTTTGGGAGGCCGAGGCGGGTGGATCACGAGGTTACGAGATAAAGACCATCCTGGCTAACACGGTGAAACCCCGTCTCTACTAAAAATACAAAAAATTAGCCGGGTTTGGTGGTGGGAGCCTGTAGTCCCAGCTACTAGGGAGGCTGAGGCAGGAGAATGGCATGAAACCAGGAGAGGGAGCTTGCAGTGAGCCAAGATGGCGCCACTGCACTCCAGCTTGGGTGACAGAGCGAGACTCCATCTCAAACAAAACAAAACAAAACCAAACCTGGTAAGTCAGAGGGGCAATTTAATCTTTTTTATGCTTGAATTTTCTATTTTCCTTCAAACTAAATATACTAATTATGTAATAAGAAGTACTCAGGCTGAGTGTGGTGGTTTATTCCTGTAATCTCAGTACTTAGGGAGGCCAAGGTGGTAGGACCACTTGAGACCAGGAGTTCAAGACCAGGCTGGGCAACACAGTGAAGCCTCATCACTAGAGAAATATTTTAAAAATCAGCTGGGCCTGGTGGTGCATGTCTGTGGTCCCAGATACTCAGGACACTGAGGTGAGAAGATTGCTTGAGCCCAGGAGGTCAAGGCTGCAGTGAGCCATGATGATGCCACTTCACTCCAGCTTGGGAGACACAGCAAGACGCTGTCTCAAAAAAAAAAAAAAAAAAAAAGAAAAAGAAAAGAAAAAAAAGAAAAATGAATCACACTTCAACAATTGCTAGTCTGGAATAAATCATTAAAATGATTCCTATGTATCCTCACATATGAAAAATATACATTGAGACACACTAGATGAGAAGAGCAAATCAATATCAGGAGTCATAATCCTTATAGTATGTGTCAGGGATACTCTAATAGAAAATAACATCCCGATGGTCAGCCTGAAATCTGAGAAAATGACATCTTCATTTTGTAGAGAATGCTAGAGACATTCACTAGTATAGTGATGACAAAAACGACATTTTCCTAAAGACATTCAGCATCCAGTCATCTTTTTACTTGTTAAGGCTCAAAATAAGTTTGATAGATCATAATATTTGCTTTGGTTCTTTATACTACCAACTCTAATAGAAAGTTTACTTACCATGAGTATACTTCAGGGGTGCTCTTAAAATCGAATACACACGCACATATTATTATAAGCAGCTTTTTTATAGAATACCTGGAATAGAGATTATTAGCAAAAATTAACATGATAACAAAGCAAGTAGCTGAAATTTTATAGGCAGAGCTGGCTTCCAAGGGGCTTATACAGTTGTAGAGAGCCCAGTGCTTAGAAATACCAGCATTTGGTTTAATACTCTGATGTCATCATCTTGAAATTTTTAATAATTTTTTAACAAGAAGTTCTGCCTTTTTATTTTGCACTGGGCTCCACAAATTATATTTCTGATCTTGCTTATAGTATGATATAACTTGTGATCAACATTGTTCTAGGATGAGATAAGAAAGGTCACACTGTCAAACTGAAAGATTAATTAATTTGATGTCAAATATATAGGTGTTAGAAATAGAGCCACGTGCCTATCTGGGTATTGGCTATAGCAAATATTTCTTTGAAAGATAGTGAGAAATTTAGTTTTTAAAAAGTTACATGCTTAGTAAAGTAAATATTATTCTTTAAGATTTGTATACAGCAGGATATCAAACTTGTGCTTACATTTATGATTAAATTCCAAGGTGTTCTGAAGATTGGTTCAATAATTCCCTGATATAAAAAGACCATTTTTTGAAGGATTAAAGTTAGCATAATCAGGAAATAAACTAGAATTTCTAAAATTGGATTATTTCAGTATATTATTATTTGAGTAGACTTTGTCTATGTCAGGGTTTGTGAGCATCAAAAACTGGCTATTACAGGTAGCTCTAGGATCTTATGAGAGGAGTAAGAAGCAATTGAACAGTTTTACACTTATTCATTGCATACAAGATTTACCCAGGTATTTATTTCTGCTGCTTCAGCATTTTTTACAAAGGCTTTGGAAAGACAGGATGTGGGCTAACAATGGTAGTCTTTAAGTACAGCATTTTCTTTTTTAATATAAAAAGCAAGTGAGAGAGAAAAGACTTTGTTTTGCTAATAAGAACAGAACCTAGCTTAGTAAATATGATACCCTCTCACAAATCCGTAAAGAACTGAAAGTTTATGCAATTTTAAAATACCTCAGGAAATGTTTATGAATATCTTTTAATTCGAAGTCATTTAACTTGCATTTAAATATGCTAGCTTAGCAAAATCATATTGGTAATTTCATTGGTACAAATGAAATAGAACTGAATGGTGTGGGATTTGGGGAAAAGAAAGAAAATTAAAATTATTGCCTTTAGGAAAATACACTTTATAACATAAGAAACTTTGTATAAGTTTATCTCCCCCAAAAAATTGTTTTTGAAAGATTTGAATTCAAGCAATTAGTGGAGAGACCAGTGTGGGAATCCTTACTGCTTTACTTATTTGCCGACTTAGAGCAGGTTATATAACCTCTCCCAGCAACATATTCTTCATTTGCAAGCTGGGGCTGGTTGTAGCACTTTTCTTTCAATGTTGCTTGAAGATTGCATAAAAATATATGCAAAATAGGTGGCATGTGAATATGCACAACAGATGCTATCTCTCACCTTGATCTTTATTTTTATTTGGTAAAATAATATATACATATTGTCACATGTATAAATATTTGCCTATCCTTTATGTCAGTCTACTAAACTGGCATAAAAGTGAACCCAGAGTCCCACTCTTCCTCCTCTGTGCTCCTCTCAATGTACTTTTCATCTCTGAACACCTCCAATCTCCCCCAGGATCTGACTTTTTCTCATACTCTGGCCTAGGTCAGTTAAGGTGGGAAGAGAAATATATATATATATCTTCCCAGTCCAAACTTAAAATCCAGTTACTGCAAGGCAAACATATCTCATTATAACTAAGATTGTCTACCACTCAACATTAACTTTGGTATGTTAATATGCTAAAAAGAGTCCCTGTTTTCCTTTATTAACTGTCCCAGACATTCCCTTCTGTACTTCCATTTCGATAGGCCATGGCTTGCAGGTAATGTGACAGTGCCCTGCTCTGAGAAAAGAATAATCTTAGTGTCAGGAATCCTGGACAAAAAAATATTGATAAAAATGCATTTATAAATAGAGTTTATGTCATACAACAAGTTAGTTGGTGAGATACATCTTGAACATTTAATGAAGAAATTGACTTTTCTGAGGGACATGGATGGTTTTACTGTAGAAAGGTAAGTAAATCAAAGCAAGCTGTATAAACATTGGTCTGAGTGAAAGCAGACACATGTTTCACACGAGTCAATCTTTATGGGGTCCCAAACTCTCCTAAAAGTACAAATTACCTTCATTAGAATATTAGACCAAAAGCAGTAGAGTCTCTTATAAAAATGAGTGAGATAGCCTGAATGAATCAGAGAAAATGACAGTGGTAAAGAATCACTGGTTGAGCAGTAGTTTTTCTCTCTGAATCTAAGCATGTAAACACTAAGAGAAGTATTACAGAACAATTCTGTTCCATATGAAATTTTCATTCATCCAACAATGAAAAAAAAGGATAAGCAATGATATTGTTGAAAAATTACTTGAACAATTTAAGACGGGTCTGTATACTTTGCCATCAGAACAGCCCAGTTGAAATAATAAATTATATGCCTGAGAAGTGCTATAGCTTAGCGAGATTGATTTGTAATGTCATGCAACCCACTGCCATTGCACTGTGCATTTGTGTTTGTGTAATGTTTATGTAGCAAAGGCCGAGAGAACCTATAGTTGAACTTTGCTTATGTGTTAATTTTCCTGAAGTGTCTGAAAGAGTACTTTTTATAAAGAAGCACGTATTGTTTTGGTAGACACTACACTGAAGACCATGAGAAGCTACCTGTCTCCCATTTTGGTAGCTCTCCGTTTTACATCTTAGCAACATGCAGTGCCACTAACAAGTTGGAGACGCAGAGAGCTACATCCTTCTCCACCATATGGAAATTTAGGAAGTGTATTTATTTCCTAGTCAAAGTCTAGTATTTAGATGGCTCTCAACAATTAGTCAATGAAAATAATATCTTCTTAGAATTTTTTAAATACCATAAAAAATACTCAAAAAGTAAATTATCTTCCAAAATAATAATAGTGCATATCTCTCTATAGATACACATATAACACACACATTAATGCACACTCCAAGACATATATGTACATGATACATTCATGAACATTTAAGAGAAATAACATTTTTTGCTAAGAATTCAACAACAACTATTTTAAATTTTAAATATAATGTAAACAAATATATAACTGGTCTGATATAACTGAATATATTTTAGTAAATATGTTCAGGCTTATTCTGATTGATTTATATATGAATTCCCCAATTTAAACTATCTCCACCTTAAGAAATTATTTAATGTGGTTAATGTGCATATTAAATAATGTCAATGAGAAAGGCACAGAGCAATCTCTTCCCCTGTCAAAGCATTTGCATTTAAGATTAAAAAGCAGTACACAGAAGTTTTATAACATAGAAAACAGCAGGGTTATTAAAAGGATTGTCAACAGAAATTCAAAATACTGACTTCAAGTAACTTGGTCACACTGGTTATGAATGACTATTCCTTTGTTTAAAAATCATTTTTAAAGCAATTACTCCTTCATTTAACCTACAATATTGTTGGCATAAAATCAATATTAAATCCTATAACTGAAGCCAGATTGTATAGAAATAAGTAATTTATGTTTTATCTCTCAGTCATTTCTCTGGAGTGTCTCCACAGACTGCAGAGTAAGTGGAATACACCTAGAATTCATGTTATAAAGCTATCTTATCCTATTGCTTGTACGCAAAATAGCATATGGTTATAGTAAAAATTAAAAAGGTAAATTGCTTGCATTCATCAGGTATTATGCATAACACGTGGCTCTAAATGCACTCATTCGTTAATATAGGCAGTGCATCTTTGCATTTTTATTCAGTATATGACATTATGATTGAGACTGATGAAATTCTATAATATGTAAATGTTACTCTATGCTTTTAAAAACACTATGGTTTACTTAGTCTTTAAACTCATTTAAAATATGTTAAAAAGTAAGTTTAGTTCTATAGAAATTATAATACAGAATTCAAATATTTTTTCTTTTGCTAAATCTAGATATTCATATGTGGGCCAAGACCCATTTTTATATCATATTCAACCAAATAACTAAATTTATATGATTTTCTAGTTAAGGATGATGTTTACAACCTAAGAAAATGATCCAAAATGCAAATCGAAACATTTTGCATTCAGTTGAAATCATTTTAAAAATCTTTCTTCAGGATACAAGATAAATTGCAAGTATTGCATGATCTGTGAAATACTCAATGATCTCTTCTCTCCTTACTTATCCACCTGTATCTCGGTTCTCCAGTCAGCTCCTGCCTCCTTCCTTATTCCAGGGTCCACAGAATCAAGGTATTTAGAAGACTGAGAGTTCACTGAAATGTGTGCCCACAGTTGGTCCTTACAACCTTAACTCCTAAGTCCACCTCTGAATTCATCTTCAGCTGTAGAAAACAGTTGTGGCCATGCTGATAACATTCCACTCTAAATGCTGCATCTCTCTTCTCGTCTTCACGAGAGCAAATTCCAGTCCCATGAAAGCTTGCTGGCTAAGACCAGGTGCAACTGAAGTTCAGAGGAGTAACTGCTTCAAGGCACAACATCCAACCAATGGTGTGTCTGTCAGGGGAATGAGGTGGGAGAGTGGAAGTTGTTCAATAGCCTAGCCTCTCCATCTTTCTGGGGAACAATTTGGAAGTATGTCCTACATAGTTCCTCATAAGGCCCCAACAGACCTGCACCTCGATGCCAAAAATAGCCACCCGTTTATTAACACATACGTTGTCTCCTTTTCCTCCTTACTGTTTCTTTTACAGTGTTTTTTTACTCTTGTTTTCTGGACCATCTCTCACAAAAAGTACCTGTTCCTAACTCTTTGTTCCTGGGTTTACTTAACCTTAAATGAGCAGTAAACACCCTGTTGAGTTGGAGCATCCATGTCCAATATAAAAGCATTTGAGTTATACCAAACAGAGGAGGAGGCAGGGTGGGGGGTAGGAGGGTGCTGTCATACCCAGGTGTAGGCCTCTGTGATTAATCTCTCTGATGTGGAATTGCTTGAAGTTCCTTGCATACATCAGATTATTACATGCCTCTGTGTCTTCTATCGTGCTGTTTTCTGACTGAGATGCTCTTCCTCTGCTTCTTCACTCAGATAACTTCTTATCTTCAAAAAAGCAGCTCAGATATTATGTTCCAGAAAGCTTTCTCTTATACCTAAAACAGAACCAAGCTTCTCCCATGGCAACCAGCACAAATTTCATGTTAGAACCCTTAACACATTATATTGAGATGATCTATTAAGATGCATTCTTTTCTCTTTTTTTCTTTTTTTTATTATATTTTTAAGTTCTAGGGTACATGTACACAACGTGCAGGTCTGTTACACATGTATACATGTGCCATGTTGGTTTGCTGCACCCATTAACTTGTCATTTACATTAGGTATATCTCCTAATGTTATCCCTCCCCGCTCTCCTTACCCGATGACAGGCCCCGGTGTGTGAAGTTTCCCACCCTGTGTCCAAGTGTTCTCATTGTTCAATTCCCATCTATGAGTGAGAACATGTGGTGTTCGGTTTTTTGTCCTTGGGATAGTTTGCTGAGAATGATGGTTTCCAGCTTCATCTATGTCCCTACAAAGGACATGAACTCATCCTTTTTTATGGCTGCATAGTATTCCATGGTGTATATGTGCCACATTTTCTTAATCCAGTCTGATTAATGATGGACTTTTGGGTTGGTTCCAAGTCGTTGCTATTGTGAATAGTGCGGCAGTAAACATACGTGTGAATGTGTCTTTATAGCAGCATGATTTATAATCCTTTGGGTATATACCCATTAATGGGATGGCTGTGTCAAATGGTATTTCTTTTAGACTGCGTTGTAAGTTCTTTGAGAAAAGGAGCCAGAACACTTTGGCTTTGGGACTCCAGGGTAGCACATTACCTGTCATGTACTAGACACTGAAAATAATAAACGGGTTAATACTTTTTTTCAAAAAGCAGTTATAAGATGTCAGGCAGTGTTTTAAGTGCTATACCTGTATTCCATCCTCATGACAACTTTTTGAGGTAAGTACTATTAGTATCATCATGTAAAAAAAAAAAATTAAGAAACTGAAGCATAGTGAAGCTAACTGGCCTGCAGTTCACTTAACTAGCAATTGATGAGCACAAGACAGGCTGAGGCTCAAATCTATGCTCTTCAAAGCTACCTATCATTGCTTCTCTCGAGTTAAATATTAAACAATAACATCTAACCAGTAGAACACACAATTTTTTAGCATTTTGGTATTTAATCTGGGCTAAACTCTGTTCTGTGTCTCTACATAGTTTTCAAAGGAAGAAACTAAAATTCACTCTCAAATCACATGATATTTATAAAAGCACTGGTAATAAAATACTTTCATCACAGCATTCCTAAAAAATCACATGACTTTTAAGTAACTAGTGTAGATTTCCTGCTGTACCAGAAATTTACTTAGAAAGTTTACTTGACGGTCTGAAAAATAAGATGCTCTGTTTACCTGTTACTGGTTTTTAGTGATTAATACTCTCTTGAGAAAAAAATTCAATGACTGTTTATGAAAATATTTATGATCGATAATCAACTTTCAATACATTGTTTAGCTTTGTAAATAAACCCAAAATGTGAGGCTGCTAGTACACATGCTGTTAATGGCAGTATACTCGGTGAATTTCAGAGAACAAGCCTCCAGTGGCACTGCAAGCCATGTTTCACACTGCGTGCATCCTGTTTCCTGTCGACAGTGGCTATAATAGGCACATAAACTAAAATTTATGCACTATTTAATCTGTAAATGTTCTGTGCCTTTAGCCCCTAGCAATGGAAATATGCCAGTAGCTTTCTCTTATATAATTGTCTTTCTCCATCAGATTTCAGGAAATTTTAACTATTATAAAGTTATAAATTTTTAACATGATATCTGCATTAGTAGGCCCACAATAATCTTAAATCCAGATGGTTATTTCAAAATAAAATAATACCACTGTCACCTGATCAAAAAAGCCTACAGTCTACTTCCAAGATATATTTTAGTAAAAACAACTTTAAATGCATCATCTAAGTAAACTTGGGGAACCATTTACATATCTAGGAACTTCAGGCCAAATCTCAATGGAAAGATAATACTTCTAAAGGCAGTATTTAAAAAAAAAATGAATGGAACAAGTTGAAGTGATTTATTTTTCTAGCCAAATCATATAATTTAACATTGACCTTTACTTTCTACTAATCTAAATTTTTAACAATCTCTTTTATGCAATTATTTTAGTTACATTATTTACTCTCTACATTCTTCTAAGTAAATCTCAATAAGCAAACAAGAAATATTTGTATTATGATGATTATTTAAAATTTTAACTCTCTGTATTTTTTCTAATAAATATTCTAGTAAATAGTAATTTTACCAGAAAATGAAAAGCAGAGAAAAAGAAAAATTAAATGAGAAGCCTATGAAAATGCACTATTTGTCCATTGATAATTAGGAATTTATGAACCTAATCAAATGCATCATTTTTAAAAGTTACTTTCTAATTATGATCCCATAAACCAAAGCAATCTCTCCAATATAGAGAACTCAATGAAACAATAATATGTTTCAGGTTTCTGCTGGAGAGTTTAATATTATTATAAATGCCTACAAAATACTCCCGCTTTCATGGAAGTTGGGTTTATCAAAAGTAGGCATCCTGTTTCTTGAAGGCTTCAATCAGGTGTAAAATTTGAATATGCATTTGGCTCAACAGTTTTTAAGGATTTGTTCTGAGAGCTGTGGGCTAAACTATTAAGTATAATTTAATGAGAATATCTTATTTAATTTTGTATATTAGTTTAAAATTATATCTTTTTTATGCAAGACAACTACTAGAGATAAGAATGAAAAATCAATTTACTTGCATACTTCTTTAGAAGTTTCAACACTTTTTCCATGTAAGTTTAAGATCTTGCTTCTTCTATTTACATGTCAGAAATAAGACAGTGGCATTTTTGAACAAAAACATAATCATTGATGAGGATTGGAGAGATAGAATTGAGTGGTTTTGACTTTTAGGAAGTAGTTTATAATCTGGTATACCATGGATTTCTGAAGTGCAGAGTGATTACAAAGTGAAGGTGAATATTTTTGCATGTAAGTCATGGATGTAAAATAAATATGTAATATTACATCATGCACTTATATATCTCATTGTCTGAAACACATAAATGCCATGATAAATAGTGTACATACTTACTTAAAAGCATTACTAAAATCACTGTAGTTTTTGTCATGGTGTATTTCTCAATCAACAGATGCTGAAAGTACCACAACAAGCATGGTGTAAGATTATATTGATACTATAAAAACATATTTGTGTTTGAAATAGTTGGGAAAAACTGCTCTGAAAGGCTGTCGCTAACAGGCAAATTAGTCATATTTTCCTGAATGTATCACTCATCTGTGACTCAGAGAATAACTTTAATATATCACTATATTAAAAGAACCACTTTGTACCAGGAGTGAGGAGGTAAAGGACATAAATGACTTGTGAAGACAAAAAAAAAATTATTCTTATTTCCACAATCACATTTTATTAGAGATCTGAATTCTAAAATGTAAGCGTCAGTCAGAGAGACCATAGCAGAAATCTGTCTGAAAAACAAAATGCATGTAGACTCCAAATCACTTCTACCTTGGATGTGGCACATTGTCATTCAACCAAAATCTCAACTATCAACATTATTTAATGTTACCCGCACCCTGTTTTCTGAATTTTTTTTTTTTTGCTATAAATGGATATAAGAAGAAGAATCACCTTCAAACACATCCAGGCCTCAATCTTCAAAATTTATGTGTATGTTAAGTTACAAGGCAAAGGGGAATTAAGGTAATGGATGAAATTAAGATTGCTAGTTAGTTGACCTTAAAACAGAGAGTATCATGGTTTATTCATGTGGAATCAATGTAGTCACAGGTGTCTCTAAATATGGAAGATAGAGGCAGAAAAGTCAATATTAAAATGATGCCATGGGAGAAAAACTGAAACCCCCAATGTTGGCTTCGGGAGGGAGCCATGAGCCAAGGGATGCAAGCAGCCTCTAGAAGCTGGAAAAGGCAAGAAAATGCATTCTTGGCCAGGCACAGTGGCTCACACTGTAATCCCAGTATTTTGGGAGGCTGAGGCAGAAGACTCGCTTGAGCCCAGGAGTTTGAGACCAGCCTGGGCAATAGAGTGAGACCTCATCTATACAAAAAAAAATTAAAAATCAGCTGAGCATGGTGGCTTATACCTGTTGTCCCAACTACTCAGGAGGCTGAGGCGGGTGGATCACTTGAGCCTGGGAGGTTAAAGTTACAGTGAACTGTGATTGTACCACTGCACTCCAGCTGGGTTACAGAGTGATACTTGGTCTCAATAATAATAATAATAATAATAATAATAATAATAAAGAAAAAATAAAGAAAAATAGATTCTTCCCTAGAACATCCTGAAAAAAAAAAAGAAGCCCTGCTAAGACTTTGATTACAGCCCAATGAGACATATCTCATACTTTTACCACCAGAACTGTAAGAGAAGAAATTTGTATTACTTTAAGAAACTAAATCTGGCCGGGTGCAGTGGCTCACACCTGTAATCCCAGCACTTTGGGAGACCGAGGTGGGTGGATCACTTGAGGTCAGGAGTTTGAGACTAGCCTGGCCAACATGGTGAAACCCCGTCTCCACTAAAAATACAAAAAATTAGCCAAGCATGGTGGTGCACACCTGTAGTCCCAGCTACACGGGAGGCTGAGCCAGGAGAATTGCTTGAACCTGGGAGGTGGAGGTTGCAGTGAACCAAGATGGCGCACTCCAGTCTGGGTGACAGAGCGTGGCTCTGCCTCAAAAAAAAAAAAAAAAAAAAAAAACTAAATCTATGGTAATTTGTTACAGCATATATCTTAGCACACTATATACTATACCTTGGCCCTCGCTATAATAGGAAACTAATACAGTGGGCTAAGTTATATGCATTTGATAAATGTAAATTTTCATGAACAGGGAATGAATACAAGTGAAATCATAAATTATCTTAGCCCCTCCTCACGTAATTGTTGAACATAATGGCTTTTATTTTGGAACTGACCATCACATACATAATAAGCACAGGTGCCTTGCTTCTCTTCAGGAAAAAAAAAAAAGCCAGTAGAAATGAGACAGAAATGTACAACTGTGCATTAGGTTGTTGTTGAAAAGCAAAAGTACGTTACCAAGTGGGATTAACTGATGGCCATTTTAGGACCACTTGGGCCTTTGACTTGGTCATTATAGTCCTGATTCTGCACAGAGGTGGGCAGAACTAATGAAAGCACATGGCTTATAGGAAAATATGAGTGATCTATGAAGGATTTTGGGACTCTCTGAGGGAGAAGAAATCCTTGGTGGAGGAGTAAAGTTACAAATAAAACTATAAATTATGCTGGGAAAGGCAGTTGAAGCTCTGAGTAACTATAATTTTGTTATTAAAAAGATCCATATATTCAAGTGTAAAAAAAGGCTTAGTCATTTGATTTTCATTTAAATTTGTCTCTCTTAATGGATTAATGATTAATCAAGAGGGGAAAAAATATAAAAGAAACCCTTGTTCTCTAAAAAGAGAGCAGAGAGCAGAAGAGAGCAGCAAAGAGCAATGGTCCCCAACCTTTTTGGCACCAGGGATGTTTCATGGAAAACAATTTTTTCCATGTCAGCAGGGGTGCTGGTTTCTGGATGAAACTGTTCCACCTCATCAGGCATTAGATTCTCATAAGGAGTGCACAGCCTAGATCCCTCGCATGTGCAGTTCACAGTAGGTTTCGCGCTCCTATGAGACTCTAATGTCACAGATGATCTGACAGGACGCCGAGCTCAGGTGATAACACTGATTACCGCTCACCTCCTGCTGTGGCCTGGTTCCTAAGGGGCCACAGTCACAGTAGTGGTGCATGACCCGGGGACTGGGGACCTGGGGACCCCTAGCATAGAGGAAGGTTAGCCAGTAGCTTGTACAGAGCCCCTACAGGGGGCAGGGTAACTTCATTCCTAGGTCTGATATACATTTTGTGAGGAACCAAATTTTGACAGTACCCTCTGAGTTGATTAGGCCCTAGAGGATCGACTTCTACAACCACACTTAAAAGAGATAAACCAGAAATCTAATTTATGTGTTCAAAACAAGATGCCCTTCTTCCCTGAGTCTTCTGCTAAAAGCGTATCCTTTTCAGTATCACAGCAACTGAGACTGTTTGAAAGCGCGTTTGCTCAATGGGCAAAGAAAAAGAACAAAAGAATTAGAAGAGTGTTGCCTTAGTCTATCTGTGTGCTGTAACAAAATACCACAGACTAGGTAATTTATACACAATTTAAATTGATTTCTCACAATTCTGAAGGCTGAGAATTCCAAGATCAAAGCATTGGCAACTTTGGTGTCTGGTGAAAGTCTATTCCTCATAAATAGCCTACCATCTAGGTGTCTTTAAATGTTGGAAAGAATGGAAAGGCTAAAAGCGCCTTAGCTGTTTCCCCCAGCCATTCTATTAGGCATTGAGACATTCATGAGGGCAGAGCTCTTATAACTTAATCACTTCTCAAAGGGACCTACCTCTAATACCACCACCGTGGGGATTAAGTTTCAACACATGGGCCCAGAATGATGGCTCCCACCTGCAATCTCAGCACATTAGGAGAATCTCTTGAGCTCAAGAGTTTGAGAGCAGCCTAGACAACATGGAGAAACCCCATCTCTATGAAAAATACAAAAATATACCACCTCACACCAGTCAGAATGGCTATTACCAAAAAGTCAAAAAATAACATGTTGGCAAGGTTGTGGAGGAAAAGAAACACTTATACACTGTTGGTGGGGATGTAAATTATTTCAACCATTGTGGAAGACAATGTGGCTATTCCTCAAAGGCCTAAAGAAAGAAACACCATTCAATCCAGCAATCCCATTACTGGGGTATATACCCAAAAGAATATAAATCATTCTATTATAAAGACACATGTAAGTGTATGTTCACTGTAGCACTATTCACAATAGCAAAGACATGGAATCAACCTAAATGTCCATCAATGGTAGACTGGAAAAAGAAAATATGATACATATATACCATAGAATACTATGCAGCCATAAAAAGTAACAAGATCATGTCCTTTGCAAGGACATAGATGGAGCTGGAGGCATTATCCTTAGCAAACTAACGCAAGAACAGAAAATTAAATACTTCATGTTCTCACTTATAAGTGGGAGTTATGTGATGTGAACACATGGACGCATAGAGGTAACAACACACACTGAGACCTATCAGAGGGTAGAGGGTGTGAGGAGGGAGTAGGTTAGGAAAAATAACTAATGGGTACTAGGCTTAATACCTGGGTGATATAATAATGACACACAGTTATCTACATAACAAACCTGCACATGTACTCTAGAACTTAAAAGTACAAACAAAAAATTAAAAAATTTGCTGGGTGTGGTAGTTCATGCCTGTAGTCCCAGCTGCCTGAGAGGCTGAGATGTGAGGATCTCTTCAGCTGGAGAGGAGGAGGTTACAGTGAGTGAGATCACACCACTGCATTCCAGCCTGAGTGACAAAGTGAGACCCTATCTCAAAAAAAACAAAACAAAAATTCAACACATGGATTTTGGAAGACATTCAGACCATAGCAGCCTCAAAATTTATTTTATCCAGATTATGAAAATGTGTGATGAACTATGCTTGAACAAAATCTAAATCTAACTTTCCAGTAAGCAGAGCATAATGTCACTTGAAATACAATTTCTCTCCATTGTTTGGACTAAATGAAAAGAAAAATGTCCAATTTTAGTATTTAAATCATTTCTATGAACTTCATATGAAACATTTTAATACAAAATTATGAAACAGGTTTAAAATACAGAAAAACCGCAATGTATTTGATATATATATATATATATATCAAATACATATATATGTGTATATATGTATTTGTGTATATATGTGTATATATATAAAACTATATATATATAACTATATATATATATATAAATTTTAGTGTTATTATGTCCAAGGATAAAACTCAGTCATGTGGAATTTGAGGATCTCCTGTGTTCATTAATAATCCACTTATAAGCAATATTTTAAACAAAAGCATTTCTGAAGAAAATCTCTCTCTCTCTGGTTCTCTGTCACACACACACACACATACACATATTTTGATTATTGATAGTTACCTTCCTTAATTTTGGCATCAGCACTGTAACTTAAATATACCTCCTTTTAGCTGTGTATATTCTAGTATTTTTTAAAGCAAATAAACAAAACCTTTTTGACAATCATTTAAGGAAAATAGGCATGAAAGTTGCCAGGTTCCAAGAACAGAATAAAAGCTATGACCAAAGAAGGTTTTCACTAAAACTTTTTTCAAAAGTCATTCCTTTCAGACACTTCCTAAGAATAATCAGTAACTCATCACTGAAGGAAACTTCGAGTCATAGGTAATTACTGATAAATGTCAGCAAGTTCAATCAAGAACAGAAGGGAAATGTACAAACCTCACCAAAACAGCAACCATCTTTATCTTTAAAAAAGAGTGGTGTGAATGAACATGCGCCTGTGGAGATGGGAGGGAATTTCATTATCAAACACTCCAGGGCTCTGTGTGAAATGTTTGTAAAATTAAAAATAATGAAATTATGAAAAACTTTCCAACAGAGATGCCAGCTACAGTACACACTTAGTCATTACTGGCCTCCTCTGATTTACCCACTCATCTATAGTAAATGTGAACAATGTGCACAGGAAGAAATATCAACATTTACAAATGGATATTTTGGATGCAATAATAAACACGCTAGAATCAGGATTTTAAGTCTCTGGGTTTTCTATCATTCATGTATAAATTCTCAAAATATGAAATCATGAGTGTTTTATTTACCCATATTCTCACTTTTAAAAGCTATGCTGACAGCCTATTCTTTTGTAGAACAGAAGATGCCAAGATGATACAATATGGTATCTGCCCATGAAGAGATTTTATTCTATAGAAGAGAAAGTCATATCCGGCATCTCACATGATGAGACAACATGAGAGAGTTTTAAAATCAAGTTATTCTACTGTCCTTGTTTTTGTCTCCTCACTTGACTTTGGGCTTCCCTAAGTACTCTTGTTCAAAAGTCTGGATCCTGCAGCTCTTTCAGGAATAATTCATTTTTATGATTATTTTATACCCTGATGATGAGGTAGTTAGGTGATCTTGGAGCTGTGACCTTCACAAATGTTACATGTGTTTCTCAGACTGGGAACTGTGGCTCATGCCCATAATCCCAACACTTTGGGAGGCTGAGGCAGGAGGATTGCTGGAGCCCAGGAGTTTGAGATGAGATGGGGCAACATGGTGAGACCTTCCCTTTCTAAAAAAAAATAAAAAATAAATAAAAAAAATCAAACAATTATCCAGGAGTGGTAGTGTGCATCCATGGTCCCAGCTACATGGGAGAATGAAGAGGGTGGATAGCTTGAGCCCAAGAGATCTAGGCTGCAGTGAGCCATGATCGTGCCACTGCACTCCAGCCTGGGTGACAGAGTGAGACCTTATCTCAAAAAATAAAATAAAATAAAAACAAGTGTTTCTTCAGTGGTAGAGGTTTTGTTTGCTCATTTGTTTTTGTTTTGTTTTGTTTTTATCTTCAGCCCCCTACTCCTTTCTCTGGCTGCACCATTCTCAATCTATTTCTGTGAAGCTTTGATTCCTGATGTTTATGTTTTTCCACCACTTAAGACAGGAAGGCAGAAGGAAGTTATCTTCCTTCAGCTGAGATAGTTTCAGAATTTTGAGCACTGGCAAAATCCTTTTCTTTGGAAAATAAGCATTCGTTGCAGAGAAGGCTATGATCATGTTCATAGTGGTTAGTCTTCTCCTTCCCTAGCCAGAGCCAAGAAGGGATATTTCTTGGACCTTCGTCATAAAAATCTGGTGGCATTCCTGGAATGAAAGCCCACAGAAATATGGGGGCTCCCTAAGACTGTAGCCCCAAGGAGGTTCTCATCCTCACACTAGTCTTCACTTGACCTCCAGCAGTTCATTAAAATTACCACTTAAGTATCCCTATCAGTTCATAGTTCCAGCAGCTTTTGTTCCAGGTAAGAAGATTTCAGTTTCTGTCTCTCTCTAGATGCACTTGTCTCTCCAGACTTTCAAGTGGTGGTTTGCCCTGTGACCTCATTTCTCTGATGAGTCCAAGACATCATGGTTCAGTTATTTTACTGTCGCTGTAAAAATGGAAATGATGACTTCTAGGCATTTTATTTATTGGGGCTGAAACTGGAAGTCACAAGTCATTTTTTATGTACCATATTTATACAGGCATTACTACAGTAATACAATTTCCAACATTCCCATTTAGAGATGATTTCCCCTCTTTGAAAGGGTAACAAAATAACAAAAATATGTAAAATTCATCTGAGTCAAAACTTTAAAACACACCTGAAATACACACAGGACAATTTTAAATATGATAATATTAAATAAAATAAGACACAACATAAATAAAATCTAAGTAAAGATACAATGTCTTTGCCACACTCCTACCACAGAGTCCAGTACCAGACAATGACTTAAACAATAACAAAAAAAAACAAGTATAGCCATGAAAATCGTGACACAAAAGGAAGAAGACTGAGTTTTTTAAGTATGTAACATATTATAGTCTCCACAACTTAAAACGTACCATTCCTGCATTTTTATAGACCAATAAGATAAATACAAAGTTTAGAAATAGATTTAAATATGTAGAGAAATTTGATATCTAAGAAAAGAAAGTTGAATTCAAATCAGTGGGGAAAGATGGAATTTTGAAATTAATTATGGTGTGACACATGAATAACCACTAAAAAAAAGATTAATCTAGATTCTTACCTTGTATTTAGAAGAAAATAAATTCCAAATGCTCCAAAGATTTAAATATTAAAAATGAAACTATACAAGAGCTAACAGGACCCTTGGGCATATTTCATTCAGACCTCATAGAAGATAGAAATCTCCCTAAATATAACTCAAAATCCAAAAGTAATAAACTCAAACACTTGATAAATCTGACTATATTAAAAAGAGAATTTTATTAAAACATACACCAGAAAACCATAAGCAAAAGCCAAAAGACAAACTGTGAGACAAATAGAACACAGAACATATAAAAAGTGCTAATATCTCCCGCATTTAAAGAGTTTTTACAAGTCAAAGGAGAAAGATCAAAACCTGAGGGACAAATGGGCAAAAGCTATACAACAGAGTTCACAGAAAAAAAATAAAATGGACTTTAAATATGTGAAACTATAGTCACCCTCGGTTATAAGAGATGGTGAAATTAAATACGCATTTAGAGACATTATAGGACATGAGTTCTTGGAAATACTGGTGAAATCTGAATAGAGCCTATAATTTAGTGAATAGTATTCTACCAGTGTTAATTTCCTTGTATTGATAATTGTGCCATGATTATTTGACCTATAAACTTTACAGCTAGCTAGGTGAAAGGTATATATAAATTCACATTATTATGCTTTCAATCTTTCTCTATATATGTAATCATTTCCAAATAAAAGGTTACCTTTTAAACAAAAATCAAGTGTAAAACACTAAAACAAAACAAAACAAAGTGATGAAGAACCACTTCATATTTATTACATGGTAAAAATCTTGATAACGCAATTTGTTATCAAAAGCTTGATAATGCAATTTTTGGTGAAGGCCTGGGGTAACAAACACTCTCCTTCATTATTGGTGAGAACATAAAATAGAATACCTTTAGAGAGGGAGATTTTCAGCACAGCATTTATTATTTAGCATTAAATTCATCAAACTCGTATCTGTCCCCAAAATACACAGGCACAAAAATTAAATGACATAGCACAGGGCTATTGACTACAGCCTATTTATATCGGCAAGTGATTCAAAGCAACCCACATAACCTTAGACTACAAAATGCTCATATAAGTTAGTAGAAAAAGAAATAATGGAGATTCCTATTTTCTGATACGCAATAATCTCCTGCATATATTTGTTAAGTAAAAGCAGCAAGGTAAATAAAAATGTTTACAGAACAGTTTGTGTACGGAAACTTTTGAAAGGTAAGATGAGAAATACAGATAGAATGTTGCATTTGTATTGTAAGGTAGGAAACTTTAAATATGTGTGGGCATGTTTATATTTATAAAAAGAAACACTAAAAAAATACACATACTTATTATTCTTTGGTTTATTTTTATAAACCAAAGAGTTACATATATGTATATTTATTTATAGATATAGAAGAACATATATCTATATCTGTATGAAGTGATACATATATATCTGTATAAAGAAGATATATATATACACATATATATGCATAGTATGTATGTATGAAAAGAATGAAAAGAGAAGGATGACATGGATAGAAGTAATATTTCCCTGATATTGTTATATATTTTGAGTAATACCAAGTCACATAATAATATCGGGAAAAAATCAGAACCACATATTTTGAATACATATCCTTGGTGGAATATATTGTAAGAACAAAAGGAAAAACAAAGAAAATTTAAATGTTATTCAGTAGCCTTATTTTGGTGGTAACATTGTTACTGATAATGCTAAACCATTTTATGTGCATTGTAGGATATATGAAATAATAAGGGTTTTAGGAAATAATTTCCCATGTAAAGTCATAAAATCAAAGCATGATCTTTTTACTTTTCAAAATACATATTTTATTCTAGAAGCAATGACAACTCTACAGCAAAGAACGCCCATCGTGCCCTCATTTTGGATTGTGAATATTATTTCCAAGTTAAATGAATTAGAGCTCCTTGGAAATGTGACTGATTTTAGGACTGGGACAAGAAATGTACAGATGAGCTTGAACATCTGGGTGTGCCAGAAATAAATGAAACTAATGGGTTCATTTATAAAAAAATGAAAAAAAGCTAATGGGTTAATTCCTTAATGACCCAGGAGCCACCTTGAAGTTGCTCGCCTGGGCCAGGATAAGGCGATTTGAGTATTAAGAGGAGAAATAACTGAAATTGATACCTAACACATTGACTATATAAAAACCCAGGAAGTCATAATGATAGTAAAAAAGCAAGAGAGAAAATAAAAACAAACAGAGACAAAATACCATGAGTATTAGAGAAACAACTCAATACCATGAAAATTAATAATTATAGGAGACAAATTATTTGTCTGGTCCTTCGTACGAACTGTATGTCAGAATAAACAAAAAGTCCTGGTTAATGAGGAAGTTATTCTTTTTATTTTATTTTATTCTTTTGAGACGGGGTCTTACTATTTCCCAGACTGACTTAGAACTCCTAATGTCAAGGAATCCTCCCACCTCAGCCTCCTGAGTAGCTGAGACTATAGGTATAAGCCACCACTCCCAGCTTGGAAAAGTTATTAAAAAAAATCCATGTAGGCCAGGCGCAGTGGCTCATGCCTGTAATCCCAGCACTTTGGGAGGCTGAGGCAGGTGGATCACGAGGTCAGGAGATCGAGACCATCCTGGCTAACATGGTGAAACGCCGTCTCTACTAAAAAAATACAAAAAATTAGCCAGACGTGGTGGCACGCGCCTGTAGTCCCAGCTACTCGGGAGGCTGAGGCAGGAGAATGGCGTGAACCTGGGAGGTGGAGCTTGCAGTGAGCCTAGATCACGCCACTGCACTCCAGCCTGGGTGACAGAGTGAGACTCTGTCTCAAAAAAAGAAGAAAAAAAAATCCATGTAAATCAAATAGAAGATACAGAATTAGAAAAGATGATTTTGTGATTGCTATCTAAATAATAGATTTGGGCAATGATCATCAATATATTTGGTAAATGATAATAATATTCATATACTACCAAAGTATTAACATGCTGACCAGTGGGGAAACAAGCACTATGTTACAATGAAGGAGCCGTGCTATTGCCTCCTGAAATCAATTAACTATCTTACGATCTCCAGTCATTATGTTCTTCTTGATGTGATACATTATTAGGTGAACATCACCATCTGTGAAACATTCTTATCTAAAAAGGGATAAACAATGCAATTAAGCCTTTAGTTGTAACTTTCATTTACATGAACACAGGCGATGGATACAAATCTGTATGTCGCCCAGTTATTTTAACTGATAAATGCCATGAAAAAAAGGGGGAGTGAGGGGACAAAGTATATTCTATTACATGGTTTAAGAAGCATAACAATGGCAATGTTTGGACATATTTTAAGATTCTGTGTCAAACTATATGAAGACATTTTTGAGTAATCAAAGAAATTTGAATATGTACTGAGTATCAGAATATTAAAGTTTTGGTATAATAATGGCATTGTAGAAAATAACCTTCACAAATACATACTAAAGTTGTTTTTTGTGTTATTTTTTTCTTGCAACTTTTCCTTTCTTTTTTTTCTTTTTTTTTTCACTGCAACCTCCGCCTCCTGGGGTCAAGCAATTCCCCTGCCTCAGCCTCCTGAGTAGCTGAGACTACAGGCGTGCATCACCACACCTGGCTAATTTTTTGTAGTTTAGTGGAGATGGGGTTTCACCGTGTTGGCCAGAATGGTTTCGATTTCCTGACCTCGTGATCCACCCGCCTCGGCCTTCCAAACTGCTGGGATTACAGATATGAGCCACTGTGCTCTGCCTAAAGTTTTAAAAGATACATATTAATGTCTGGATTTTTATTTGAAATATTTCATCAAAAAAAGTATAAAATGTATAATAAAACATTGCTAATTTTAAAACCAGGAGTTAATTGTATGGAGACTCAATATACTATTCTATCTACTTTCAAAATGCAGTGAAAATTAGTGAAAATTGTATCATAGACAGGGCATGGTGGCTTACGCCTGTGAGTCCAGCACATTGGGAGGCCAACGCAGGCTGATTACTTGAGCCCAGGAGTTTGAGACCAGCCTAGGCAATACAACAAAATCCCCTCTCTAAAAAAAGTAAAAATAAAAAAAATAAAACTACCAAAATTATCTGGGTGTGTTGGGATGCGCCTAAGGTCCTGGCTACTTGGGAGGCTGAGGTGTGAGGATCTTTTGAACCTGGGAGGGGGAGGTTGCAATGAACACAGATGGTACCACTGAACTCCAGCCTGGGCAACAGAGTGAAACGCTACCTCAAAAGAAAAAAAAATGTATTACTTTTTTCTCAAGTTATTTTTTAAAAATAAGCAAAATACATCACAGTAAGTTAAAATTTTCTTTGTAGAACCTGTTGCTATCTAATAATTTTTTACTTTCCATACTTTAATAGTTGCTGCAACAAAGAGCCAATCTGAATGAATTACCAATGTCCAAAGCTGGAACACCAAAATAAATAATGTGGTACTGGATTATAACTCAAAATATAAGTATACATGAGTCTCTACTGATAAAGTATTGAATAAATAAATAGAGGAAAAAAGATAACTCTACCTTATAAAAATTAGAAATAACATGTGTAGATACTCTCCCCTTTAAAGGTGAACCTTAATTCTGCCCTCTTCCCCTTTGAGGGTGGGCTGAACTTGGTGACTTGCTTCCCATGAATATAGTATGTAAGGGTAATAAAAGTAACTTCTCAGGGGAAAAACCCATCAAACACAACTGCAGCCAGGTGATCCAGGCCAACTTCACCAATGATAAGTCAGGCTGATGGTATATATGCATTTATATGGTTCAATGGGTACTTCACTTCTGTAGTATTCTTCCCCAGAACCCATAACATCCATCTAGTCATGTTAAAGACATCAGACAAATCCAAACTGAGAGATATTCTAGAAAGCACCCAACCCAATTCCTCAAAATTGCCAAGGTTATGAAAAATGAAAAAATACTAAGACACTATTACAGATAGAGGAAACTAATGGGACACGACTACTAAATGCATGTGGAATTCTGGATTGGATCCTGGAACAGAAAGATGACATTAACAAATGAAATCTGAATAGCATATAGTTTAATTAATAGCCAGACACCGATATTGGTTTCTTAGTTTTGACAAATGTACCGTGATTATTTAAGAAGATAATAATGGTGGAAACTGGCTAGAGCATATGGGAACTCCATACTCCCTTTATAACATTTCAGTAAATGCATAGTTTTTACAAAATAAAAAAAGCTACTGTAGACTGAATGTTTATTCTCCCCCAAATTCATATACTGAAACCTGATCCTCAATGTGATGGTGCTTGAAAGTAGGTCCTTTGATAAGTGATTAGGTTATGAGGGTGGAACCCTCACGAATGGGATTAGTGCCCTTATAAGAGGAAATCCCGGGAGTCCCTCATCCCTTCTGCCATGTGAAAACACATGAAAAGACGGCTGTCTAGGAAGTGGGCCTTCACCAGACACTGAATCTGCTGCCACCTTGATCCTGAACTTCAAAGTCTCCAGAACTGTGAGATACAAATGTTTGTGGTTTATAAATTACCCAGTTTTGGTATCTTGTTATACAAGCCCAAGCAGACTAAGAAGAAAACTTATTAAAAATAAAATAAACTTCTGATTGGCTTTAAAAATACATGGGTTTAAAAATATAGATATATTACTTGTGTTCTAACAAAATTAACAGTTGCGTATCAGAAAAGAAATCCTTCACAGGACTGCACGTAAGCAGGGACACCATGAAACTGTGTGATAGTAGGGCATAGAGAGTGGGAGATTTGTCAGAAACCAAGAGAAAGGTTGGCCATTCATATCTTTTATCCAGGTGCAGATTAAAACTTCAATGGCAGAGGAAAAGGAACCTCACAGAGGTCTAGTAAAGTCACAAGGAAAGAGAGAGATGCTGAACATGGGAAACCACTAAAACATTTTCTCAGCCAAAAGTTGTTTTAAGCCACTTGCAGATAAGCTTAGGAAAGGATTGGAGTTATGAAAATATTCCAGTTTCAACCATGCTAATAATATGCTGACAGTGAGCAAGTCATTTAATTTTTCTCATTCTTAACTCTCTCAATTGTGGGATGACGTTCATCCACAGCTGTGATTAAAACTGCCTTTCCGAAAATTATGAATGTGAAAGAAATCTGACATAACTCCATCTTGCTTCTGACGTCCAAGCTGCCCTTGTTTATTCCTGGGCATAGGCCAAGCTTACTTTGGGAGGAATTTAGTTTATAGTTTAAAACCAAGATGATAACAGCCCCTTTCCAAAACTAACCCACTCCTTACTCAGGAACTGAAACCACCTTTGTAAAATTAACCCAATTTGCCACAAGGTTAAAATTATGGTTCTGGAATCATGAAGCCAGAGGTCACAAGATTGGTAATCTCCCCTATCGCTCCTATAGATAACATCACTATTGTAAAACTTAAGATTTGTGTTTTAGGTATTTTTCAGAGCCTGTATTCTGTTGGACCAGGTGGCACCACCTGGAGTAGTAATTCATACTAAGAAACTTCCTTCGCTGGTCTTGTGACCCCACCCAGGAACTGACTCAGTGAAAAAAAAGACAGCTTTGACTCCCTAGGATTTCATCCCTGGTGCAATAAATGAGCATTCTCCATTACCTAGGCTCCTGCCTGCCAAACTATCCTTGAAAAACCCTAGCCTCTGAATTTTCCAGGAGGCTGAGTTGAATAATAAACTCCCATTCTTCTTCTTGGCTAGCCCTGCAGTTGTTAAACTTTATTTCTACTGGAATACCACTGTTCCATTGAATCAGCATTATCTGTGCAGTGGGCAAGAAGAACCCATCAGGTGATTACATAATTCTATGAATTTACAAAGGTAAGTTTTTCAATCTTTTTGGATATATTCAATGAAGTATCAAATTTGACAACTACATAAATAATTAAAATATGTTGTAAAAAGGAAGTAAGAATAGTTTTGGGTATTACATATGCTTTAAAGTCTCATTTTGGCAAGTCATTGCATGTGGTAGGAAATAAATTATCAGACAACTACAATGTATGTACATATAGTCAATTGCAATGACCACAAACAGTTAGTCCTTTAATTCCTGAAATATTCACCATACCGATAGGCTATTACTTACAAGTATCATTCAAACGAGTCACTCAGAGAAATATGTTGAACTGTACCATTAATGTGCAATCACCAAGATCCAGACTGTACAGGAAACCACAGCCTTGTTCATCACCAGTTAATTTGTAAGAAAAAGAAAGAAATTGGGCCAGACGCAGTGGCTCACGCCTGTAATCCCAGCACTTTGGGAGGCTGAGGTGGGTGGATCACCTGAGGTCAGGAGTTCGAGACCAGCCTGATCAACGTGGTGAAACCCCATCTCCACTAAAAATACAAAAGTTAGCTGGGCGTGGTGGCATGCACCTATAATCCCAGATATTCAGGAGGCTGAGACAAGAGAATCCCTTCAACCCAGGAGGTGGAAGTTGCATTGAGCCAAGACCCCGTACCATTGCACTCTAGCCTGGGCAACAAGAGTGAGACTGTCACAAAAAAAAAAAAGAAAAAAGAAAAAAGAAAAAACAAATTGATAGGGCGCTATTAAAAGAGACTTAAGGCCGGGTGCGGTGGCTCACGCCTGTAATCCCAGCACTTTGGGAGGCCGAGGCGGGTGGATCACGAGGTCAGGAGATTGAGAGCATCTTGCTAACATGGTGAAACCCCGTCTCTACTAAAAATACAAAACAATAGTCTGGCGTGGTGGCGGGCGCCTGTAGTCCCAGCTACTCAGCTACTCGGGAGGCTGAGGCAGGAGAATGGCCTGAACCCAGGAGGCAGAGCTGGCAGTGAGCCAAGATCACGCCACTGCACTCCAGCCTGGGCAACAGAGCGAGACTCCATCTCAAAAAACAAAACAAAACAAAAAGACTTAAAAGTCACATCAAGTTAAAAAAATGGAAAGGAGAAATATATCAAAGGACATATATCTGGGTTACAATCTATAATAATGAAGTGATCATTATAAAATTCAGGATAATAGTTACCCATGGAGAGATGGAGGATTTGTCATTGTAGTGGGACACATGTCTTCTGGGTGTCTGGCAAAGTACTTTTTTTTTTTTTTAACCTGGGTAATAGTTACAAGGGTGCTAGTCTTTTATAATAATTTTTATAGCAAACATTTGTGTGGTTTTCAACATTTTTTGTATTACAATGTGTACTAAAATCTTCCTGTGTTGCAGAATGCTATGTACTCCATTTACAAAAACAAATATGAAGAAATTTCCTATACCCAGAGGTTAGAATCAAGTAGGAAAGAATATAAGTGATAAAATGATTGCAACAGAATCCGGCAATTGTTATGATAAAATTACATTGGATAAAATGAGGCCCAGTGGATGGGGTGGTCAGTTTTGCCTAGCTAAGTCATAAATAGTTTTGAAAAGAAATAATGCAGCATCGTATTCTGTGGTGTATATGTGCCACATTTTCTTAATCCAGTCTATCATTGATGGACATTTGGGTTGGTTCCACGTCTTTGCTATTGTGAATAGTGCCCCAATAATGCATGTGTCTTTATAGCAGCATGATTTATAATCCTTCAGGTACATACCCAGTAACGGGATGGCTGGGTCAAATAGTATTTCTGGTTCTAGATCCTTGAGAAAAAAAGGATGAGTTCATGTCCTTTGTAGGCACATGGATGAAGCTGGAAACCATCATTCTGAGCAAACTATCGCAAGGACAGAAAACCAAACACCACATGTTCTCACTCATAGGTGGGAATTGAACAATGAGAACACTTGGACACAGGAAGGGGAACATCACACACCGGAGCCTGTCGTGGGGTGGGGGGAGGGGGGAGGGATAGCATTAGGAGATATACCTAATGTAAATGATAAGTTAATGGGTGCAGCACACCAGCATGGCACATGTATACATATGTAACAAACCTGCATGTTGTGCACATGTACTCTAGAACTTAAAGTATAATAAAAAATAAATAATAAATAAAAATAAAAAAAGAAATAATGCAATGCCTAAGCTTAATATTTAAAGAGTAATCACTGTATCCAATAGACAAGAAGGTAGAGCAATGTAGAAGGAATGGGTTATTTTGTCAAAGTATATCTTTACAGGCAAAATCATGACTCTCTTGCAGATATTAAATATTTAAAATTTTATTTGGGCTGGGCGCGGTGGTTCATGCCTGTAATCCCAGCAATTTGGGAGGCCAAGGCGGGTGGATCACCTGAGGTCAGGATTTCGAGACGAGCCTGGCCAACATGGTGAAACCCCACCTCTACTAAAAATACAAAAATTAGCCAGGTGTGGTGTCAGGCGCCTGTAATCCCAGCTACTCGGGAGGCTGAGGCTGGAGAATCTCTTGAACCCAGGAGGCAGAGGTTTCAGTGAGCCAAGATCACACCATTGCACTCCAGCCTGGGCAACAAGAATGAAACTCCGTCTCAAAAAATAAAATGAAATAACATAAAATAAAATTTTATTTAACTCACTAATTAATGAGAGAATCACTAAGATGTTATAGCTAATTCGCCAGGCACGGTGGCTCACGACTATAATCCCAGCACTTTGGGAGGCCAAGGTGGGAAGATCACCTGAGGTCAGGAGTTCAATACCAGTCTGGCCAACATGGGGAAACCCTGTCTCTACTAAAAAATACAAAAATTAGCTGAGCGTGGTGGTGGGTGCCTTTAGTCCTAGCTACTCGGGAGGCTGAGGCAGGAGAATCACTTGAACCTGGGAGGCGTCTCAGAAAAAAAAAAAAAAAAAGATGTTATAGCTAATTCAAAAGAGAATCTGTAAACAGACACATATTGGTCATCAAAAATGTTGAAATAAGTTTACAAACAAATAAAAAGTTAATCAGTATCCATACGAAAATAACCAAATATTTCCCTGCTGAACAAATCTGCATTTATGTGAAGAAGCATGCTCATTATTATCAGTGTTCAATGATTTATAGAACTATAAAATACCTAAACGACAATGAAAAGAGAAAATAACTTCAAAGGGCATACTGGATAGGACACTCAGTAATCTTTTTCCCTTTCAAAGTATTTGAGTAATTTTTTCCGTCAGCATGAAGACCAGGTGTTGCAAAACAGCAGGACCCATCCTAAGAAGGGCAAGAATGCAGAACAGCTGGAGTTAAAATGATAGAAGGGATGAGGTGAGAAAAGAGGTTGAAAAGATGGTTAGGGGCTACATCAGGAAGCTGAGTGAAGCTTTTTATTTTGTTTGTCATTAGGGAATGAGCAGAGGCAAATCTGGATAACCCTGATGATCATTTCCTCTTCTTTATCTGTAGTTTAGGAAGAAATTTGCCTAACATTTTGTGACATAGCTCAGTAGAAGAATGTATTAGGTTGGTGAGAAAGTAATGGCAAAAACCACAATTTCTTTCGCACCAACTTAATAGTAAACTCTGGAGTTCTCCCTTTCTTAATCCAGGACACTCCCGTTGTTACACAGATGCTATCTATCCGTCTTTACTTATAAATATTTTGAATGGATGAGGTGAGGTCTCTCACCTGGAGCCCTTTCACGATATGTCATGCACACCTGAGCCCATGACAAGCCTTTTATGTGGAATGATGCAAGTGTGAAAGAAAGGATGTGCTTTGCTGCTTCTCTGCCTGTGAGCTACCTTAAAAAATCATATTTAACATTTTCATTGTGTGATGTTAGGAATGTGTGTGTCCTTTTCACTTTTGCTTTACAGAAAGAATGAATTTGGTTTTTGTTATATTTTGTTCATTACTATTACTCTTAGTAGTAGTAGTATTTTTATTGTAACATGATCGGATTTGTATTTTAAAAAGATATAGCCAGGCGCAGTGGCTCATGGCTGTAATCCCAGCACTTTGGGAGGCCAAGGTGGGCTGATCATTTGAGGTCAGGAGTTCAAGACCAGCCTGACCAACATGGTGAAACCCCATTGGAGTATTATAAATGTAGGAAGACAAGTGTGATCCAGGATTTGCAGTGTCGCTGTGTTAAAAAGAAAAAAGAAAATTAAATTACTATGATTGAGAGTAGTTTGGGGATAACTGTGAAAAGGGAGACTTGGTTGGTTTCTGGTATATAAATTCTTTTCATATTCCCTTACCTCGTGCTGTTTATGAAATTTATTCTCAAAATAGCTAGTAAAATATTATGTTGATTTTGACTGCTTGATAGGTATTGGAACATGGGTGTTTCCTACCTAAAAACAAACATTCACACTTTCAGGCAGAACTCATTAGGCAATTAGTCCTTTATTTGTAAAGCCATATTTATTTGGTTCATAATTTTACATTTTTCCCTTGATCCACAGAGACAATTCTATTTCCCTCTTATTTTAATCTGCTTCTCTTTCTTACAATTTATCTGTTGAACTTTGCTGTAGTTGCCCCCAGGGTCTGGATTCTGGTGATTGCATATTTATGGTGCAGTTCAACATGTTCTTCCATCTTCTGTCCTCTGTCATTTCTACTCATTGGCAGCTGGGTCCAGAGAATGAATCAGACTTAAGTTTGGTCTTTTTAAAAACCTATAAGTAGGGTATAGCAAGGCTATAAAAAGCACATAATTTTGCCATGTCTTTATATGATCTTAACAACCACTGAATCACAATACCTAAGTTTAATCATTTGTTAGGGGTTAAAATGGTGAGATTCTAATGCAATTATTTTATTTTTATGTGTTTGTTAGAGTATTTTTATTAAAAAATTTATCTCATGCAGTATTTTGTTATCCATGATAGAGTTAATAAAAAATGCAGGCTACCTGCTTAATTTTTTCCCTTTCTTAAACAATTTTAATAACAATGGATTAGTTTCTATTGATAATCTGAAAGTAGGCAATTCTTTTTTAATAGCATTATGCACTCATAGATATAAGTACGTTTGATCTGTTCAATCCATTGCACTTATTAAAATTATTGAAGTTCAAATGGTGTCATCTTGGTTAGTAGAAAACCCACCAAATTCTTGAAGAATTTTAAATTGATCAGTCTTTGCCAGCTTATTTGCTAACTGATATGACAATATTTGCTAGGCTTAGCTTTGCTATGTCCTGTCTGAGACCTGGAATCAGTGATATCTTTAGCAAACCTAGTTTTCTTGGAGTGAGAAGTGACATTTCAAGACCACAATCTAGGTCTCATTGCTACTGCATTAGTCATTGTTTCTAAGTATTTATAGTGGAAAAGACTAGAAAACATTTACAGGCAGGAATTATATATATCCCAGATCTGTCCACTATAAAAGACTAGAAACAATGACCAACACAGTAGCAATTTTCTGTTTACATTGATGCTTGCTATCAAATTTCCAAGACTAAAGTGCTTTTAACTAAACTATTCTCTATTGCATTTGCATGTCCCTTTTTCTATATTAAGAATTCTTTTTTCTCAAGGACACAGAATATGATAAATTAGAACTGCCACTAATTATTCATTTTTAAATTATTTTTAGATTACTAGTACTATTACCATTGTGATTACTAATATTAAATAAATTAAACCAAAGAAACTTTCTTGAAATCCACCTCATTCAAAAAAGCACAGGAAAATTAATTTCACATGAAAAATAATAGAAATGTACAAAGGTCAAATTCTATGCAATGTTATAATAAGAGAATAAGGAACATAACTATATGAATGCACACATACACAAAATATAAATCTGAAACCTAGCCTCATTTTAGTTGGCCTTACTTTCTCCTAATGCTAAGGAAAAGAAGACAAGGATTCCAATTATTAATTTACTGTACTCAAGTTGTAAACCAATGATATTAGGCTAGAAAATAAAGATATGATAACTGAAAAAGAGTTGTTAAAATTAATAATATTTATATGAATCTATCTTTTGAGAAATATAGGAAAATTAATTTTAAAACTATGATAAATTTGTTGAACAATAACAGTATTAATGGAATTCAGGTAACAGGGTATAATATTCATTTACAAAAATTGTATATGCATATTATATATATATGTTTAAAGATGACCATGATTATTATGATCAACTGATACATCACTTCCTGCCATAAACAGCTTGAAAACTGTAAAAATACAAAATACACTGGTTTTTACCACTGAAAATAAGCATAGAGAGGCATAGAGAACTGTGATCCATAACAGAAGAGAGACAGAGAAAGTAAGCCCTGCCTTCCTTTAAAAAGACTGCAGTGCAGAGAAGGAACATAAATCTCAAATTTAGAATTTAGAAATTGAGAAGTTTATAGGGGTACTCCTTAAATAGAGCGAAAACACTAATTTGAGTTGAGGAAATAGTGATCTAAATTCAAGGAGATTGAGAAGACTGAAATTTACAAGACAAAGTACTAGAAAAAGTCTAAAAATACTATATAAGAGTACTTTTGAGTCTAGCTGAATACCAAGCAGCTCAGATGAAAAACAAAACTGCATGAGTACTGACAAAGGATTCCCACCAGGGATGTGGGTTAATTTACAGAGATTATACCGGGTTCAGGTACTTTTAAGCTCTTATCATCTAAAGCAGAAAAGCCTTATCGAACACCCTGGGAATGCATTAGAGATTTAAGAATCATTATACCTTAGTAATTAAAACTACCCTAGATCCAGTATAACAAATTTAAACACAGGTCTTTAAGACGGAGGTGATACACAATTGATTGTTGGCTAAGACCAACTTCATCATCATTAAATGGAGAATGAAAGAATCCTGAATATTTACATCATAAAATTCAAAATGCCCAACATCCAATAAAAAGTTACTAGAGATCTGAAGAAGCAGGAAAATACGCCATCATTAGCAGAAAAATCAGTCAATAATAGCAGACCCAGAATTACAGAGATGCATTTTCAGAACAGGCTTCAAAACAGCTATTATAAATATTTTTAAGTATTTGAATATAAAACCAACAAGAATATAATAAGGAAGGAAATGCAAACTATAAAAATGGAACTTATGTAGCTGAAATGAATATTTTACTATACAAGTTTAACAGCAGACTAGCTATTGGAGAAGAAGAGGTTAATGAACTTGAAGACACAGCAATTGAAGCAGTCTAACCTGAGAAAGGGACAGAAAAGAGGCCAAAAAAATGGAATAGTTCCTTAATGACCAGTGGAACCGTGTTAAGGAGTCAAACATACTGTAATTGGAATATCTGAAGATAGGAGAAAGAGAAACAAAAAAATGGAGAACTAGTGCCTAAAAGTTTTCAACTTTGATAAAAACTAAAGCCCACAAGACCAGGAAGCTCAACAAATTTCAAGTAGAACAAACACCATTTATATCTTAATCAAAGTTTTAAAACTAGTTATAAAAACGTTTGAAAAGTAGTCACAGGAGAAGAAAGACATATTAGAACATAGAAAACTGGCACTGATTTCTCAACAGAAATAATGGAGTTCAGAAGACAAAAGTGTAAAATCTTTTAAAGTCCTAAAGAAAAGAAAAATCATCCTATAATTCTTTCTGGTGAAAATATTCTCCAACGGAAGATGGGGAAAAAGACACTTTTTTCATATGTTATATATTTGAAAATTGTTCATAAAATCATATATTTTGTTTTCTCACCATAAAACAATAAGCACGTGAGATAATACATATGTTAAATTGCTTGATTTAGCCGTTTCATAATATAAACAAAAAAAAATTTTTCTCAGAAAATCAGTACTTGAATATATTTATTGTTAGCAGATATGCACTACAGAAAATATTGAAGACAGGTCTTTATGCTAATGGAAAAGGATTCCAGGCCTGCACAAAGGAGTGAAGAGAGCTAGAAAAGGGAAACACGTGGGTATATATATATACACACACACACACACATATATATATAAATCCTTATCATTAAAAGTATACATATTTAAATAATAACTGACCATGCCCAAAAGAATGATATTTAACTGATGTCACCTTCAGAATCCACCTTTTTCTTCCTCTCTGGTTCCAGCTCCTAACTGACCACATACGCAGAGTAGAGCCAAACCTCTCTTTTCCAATTCTGTTTCAGAACTTTACACAGACCTGTGGAGTAGTTCACTTATGCCCATATTTTCTTTTCTTTTTCTTTTTATTTTTTTGTGAGGGGGATGGAGTCTTACTCTGTCGCCCAGGCTGGAGTGCAGTGGCATGATCTCGGCTCACTGCAACCTCTGACTCCCGGGTTGAAGCAATTCTCTGCCTCAGCCTCCCCAGTAGCTGGGATTACAGGCACCTGCCTCCACGCCTGGATAATTTTTGTATTTTTAGTAGAGATGGGGTTTCACCATCTTGGCCAGGCTGGTCTTGAACTTCTGACCTCATGATCCACCTGCCTCAGCCTCCCAAAGTGCTGGGATTACAGGTATGAGCCACCGTGCCCGGCAACTTGTGCCCGTATTTTCACAATTTCTTTTTCCACGGTTCTATCAGCATTGTGTATAGCACACTTCACACATAAATTTAACATATCTTATGAAAAATAATATATTGATTTTATGTCTTTAACTTCTCTGAGTTAACAGTTAAGTTATAGTCCTAGTGACTGGATGATGTCCATGCTCCTATGATTTTCTCTTGTGCTCATTCACCTTCATAGGATTAAACTGATATAAACACAGTGGATACTAATCATTACTAGGGGACAGCAGGGTGGAAGCATAATCTGCATTATCAGTATCCATTTCCAGCAGAAGCTCAATGCAAAATGCCATCATACATAATATTTTTCAATTCTCAGCCAAGGTGAGAGATTTAAAATATGTTCAAAGTACAAGTCATGGAATCAGGGGGTATATGTATAAATATATACTAGAAAGTCTTTAATTTCATATAGATAAATGTTTTGAGCTTTTAGCTGGTATCCCTGATAAATTGTCTTGGTAAAAAAATAATTCAAAAAGACTGAAAATAAAATTTTCTTTTAGGTTTGTATAACTCAGCTTTCAATATATACCATTTTAGATTAAAGCATTCACTACTGGAGATCAAAGATTCTTGGAAGGACTAAAGCACATAGTAGGTGATCAAAGGCTCTGATAATTCCAGATTTTCCACTGGCCTGTCTCTGAAACTTTGTAGGATTAAATTACCTAATGCCTGTGAACTTTGGTTTATTTTTCAATAAAATTTGAATTATGGACTAGAACTGCATTTGTAAGACTTTTGTATTCTATAAAACAGTGAAAGAAGTGGAGGCTAAACCAATTGGAGTTGTCAACATTTTTTTTAATAAAGGCATTAAAATATAAAAACTACCATCTCTACTTAATCCATGTCATTATAAAGAACATTTTTACATTATAAAGAACATTTTAACAACAAAAGAGTCAGGAGAGCAAATTCAAAATAGCAAGTCCTTTATATCAAAGGAATTAAAATAAAGCTTTAAGAAAAAAAACTTTTCATATTTTTTTCCATTTCATCACAGACTGATAAAAATTTCAAAAATGTCTAAAATCATTCTATAGATATGTGCTTAAAACTTTATTTATTTATTTGAGACAGAGTCTTGCTCCGTTGCCCAGGCTGAAGTGAAGTAGCCGGCATGATCTCAGCTCACTGCAACCTCCGACTCCCAGGTTCAAGGGATTCTCCTGGCTCTGCCTCCTGAGTAGCTGGGACTGTAGGTGCACACCACCGTGCCTGGGTAATTTTTTGTATTTTTAGTAGAGATGGGGTCTCACCATGTTGCCCAGGCTGGTCTTGAACTCCTGAGCTCAGGTAATCTGCCCACCTTAGCCTCCAGATTACAGGCATGAGTTACTGTGCCCAGCCCAAAACTGTTAAATTAAATGCTTTCTACAATCTTTTTTTAACCATAAAATTCTGATCTATTGTCTTATTTTGTTACAATATGTTAAGCCAATGTAATTAACATTACATAATCTTATGTCAGTTAAATGTGATTTACTTAACTCATGTAATAACAATAAGAAAAATACTTTTTTAAGAACTGGAGAAAATATCTCCTAATGTTTGATATAATACTTTGCCATAACACATTTTAACACACAGTCCACACATTTAAAAACTTTTTGAAAAGTTCCTGTGGGAAATGACAGTGTTATTTGAGTCTATTAAAGCATCATTCTGGTTGCGCAAACTTGAACGAGAAGTTGCACTGTGGTAAGACTAGTCTTTATCTTAGAGACCAAGAGTCATTTTGCAAATTTGTGGTATCATTTCCCTAAACAACTTAGGACCAAATTGTACTTCATTTCCTCAGTTCTGCATTTCTGCAGAGACAGAAAGAAACGCAGCTCTTGACTTCTTTTTTGTAAACATTACTGTAAGAGTTGTGATAACTTTTTATTCTACTATGTATATGTATGGAATAGTATTAATAAATGAACTAGGGAAGGATGTAATAAATTAGACATCTCTTCATTTTAGAGAGAAGATGGAAACAACATTGCTTTTCTTTTCTCAAATAAATATGTGTGAATCAAAAGAAAAAACTTTTTTCAAGTTAATACATGGTTCAGGAAAAGAAGAAACAAGCAAAGAAGCCAAAATCAGGTAAAATTGTACAATTTTAAGTCAGCCTTATACTTTTAAAAGCATAATTGAGGTTGAAGATTCATTACCTCTTGTTTTTGAACTATTGGGTGGAAAATATATTGTTTGTATTGCTATAATTTGGGAAAAAAAAACACCTTTTTATTTCTTAGGTTTAAACAACAAACTGAAATCTAAAGTGTTCTCATTAAAAAAAAAGTGTAATAATGTTAGCCACATAGAGGAACTAGTGCAATCTTTATTGAAATATAATCTCAAATACTTGATTGTCGGTGAGCAAAAGGAGAAACATTTTCGTATGTTACCCTAATTCCTCCACAAATACAATATTTAAATGGGATTCATGAGTGTGTGGGTATGGGTGGGCGTGGGTTTTTACCAACTACAAAATTTTCTGGTAGTCAGCAGGAGAGATTTTAACTGTCATCTAAATTGTCCTGACATGAAGGCCTTTTTATTACAGAGCTAAGGAAAAAAGAAATAGACTAAGTCTTCTTGTGCAGAAACCTGAGTTTCATGAAGACACCCGCTCCAGTAGATCTGGGCACTTGGCCAAAGAAACAAGGTGAATAAATTTTCAGTATTTTGAGGAAGATTTTGCTGATTCTATCATTAAAGATTTAAGAAAAATGCAGTTAGGGATTTCTGATTTATTGAAAATTACACAGCAATATAAGGAAAGTTAGAAATTTCATTTGAAGAGACTAGAAATATTTCATAAAATTAAATCACTTGAATTAAATCGCTTGAATTGAATAATCACGTGAACACTTAAAGCTGCTCTTTTAAAATTATATACCTGTCAGTTTTAAATGACATGTTTTACTCCTTATAACCTGATAAAATGCTCATTAATTTAAGAGTTTTCACAATGCAATATTGTCATAGCAGAGAGATATTCATCTCTTTCTTCAGTAGTTTGAAAAAACACACGCATTATAGCAAGTAAAGCACAAATAATGTCTTTTAATACTTAGCATTTATTTAATTCAAAAAGAAAATGCAAAAACCTTATATACTAGTTTCATACAAATTCTTCCAAATTAGAGTATAATAAAAAAGATCCGAGAAAATATATTCAATTCTCCACATTACCAACATCTCTAGAATATTTTTTCTATTAAAATATCTTATATTTCTTATCCCTTTGAAACTTTATTAGTCAAACTTCCTGTATCCGTTTAAAAAAAAAATTTGCAGCCTAGTGTGGTTACAGCTTCAAGGAAATTGCAGTATAATTTTTTTTTAACTGAAAGATACTGTGAGTTTAGTTTTTTTCTACTTGCTGAATTTAAACAGATAGTTGACCTGATTTCTTTATATTTGTTATCTGTGCCCTTTAACCTAAAAAAGGATTAATTTTTAATTAAAAAATAAAACTCACATATCCATGAGAAAAAAAATAATGTTATTTCAACACATTATTCAACAGACAAATTCCAAAAGAAAATTGAACAATGTTTTCAAAGTTTCTAATGTAAATGCAATTTTCATTATATTATAATCAAAGGAGAAACTGTGAAATATAATTGAAAAGAGCAGTAAAATAGCATATGTTAGAACAGATTCATAAACAGACTTTCTGCACACTCCATTATAAAACATTTTGTTTCTTGTACAGAGTCTCCCCTGAAGAGGCAGTGAAATGGGGTGAATCATTTGACAAACTGCTTTCCCATAGAGGTTAGTGGTACTTTCACCAAATACTTTGTGTGCTTAATGGAAAATTACACAAACTATGCATGTAATTATCCGAAACAATAGGTCACAAAATTTTTGTCTGATTGTTAATTTTCAGTAATTCAATTTTCTGATCAACAGAACTAAGTAATAGAAAAGTCAAATAATGGAAATTTTTTTAAAAGTTCTCATTTTGTTTAGAATTACCTACTGTGGATGAAATATTAGTTATTTATACTGTAGCTAGTTTCAGTTTTTAAATTTTTCCGATTTTTGAATGAAATCTTCGGTTTTATCAAATTCATGATTAACGAACTATTCATGTTAGTTTCATTGTTCAAGGATTAAAAATATCAAGTAATTCTTTCGATGGACATACAGGAAACCCACATAAACACAGTTTTTTTTGTTTGTTTGTTTTTGTTTTTTGTTTTGAGACGGAGTCTCGCTTTGTCGCCCAGGCTGGAGTGCAGTGGCGCCATCTCGGCTCACTGCAAGCTCCGCCTCCGTTCAGGCCATTCTCCTGCCTCAGCCTCCCGAGTAGCTGGGACTACAGGCTCCCGCCACCACGCCCGGCTAATTTTTTTGTATTTTTAGTAGAGACAGGGTTTCACCGTGTTAGCCAGGATGGTCTCAATCTGCTGACCTGGTGATCCACCCGTCTCAGCCTCCCAAAGTGCTGGGATTACAGGCGTGAACCACTGCGCCCCGCTCCATAAACACAGTTTTAAAAAAAATTTATAAATTCTTCATTCTGTACTTCATATCAATTGTCTATTTTTAAAGCAGAATTTTGTAGAAATGTTGAGAATCGAGTATGTATTTAAGGTGGAGCTTTGTCTGTGAGATGGAGGGTGAGGACAAGCATCAAGGCCTCATTTGACTCTGGAACACTGTTATAATATAGCATGGCTTAGGAGGCAGGCTCCCTGGATTGCCACTCTTTAGGGTCAATTTACATAAGGTAGCAAGTGAGTGAACTTTGTTGTCTGTATTCATTTTATGCTTTCTTTCAGATAGAAAGACTCAACTGAGCAGGTGATGCAGCTAGGTAATCACAGATTTATTATTCTCCACCCTGAACTTGTCAGAGTCTGCAAAAAAAGCAATGCTTTATCATTACCAAACATCCACCTCAAGCCCACAGCTTTTTTTTTTTGCACTTTAAACTTGTCCAGTTTCTCACCTTAGTCTTTGAAATACAATCATTTCCCAGCTCTTCCCAGACCCTTCCAAGATGAGGTTAGCCAGACTACTCTAACTACTCCTTGTAGCGTTGCCCGTGTCTTTCACAATTTTAAGGTGTCTACTGGAAGAAAGGATTCCTGTTGCCAGGACAGTTGGGAGTGGAATATTTGTAATTCACCCTCAAATACTATGCTCCATTTAATGTAACAACAACTTTTCTTTTCTGACATATTTTTGTTTTGTTTTGTTCCCTTCCTTAATTGTCCAACTCTTTATAAGGTCTTGGTGACCTTTTCATGTTCTTCTGAATTTAGTGATATAAAAATTCTATATCTGTAGATGATACCTGAAAACTTTCCCTCTGCCAATGAAAGTAGATGGCTGCCTCTGAACTGTAATATTTATAGGTAGAGAAATCAAGGCTTAAACTTAGTTAAGGATGTAATCAATGAGAATGGAGAGTTATGGTAAGAAAGTTTGTGCTGACAAAGTTTAACTTGTATTCCTTATATTTCACTCTAAGACTAGCTACTATCACTTCCTGTTTTTGGGAAAAGTAACTTAAACAGCCTTCCTCAACTACTGTACTCACTTTTCTTCATTTCCAGTATACGACAATTCATTTTTTGCTGTTTTTTGTTTGTTTTCTTTTTTGTTTTTTTGGTTTGTTTGTTGTTTTGTTTTGTTTTGTTTTTGTGTTTTGAGACAGAGTCTTGCTCTGTAGCCTAGGCTGGAGTGCACTGGCACAATCTCAGCTCATTGCAACCTCCACCTCTTGGGTTCAAGGGATTCTCCTGCCTCAGCCTCTGGAGTAGCTGGGATTACAGACACAGGCCACCACACCTGGCTAATTTTTGTATTTTTAGCATATTGGTCTCGAACACCTGACCTCAAGTGATCCACCCATCTAGGCCTCCCAAAGTGACGGGATTACAGGCGTGAGTCATCATGCCCAGCCCCAGTATACAACAATTTCTAAACTATTGTTAAAATTCTTGCCAAATCTATGTCAAACTTGCCCCGTACTCACTTTCTTGCTCCGATTGTTTTGGTTCAGTTTCAGATATGCTCTTTATAGATTAATTACAATAACTTGTGTAAAACTTGCTTCCATAATTCATGTCCCCCAAATGTGTTTATTTTAAAATCTCCTCTTATATTCAACATTTTGGTACTGCACTGCCCTTTAGACTCCTCACCAGTCAGAGAAGGAGAAAAGAAAACAAAACAACAACAACAAAAAAAGAGGACTGGGATTAATTTCTTTATAATATAAGTATTTATTAGAAGGAAACATACATCTTTTCATCTGTGGATTCCTAAACTTAGCACATCCCCTGGAAAAGAATATAACTGAATTTGTTTCTAGAAGTTAGTCCAGAGTTCCAGTGAAATTCGAGTTTTAGTTTTCTCCTAAAACATAAATGGTTGTATAATCTTAGTTAAGCTTCCTAATCACTCTGACTTTCAGCTTCCTCGACTGTAAATGAAGATAATGTTTTTAGCTCCAACAGAAATAGATTTCTGTCAGGATTAAATGAGATGATGAATAAGAAACCAATAAATCTTGGACACTACAGAAATGTCAATGATTGCTGCTATTATAAAAAATAATATTTACTAACCAGCTTAATAATCTTTTTTTCTGTTTCCAGTCTAGTTACAACTGGATGATGATCAATTAGAGGGTGAAAATTTCAATTGACAATAACATATAGACAGGATTTCTTTCACTTAATGAATTAGTATATAATAATTTCATCATACTTTCATTACTCATTCAAAGCATAGAAAGATTTAGCAGGATGATTAGTCCTACAGAAAATCCTCACCTAGCATTCTGTAATCTTTCTTCTTTAAAAGTGGTAAAAAGCAAAAGGACAAAATCGAATTTGCTACTCTCTCTTTTCTCTACTGGTAATATTGAAGAACAGTAAACTATCTGCAATTTAAATCAAGAAGAGACACATTTAAAGAAATCAGCACTGACCCACTGGATATTATCACTTGTCATGATTACAATGCTAAATATATTATATTGAATTCACAGAATTTATATTACCAGTATTATTTTACTCAATCTCCCCTAATCCAATTATTTTTATTACAATGCTTATAATAATATTAAATTGTCAAACTTAAAATAATCACCTAAAACAAGCCTTTTGTTTGCAGTGGTTAAATTCAGTTTATTTCTATTTATTTGACTCTAGTAGAAAAGTGTGTGTGTGAATATATATATATATTTTTTTTTTTTCTTTTTTTTAAAGAGAAAGATCCTACACACACACACACTTCAAGAAAGACATTGCTCTATCAAATTTTATCAAATTTCCTTTTATAAAATTTTATAAAATGCATACTTTTCTCAAATTCTGTATGTTATGTCATTAAAAGGAAACAAAATTTACTCAGTTTATTCAAATGAGAAATTAAGTGATAAATCAAACCAGATACAATGGAAATTTGGGTATTCAATTTGACAAAAACAGTTAATATTAGAACCATCATAAACTGATTATTAGCAGTTTTAGGAATGAAACCACAGGATGGATGGTTTTTACCCTAGATTTTAGGGGATTAATCAAAATTCACTAGCCGAACAAGGACAGAAGGAGACCATCCAAGCAAAGAATCAGTATAGGAATGGGGCGTTAAACAATATAATTTAGTTAGGGAATTAAAACCAAAACAATTCTTTATTGAAAAATACAATTTGAAAAGGGATGGTGGCTTAGGGTGACAGACAATATATCCATGAGACCAAAACAGAAAGGTCACTGATTTTTGCTCTATTCCACAGAAATCAAATGATTCAGGGAGGTGTTCTGATAATTCTATTTTATTCTAATTTTAGTCACACAGTTTAACTTTTTTAAAATTAAAAAAAAAATGAGTAAATATAAACTTCAGTTCAAAATTATGCATCAGTGTTGTTTCAGTAATTGCAACAAATGTCCCATACCAACATAAGATATTAATAACAGGGAAATTGAATCGGGGGCATATTACCTTCTTCTAAATCTGTACTACCTTCTGTACTACCTTCTTGTTGTGGGAAGTCAGGGACCCCGAAAGAAGGGACCAGCTGAAGCTATGGCAGAAGAATATAAATTGTGAAGATTTCATGGACATTTATCACTTCCCCAATCAATACTCTTATAATTTCCTATGCTTGACTTTACTTTAATCTCTTAACCCAATTGTCTTCATAAACTGAGGATGTATGTTGCCTCAGGACCCTGTGATGATTGCGTTAACTGTGTAAATTGTTCGTAAAGCATGTGTGTTTGAACGATATGAAATCTGGGCACCCTGAAAAAGAACAGGATAACAGCAATGTTCAGGGAACAAGGGAGATAACCATTAGGTCTGACTGCCTGGGACCCGGGCAGGACAGTCATATTTCTCTTATTGCCGAAAATGGGTAAGAGAAATATCACTGAATTATTTCCCCAGTAAGGAATATTAATAATTAACAGCCCTGGGGAAAGAATGGATTCCCCGGGGAGGCCTCTAAAATGGCCGCTCTGGGAGTGTCTGCTTTATGCCGTTGTAGGTAGGGATGAAACATGCCCTGGTCTCCTGCAGCACCCCCAGGCTTGCTAGGATTAGGAAATTCCAGCCTGGTGAATTCTAGACAGACTGGTACTCTGCTCTTGAACCCTGTTTCCTGTTAAGATGTTTATCGACGACAATGCTTGCACAGTGGGACTTGAAACTTCATCAGAAATTGTAGTTTTGCCCTGGCCTTGTGACCTTGTCCTGCCCATTTGCCTTGTGATATTTTATTGCCTTTGAAGCATGTGATCTCTGTGACCCACACTGTGTTCGTACACTCCCTCCCCTTTGAAAATTGCTAATAAAAACTTGCTGGTTTTGTGGCTCAGGGGGCATCACGGAACCTGCCGATGTGATGTCTCCCCTGGACACCCAGCTTTAAAATTTCTCTCTTTTGTGCTCTTTCCCTTTATTTCTCAGACTGGCCGACACTTAGGGAAAATAGAAAAGAACCTATGTTGAAATATTGGGGTCTGGTTCCCCTGATACCTTCTGCAAAATATTTCTGTAAATCTAAATCTATTGAAGAATAAAATACTTTAGAAAATGATCTCAGTAATGTTACATAGTAAATTTTAACACAATGAAGTCCATCAATAATTTAAATTCTGTTTCTTATTTCGTTCAATGGAGTTATTAGTCTATTTTTTCTGCTATTTCTATTTATTGTCAAATTTGTCTGAAGTTTCAAAATGAATAATAAAAATTTGTAGTTTAATACTACATGTATATAAACCAGTAATTTCTAAGGGCTATTTAAATTTAAAAAGTAGTAATAAATCAAAAATGAAATATCAAACTATATCTGTCATTCATAATCATAAATTTTTAATTTAGTTTTATCAGTCTTCTCACTGGCTTTATAAAAGTTAATTTTATCAGTTTGAACTTATAAAATCAGTTGATGCCAATAAAATATAGAGATATATTATACACACATATGTGTTTTTATTTGTATACATATATGTGTATGGCTCTGTGTAGGCACGTTTGAAAGGAAAATGATACTGCTGCATAACACATAACTTCTAAAATAACTTGCTAAACAGTTTTTTAAAATATTATATAGAACTTGCAGTATATCATTAGAAGATCACTATAAGAGATTAAATAGATGTATGCAATAATTCAACAGGCAAAAGAAAAGGTAATTCTTGAGATAAAGGCAAGGAAACAGAGTACTAAGAGATTTTGACATGATCTGGAAAAGCAGTAAGTTTACTCTGAGGCAAAGAATAATAAACACATTATATAATTAAGTTGGGAACAAACTTTGGAAGCCTTTGTGTGTTAAAAAGATAACTCTGATGGTTAGAAAGGTAAAATTCCATGCATGTAATATAGACTACCTACAAAGTTGTTATATAAAAGCTAAATTCAAAGTAAGGACCCGCTTAGAAAAAAAAAATGGATAAACTTAGTGACTTAATCAATGTGTATGTATGTTATTGAGTGAGAAGATGAAGGAATAGGAAACAAAAAAGAAGGATGAGCCAAAGATTTCTAGATTTCATTTTTATTATAATAGGAAGATAATGATATCTGTAATAGATGCGAAATAGAGGAGGATGAACAAGACTTGTAAAAAGAGAACAGAGTAGAGTTTGAACATTTTTTGTCCATGGTAAACCTTATCAAAAGTTTTGCAGGGTTTTGTAAGTGCACACCTAAAATATGGAAGGCTGACTTATAGAAAGAGATTTTCTAACCAGCTCACATTGTTGATAATTGCTTATCTGAATGAAAATGTTATATCTCATGAGGGGAATTTCTATCAATTAGACAATCTTTCCACTACTACGTAACTGTTCCTTTTCCGTGTGTACCCTTTTATCCAGTCATTGCTAAAAACTACAATAGTCTTAACCTTTGTATTAATACCTATTTACTTGAACTTTTTACACTCTGAATTGTGGTTCTAAGTAACTTCTGAAAACAATTTGTAACATGTAGGATGGAAGTAGAATATGTAAGTCATTGCACCTCCTGGATTTAAAAATAGAAACTGACTATACTTTGGAAAATACTTATTACTAAGTTTGAGTAAAGACTACAAGGAAATGCATACTTCACTTTTGGGGGAGGAAATGAGTACTTTTTCTTATACTTTTCACCTTGTGGCTTTTCAAGTTACAGTTCCTAATTTTTGGTTACCAATTTTCTGCAAGATAAAGAATTTCAGCGCTCTAAAAATTTAAATTTCCAACTCAAGCTAACCCATAACAAGCACAAGCACTCAACTTTTTTTTTTTTATATTGAATCTCACCCTGTCACCCAGGCTAGAGTGCAATGACGCAATCTCAGCTCACTGCAACCTCCACCTCCTGGGTTCAAGCGATTCTCCTGCCTCAGCCTCCCAAGTAGCTGGGATTTCAGAAGCGCACCACCACACCCAGCTGATTTTTTGTATCTTTAGTAGAGACAGGGTTTCACCATGTTGGCCAGGCTGGTCTTGAACTGCTGACCTAGTGATCCACCTGCCTCGAACTCCCAAAGTGCTGGGATTACAGGCATGAGCCACCATGCCTGTCCAACAAGCACTCAATTTCTTAATTTATCTAAAGATTAAAAATAAATAAAACCCAGTCCTAATTATAACTCATCACATAAATCATTTATTATGGCAAAAGAAACCACATTCTATGGCAAATCAGAGCTACAAAGCCAAATGTTACAGAAGAAACAATGCAACTTATTACTTCGGATATTATATGGTACTTGGGTTTCCAACTTCAGATTTTCTTGACTTTTTGTTTCATTTGGTTTCTTGGCATCAGAAAAATACTCCAACAGATGCCAGAGTTTCAATTTAGAAACATGCAATTACATGCATTTCATATTTGTATGACACATTGAGCCAGCTTCTTCCAGTGTGAATTCTAATCCCAGGTTCTATCAAGCACTTTTGGCAGCTGCATTCACCACTGCTGCCTTCTAAAGGACTGTTTAGTAAGTTACTGCCTCTGTATGAGAAATGGTTCCATTGTGAACTGACTTAATGCAGCTGCCCAAAGTGAGTAAGAGAAACAGGAAGTAACTAATGTGCTGGGATAATCTTGTAGAGCATTGCACATTACTTTAAAAAAGTTATTTACTTAAAATTTTAATTAATAAACTTCTTTCTCATTCATCCTTTATTCATTTCTTGAATTAGTATTTTTGCTTTACTATTATATTCATATTATGCCAACAAAATCCATTCACTTTAGTTAATGCATCATGAGCACTCAGAACATACATAGCACTTTTCTTGATATTAGTACGCTGACTTCACTTTGAATGTCTGTATCAAGCACAAGACTAACCATAGTAACAAAGGGCTTTTGCATAATATTTCAGAGCGCAGCAGATGGCACAGAGTCGACACTCATGCTTGTGAATTAGTGAAGGACTCTATTTGAAATAATGTTTATGTTATTTTCTGGAAGACTTCTATTTGAATTTTATGCAAGTTGATTTTCCTCTGCTACTTTGAACAGAATAAGTCACTCTTTTAATTGTGCTTCCTCAGTCCTTGGTTCATACATGCCTGTCCTGCCCATTAATCTCCATATTCCTCAACAGTAAGGACTTTCTTTTCTTTACGGCAGTTTAGTTGTAAAGGTCCTGTAATTTTAAATAAGATGAACCTGGGTTCAAGCACTTACACTATCTTTTACTGTCTGTAAGATTTAATGCAAGTTAACTCTTTGAACGTCAACTTCTTCATCTATAAACATGAGTATAACAAGACTTACTCCGTAGGGCTGATGTGAAAATTAAATGGAATTGTGCCAATAAAAGGCATACAGCAATGTGCTAAGACCTTAACGAACACTCAAAACTCCTAACCTGTAAATACTGCTTAAATACATAACACAGTTCTCAGGTTCAGACTAAGTTATTTTTAAAATCAGTAATTATAGGTTAAAAAGTTATTTTAATAAATAACAATTTCAGCTATCTGGCTTCTGGGCATTTTCTTTTAGCTGACAGTACAAAAAATTTATTATAATTCTGATTGGTTATAGAAGTAATGGTCATATTCTTCTGAAATCATGAAAATTATTTAATAACTCACTTTAGGAATAATTTGATATTTAAAAACTGATCAATCCACGCTTATGCATAACATGTGGCTAGAGTGCAGTAGATTAAAATCGAAAACGTTTATGCTTTCACTGGGTCAGTGCTACTTTATTTATAAGCCAAATAAAACATACTTTCTTTCCTCTTTGGAAATATGACCTTGAAACAGGTTGTTCTTTCCTTGTAATGTAACTGGCATTTTATTTTGCCAACTTTGCTTTAATTTCTATTTAAATAGTAACTGAGGAACAAGGAAGGACAAGATAAAATGCCTCTTTTTGTGAAATGGGGAAAGGCAGGACCTATATCATAGACAAACAGATCAATAACACCCAATGGTATGCTTTTTAATATCAGCAGAAGGCACATTTCCATATGACTACTTTTTGTTTTCTTTTTAATTAGGATTACCTGAAAATCTTCTCACAATTATTTTGTTGTCCTGCTTCCAGTTTTTTCTTAATATCTAGCCAAGAAATTCTCTTCAGAAATCCACTTTATAGCAACTATTAAGCAAAGCATACTAAGATACTGACCCTGCAATAAGAAATAAGACATTTTAGAATTCTATTAAAAAATTAGAAAGAATCTATCAGCTCTGAAGATAGTTATCAGAGATAAATTAAGGACTGCTTTTTAGAGTTAAGTCTAGTAAAAAAATGGATATTAACTTAGAAAAAGGACAAATACTTTAGCAATTTGAAAGATTAAGTAAGTATAGGTGGTAAATAGCTGGTTTCCATTATCTTAAATATTTATTAAGGGGAAAGTTCTCAAGAATAATTTGTTTTAAGTAGTTCTGGGCAGAGGCTACGGCTAACTGCCGAAAGTTTAGTTCAGGCCAGTTGGTGCATAGATTATTGTTTTTTTGTGGTGGTTTTCTTTTACAGACCTAAACATTGCCCCACATTTCAAATTATATTTCAATTACAATGTAGGGTTTGAAAGGCATGTGATACGGTTTGGTTGTGTGACCTATCCAAATGTCATGCTGAAATGTGACCTCTGAAGCTGAAAGTGAGCCTAGTGGGAGACATTTGGGTCACGGAGTGAATCCCTCATGAATGGCTTTGTACTGTCTTCGCAGTAATAAGCGAGTTATCATTCTTTTAGTTAACATGCAAGCTGAATGTTTACAAAAGCCAGAGACCTGCCTTTTTTCTCACTGCCTCTTATCTTGTGATACACTGGCTTCCCCTTTGCCTTCCTCCGTGAGTAAAACTTCCTGAGGCCTCATCAGAAGCAGAGCTGATGAGCCATGAGCTAAATAAATCTATGTTCTTTATAAATTACTCAGGCTCAGGTATTCCTTTATAGCAATGCAAAATGAACTAACATAGCATGTCAGCATGTTTTGTCTTAGTCTCCTTATTTTATTCCAAGATCATTACAGAAGACAGAGGGGGCAAAATTAGAAAAAAAAAAAAGACAAGTAAAACCATAGACTAAGTAATAAAACCATCCCTCCAGTTACATAATGGAAAAGAAATAAATTATCAAGCTGCTGTCAATCAGCAGCCAAACAATACTTATTCAGCTTATTTCCTAAAGTCATCATAAGGCTCCAGGTTTACTTGAAGTCTTGAGAGGATATTGCAATTTAGCTTTCAAAAATTAAGGGAATATAGTCTTGGACAATTCATGACACAAACTGCTTTTATACAAGTCCAAGTTCTCAAATGCAGGTGGTGAAAGGCATTGTGGGAAAGAAAATCAAATAGGAACGTTCTAAGGAACAATAATCCCTATGGGTGCTTATGTGCTTAATATGCCACAGTACAACCAGCACATCTGATGCCCTGTTGTTCACTTTGGCAATTATTTTGTAGCTAGACCATTAGCTTTACTCTGAAAACCTATATATTTGTAGGTATTTGGAGGAAATGTACAATGTATCAAAATGCCTCAAAGAACCATTGTTCATTTATATTTCCCTTTTACAGTCTGAGAAAAGCATATGCTCAGTGTGAGAAATCAATCTTGAAAAGAATACACTAACTGAGCTAGAGAAAGAAGAGCGACTTGATCACTCTTGCTTCTCAGTGGTCAGAGTTTGCCGACTCATTCAAGAATCACTTAGCAGTAAGGCCTTCATCAGACAGTTGTGTTTGACTAGAAATTATCTTACTAGCATTTCAGGACTGCAGACAAGTTCTGTAAGTTGCTTGTCAGTTTTACAATGCCTTGTCAAATTCTTTTTGAGCCCAACCTTCCCTTGTCTCTCTAGTTAATTAACTAATATGTAACTGCTAACATCCGTTGCTCATGGTAAATTTACTGAGGAAAAGAAATGGCAGGATCTCCCTTTGTCCAGGTGAAAACATCCCAATGAAGAGGCCGTGGTGCAGAAGAGACCTATGTCATCCTTTTCTTGTGGTAGTGGCTGAAATCATTCCATACTATAAAGCTTAGGAATTTCTATAGGTTGTCATATCTTTGTCTAACTACTGATTTCCTAAACAGTAAGTTCCTGGAACTCTAATACATTAAAAAGATTGCTTACAACATTAAAAAATGACACTTCATGACAAAGAGGATAAGGTCTATATAAAGGAGGAATAAATGGTGATACAAAAAGAATAATTTGAGGATTGTATTGGTTTCCTGTTGCTGCTATATCAACTTACCACAACTACGGTGATTAAAACAACACAATTTTATTATCTTAAAGTTGTGTTAGAAGTCCAGTATGGGTTTGATCAAAATAAATCAAGATGTCAGCAGGCTATTCTTTTTTTGGAGGGTTTAAGGAAGAATCACGTTTCTGCTCATTTGGATTGCTGGCAGAATTAAGCTGTTTGCAGTTATAGACCAACTACTTCCTTCCCTTGCTGGCTGCAAACTGAGGTTCATTCCCACTGCTACGGTTTGGATGTAGTTTGTTTCTCCCCTCACCCCAAATCTCAGGTTGAAATCTGATCCTCAATGTGGTGATGTTGGGAGGGGGCACCTAGGGGATTTGTTTCTATCATGGGAGAAGTTCCCCCAGGATTGGCTTGGTGCAGTTTTCAGCAATAGTGAGTTTTCACTCTTGAAAGACTGGATTAGTTCTCAGGGGAATGGATTCGTTCCCTCGAGAGTAGGTTCTTATGAAGCCAGGCTGCCCCTCGGGTTTGATCCCTCTCTGCACATGCCCACTTCTTTGGTCTTCACCATATTTTGACCCAGCACAAAACCCTCACCAGAAGCCAAGCATATGCCAGCAGGCTTCTTATACCACCGGCAGAACTGTGAGTAAAATAAACCTTTTTCTGTATAAACTACCCAGCCTCAGGTATTCCTTTATAGCAACACAAAACAGACTAAGACACCCACCTTCCAGAATACACTACATTTCCTGGGTCATGACCATCTACTTCATACTCAAAGCCAGCAGCAGAGTCAGGTCCTTCTTAGGTCACATCTCTCTGATCTACTCTTCTGCCTCTTCTACTTTTAAGGACTCGCGTGATTAGATTGGCTCTACCTGGATAATCTCCCCCATCTCAACGTCCTGAACTATATTTAGTTCCTTTTTTCCCACAGTTCCTGGAGATTAGGGCATGAACACCTTTGGAGGGTTATTTCTCTGCCTACCAAAGGAAACAATGCCTTCCTGAGAAAAATATGCATATATATATATATATATAAATATATATATATACACATATGTATAAAATCTGGGGCAATTGAACTTATCTGAATCTCAGTTTTCTCATCTAAGAAAATGAATATAAGACATATTCCATGTATCTGTTATAAAAATTAAATGAGGTAATGTATATAAGTAACACTTAACCTTCAAAACCTCTAAACATGTTATAAATGCAAAACCTCTTAGTTATTACCATACTTCTACCAATAGAAATTTATTATTCTTGTTTCATTTTATATGGAACTTTTTATATTAGTAATAGTCACTAACCATGAGGAATAGTTCTAGACAGCTGTAAACATTTAAAAAAATGTGGTAATCTAAGTTAAAATGAGTTGAACAGACAAAGCTACAACATTTATTTCAACTTTTTTCAGCCATAATGCCAGAATATTTGCACCTTCTTTATAAATAGCTGGATTTTAAAACATATACTTTGTGTAGAATCTTTGCTTCTATAATCATGAGAGATATTGTGTAATTTTCTTCACTTCCTTCTTAGTCTTAGTCTTTACTTGTTTTTTTTATGGGGCAGAGTGTCAAGTTTTGGTATTAGAATTTATCCTCGTCTCATAAAATAAGGTGGAAAGTGTTCATCTCCTCTCAATTTTCTCAAAGCAAGTATGTAAGATTAAAATACATTTTTTTCTTAAATGTTTGATGGAATTTACTAAATTTGGTCCCAGGTATTTTTGGGCGGAGAGAAATGTTTTATTATAAAATCTATTAATTGAATTAGGGCTACCAGATCTTCCACTTCTTCAAGTGTCAGTTTGGGTATAGGTTTATTGTTTTTTTAAACAATTTCCCTATGCCATATAAATTATATTTACTGGCATTAAGTCATTCATAATATTCACTTGTTTGTAATATATGTAAGATCTATACTAATATTTATGGTTTGCTTCCTAATGTGAAAGACTCTTGCTAGGGGTTTTATTTTATTAATGTTTTAACAGAACCAACTTTGGCTTTGTTAATCTCTGTAGTTTTTCTGTTACATATATTTTTCCTCTTGTTTTTATTTTTATTTTTTCTTCTACTGACTATGTATTTAATTTGCTCTTCAAGTTTCTTAAGGTGGAAACCTAGATCTTAATTTTTATACCCTTCCTGTTTTTTTTCTTTCTTTTTTTTTACTAGACCACCATTTTGTGCAATAAAATTCTCTCTAACCACTGTTTAAGCTGCATCTCACAAATTTTTGATCTGCTGTACTTTCACTATAATTCAAGTATAAATATTTTTCTAATTTGCCTTGTGATTTCTCTAACATGTAGGTTATTGTGTTTACTACATATTTATCACACACTGGTTATTGTGTGCTTATTTTCAAATATTTGTTTTTGTTTTGTTTTTATCTATGTTACTAGTGTCAATTATTAATTCAAACCCCTTGCCGGCAAAGGACATATCTGTAAGGTATCAAGCTTTTTGAAATTTATTTAGGCTCATATTATGAGTCTAACACAGAGTTTATCTGGGATAATATTCCCTGTGCATTTGAAAAGATGTGTTTGGTAGATCATTTTGTAATTTTTCAATTCAGTCGAATTAATGATGTTTAAGTTTTATATATTGTCATTGATATGGTCTACTTTTTTCTATGAATTAATGAGTAAGCAGAATTAGAATCTATACCTAAATTGTGAATTTTTCTACTTCTGTTCTATGAGTTTGCTTCATGTATTTTGAAGCTCTAAATGAAGTTCATATATGTTTAGGATTGTTATGTACTAGTAATAATTGGTCACTTAAAAATTACAAAACGGAAATACTCTTTATTTTGAAGTTACTTTTTCAAGCCATGTGAAGATTTTTTTGTTCAGATTTCTTATGCTTAACCTCTGCACTGTGTAACATTTTTATCCGTTTTCTTCATCTTCCTGATACTTTTCATTTAATGTGTCTCTTGTTGCCAATATGTAGTCTGTTTTTACTTTTTAACCCAGTCAGATAATCTCTGACTTTTAATTGGAATGTTTAGCTCATTTAAATGTTATCTCATCATTGATATATATGGGATTGGATCTAACATCTTACTATTTATTTTCTATTTGTTTCCTCATTTTGTTGTTGTTTTCTTTTCCTCCTTTCCTACCTTATTTAGATTAAGTAAATCTATCTTCTATACAACTGTCTGCTAGCATATCCATCCCTTCTGCAGTCTTTAATCTGTTGCCATGACCATCCAATATTTTTTTATTTTTAATATTTTACATTTTATTTGCTGAATTTCAACTTAATTACTTTTCATAGTTTAAATTTTGTCTTAGGTCTTTTTTAACCTTTGTGTTTTTCAAAAAATTTATATGAGCTTTTTTAAAGTTTTTGTCTGCTATTTCCAACATTTTAGATAACTTATCAGTTTTTATTGATATTTTATCAACAAACAAAATATTGATAATAAGTCATGAAAATTTCCTTATATCACTAATTTTTTTTTTGTATGTGAGCATGGAGGAAGACATAGGAGTCTAAATTATGTGGTCTTCCCTTATAGAGTATTGAATCATTTTTCTGGAAGTGAATTAAATCACTGTTGTATCCTCTTGATTTTTTTTCTGATCAGCTTGATCCTTTAAGGCTGGTATATCTCAGAATTGTCTTAGTATGAGGACAAGACCTTTCTTAGTAGTAGGACAAGACATAGTGTTTATACCAGAAACACGAACTTTCTTTGGTATCTCTTCTACGGCTGAGCCAGAAATCCAAAGTCATCCAAACCTATCAAAACTCTCCTATCTCCATTAACCTCAGTCCCATAGCATCTGTCTTCTTCTAGACTTCACAAAATTTGCCCTGCTCATGTGCAGCTTAGCCCTCAGTCAAGGCTCTGCAGGAAAACTGCATGGAGGCTTCTGGGTCCCCTTATAAAGCAGATTCACTCTGCACTGGTTACCAATTAAGCCCCCTATGTCTTGGGCTACAATTTTGATTACTTGCACAAATCCACTATGATAGAACACTGATACAACTAGTTAAGCAAAGCAACTTTAGTACTTGCAAATAGGCACCAAGGGATAATAGAAGCCTAGTATTCATAATGAGCTTCCCCCTCAACACTCAGGAAAGCTGCTAAGAGTGAATTAAATTTTGTCTATGATGTTCCAATTGCATGGCAGCCGAGGGATCCCAGAAAGCAGCCTGTCCTGGTTTTTATGTCCGAGGGAATACAGGTATCCCTGGGCTAAAGTGTCAAAGAAGATCCTATTTTGGGGTGGCAAAGGAACACAGCAAGGTTATTCTGGTCAATTTCTCTTATCTCAGGATGTTGCATTGTCAGCACATTGTACATTTATTTTTGAGAAACACAAGTGACAAAAAAGAGAGAACAAGTTAGTACAAGGTCACTCAAACTGTCCCACACCCTTCTGCATGTTTCCTTTTTTCAGTAGCCTGACCCACAAATTCCAAATACATCATAATGCCCAAACTCTTATCTCTGCCTCCTCAATTCAGCAAGACTTCTTACTATGGTTAGCCTCCATCTTCATGCGTACCAGTCTTAAAAATGCCCCCAGGTAGAAAGCCAGAGCAAACCTAGCACTCACTTCATGTGTTTTTCTTCTCATCTGTTGCCAGTTGTATTCTGCTTGGAAACTACTGCCTCAATATTTTTTCTAGTTTTATAGTTATTTGTGGTAGGAGGACAAGCCTGGTTCCCATTACTTTGTAATGACCCTCCTCTTCTTAATAGTTTAGTAGTAATATGTTCTTTTATTTAAGGTAGTGCTCTATAGATTAAATATCAAATCAAGGGCTTTGTCCACTTCTAAAATTGCTGGTCTCTGGTACCTAGACCAGTGTCTGGAACACAGCATGTGATCAATATTGTTTCAATGAATTAATGAGTTATTCAGTGGGGAGTTCAGGATGCAAACAAAAGTATTTAATAAAATAGTTGAACAAAGTAAGGAATACATTATATGTTTCAATAACTCATAGTGATATCCAACAGAGAGCAGTGTACCTCCAGAAATGTTTGTGAGCTTGTCCAAAGTCATATAGACTGGCATTTACCACAAACTCTAGCTTCACACGTTCTCAAAATTGATGCTGTCATCTTGTTAGCATGCCAGGAAGGACCCAACTCTCAGTAGAAGGCTCACATTGGCAAAACTCATGGGGTTAAATACCAAACTAATAATACAGATTCAGAAATAAAACTGTCACTGATAGCCATTTCTCTACCTTTTCATATGACCAAAGAAGCATCCAAAATGTATTAAAAATTTTGCTTGCCAAGCATGAAACTAGAATATTAATTAAATGTTTAATGTCATCAAGCTAAGAATTAACTTTTTAAATAAATTAGTATATTTTTAACTACATATTTTTGTCCATATTCACAATAGGACACAATTTTGTGGATTTTTTTTTTGCTTTTTTATGTTACCAGCTCTGATTGTCCATATCTCTTGTAAATATGATAGGTCTGATATTTCATTTAGTACACAAAATATTTCCTAGAAGTGTTTCATGTTTTTTTAATATAATTCTGTATTTTTATAATTAATTCAATTATTTGTTGATAATTTATTTTAGTATTATTAAATAATTATTGAGTTATTTCTCATGTTGGGTACTGGAAATTTGGTGACAAGTTAGACAAGGGTCTTCGTCTTATATATGTTACAGTGTAGCCTGGAAAACAAAAGTTAGCAGGCAACTGCAGTACAATATTTTAAGTTTACCCGGCACAGTAGAAGGCCATATATGAAGGACACCCAACTCGTTCTTTAGAGATTGGTGAAGTCTTTCCGGACAAGATGAAGTGTAATTTCAACCTCAATGAATATAGGCTGTATGGGTTAGATTAATAAAATTGCTTTATGGATTTAGAATAGGAAGGGAAAAGTATTCTCAACAGGAGCTAAAACTAAGAGATTCAGGAACATGGCACACGAATGGAACTATACGTGTTTCTCTGTGAGTGGAGCTTAAATCAGTGTAAAAACATAGTAGGAAGAGATGAACGCTATTGGGAAATTTTAAACGGTGAAGAATCATAATAAAATTTGTACTGCAGCAAGATATTACTGATGAGAATGTGGATAATAGTCTTGGAGGATGGAGAAAGAGACAAGGAAAACCTAAATTCAGGGTCACCAGTTAGGAGGTTTTTATAATAATTTGTGTGAGAGATAGTTCCGGTCTAAATAAAAGTAATTACAGATGGCACAAAAATAAAAAGACAGATGTAGGATATATGAAAGGGGAATTTTTTTTTAAGATTTGATTATCAGCTATGTGTGAGATAAGAGGAAAATCAAATATCCCTGAGAATAAATGCCAGGTTTCCCGTTTATATCCCTGAGTGGATAGCGTCATTAAATGGGAAATGTATGCAGGGAAGGTTTTGGGTAAAGATGATAAATGTACCATTCATATGACTAATTCAGTGGTCAATTCAATGATGTTTTTCACATGTTGGTTGGTATGAACTTGGAGCTCAGGAAAAAGGCTTGAGATAAGTTCTAAGAATCATCTGCATATTGATCGTATTTGGGTGTTGAAGTAATTTTTCAGGAAATGAGTTTAAGGGAAAGATGAAGAAGGATAAACTGAGAAGGATTTGGGGATGCAATAGTCAGAGGTGTAATAGGAAACTCTGGAGTTTAGCTGCCATTGAGGAGAATTACAGGCAATTCTCTACCGTGCCTGCTGTTGTGGAGAGATGAAATAACATATGGATGGAAAAAAAATGTTCACTAACTATAACATTAAGTCAATTTGGCAAAAATAATTTAAGTAAAGTGTTGAATGGAAACCACATTTTTGTGTGTTGGAAAGTAAATGAGATAGAGGGGATTAAGAGACTAAGTGTAGAAAACTTAATCAAAGATTTTATATCTGTAAGGAGAAAAGATATGTCAGTAGCTACAGGAATATTTGAAGTTATGATTTTAAAAATAATTTCTTGTAAGAAGATTAAAATATTTTAATGATATCAACATGTAAAGAAACTTTGTTTTTCAGAATTGTTTCTAATGCCTCATTTTGTCTACAGGTATTAACAATATGCATAAAGTACAGTTGAAGTTCAGAAAAAAGGAGTTCAGGAAAAATGTCAAGAGAGAAGATGGGCAAATAGGGAAGATAAAGGAAAGAAGAAGGAAAAGGAGAAAGCAAAGGACAGAATTTTAGCAAATAGCACATTTAATGGGGAAGAGAGGGAGTTAAACCTAAACAGACAACACACAAACAAACAATCACACAGTATGAACTAGGAGATATGCCATCCTACAATCCTATGTGGAAGAGTATTTGAAAAAGGAGGGGGTCAGTATTATCAGATGCTGCCAAGTGGGAAGTCCAGATGGGACTCATGATATTTCCTTATGCAATAACTTACATAAGGAGAGCAGAAAGAGAAATGGGCTATAACTAGAGAGTGAGAGTGAATCTAAAGAAAGATTGCTAAAACTCATTTAAATCCAACTCAAATGTGATTTATTCTGAGAAAGTTTATCTGAAAAATCCATTAGGAACATATTTCCCTTCCCTCAACATTTCTATAGTGCAACTACCATACACCCAAGCAATTTCACTCCTTGGAATTTATTCCAGATAAATAAAGACTTGTGAACATTTTATAAAACTATACACAAATGTTTATAGCAGATTTATTTGTAATAACTGAAAAAAAAAGAAATAACCCATGTTTCCTTCAATGGCAGAATGGTTAAACAAATGATAGTATATTCATATCATGGAATATAATACAGCAACAAAGAGAAACAAACCATTGATACATTCATCAACCTGAATAAATCTCCAGAGAATCAGGCTGTGTGGAAAATAGAAACATCTAAAACAACATATACTACATGATTTAATTTATATAACATTCTTGAATTGACAAAATTATAGCAATGGAGACCAGATTAGTGGTTCCCTGGAGTTAAAAAAAATTACATGTGGGGAGATGTAAATGTGGCTGTAAAAGGGCAACATGTGTTACACTTGTAACTTTCTGTATCTTGATTATATTAATTAATGTCACTATCCTAGCTGTGATATTTCACTGTAGTTTTCCAAGTTGTTACACTGGCGAAAACTGGATAAAGAGTACACGGGGTCTCTCCTAGGAACTTCCTACGAGTTCATGTAAATCTATAATTTTCTCAAAATAAAAAAGTTTAACTTTTACAAGGCTTAAAAATAAGTAGAGTTAAAAAAGATAGTTGAAAGAGCGTTTTTGAAGTCACATTGTCTAGTTTTGAAGTCACATTGTCTTAAGGTTGAATCCAAAGTCTGCCACTTTTTTAGTTATGTAAATGTCATCTTAGTGAGCCTTAAATAAAAATTATCAAGATCACCATCATCATCACAACCACCATTACTAAAACCCTTATGGAGTTTTTAATATGTCCCAGTTACTGTTCCAAACACTTGGTGTATTTTAACACATTTAATTCTCTCAACAGCCCTACCAGGTAGGGATCATTATTATCTTAATTTTAAATATTGAAAAACTAAGACACAGAAAGAAAAGGTAATATGCTCAGGGCCACATAGTAACTAAATGAACACTAATTTGAGCCCAGACAGTCTTCCACAAGACTTAATACCTGCCCCTAACATTTATGGGGCAAGACAAAAAGTGAAAAAGAGGTCCCATGCTGTATGTCTAAATGCTTAGGAGCTATAGAAACTAATAACTTTAAAATATATATGCTAGCCTTCTGCTTTGACAAATATACTTTGTAAGCCACTTGGAAGATTATGTTTGAATTTAAAATTTTCAGACACTTAACGTTTCCACTCTATAAACATGACCTACCACCTTTTTCTCTTCCCCCATGGTTTGGTTTCACACTGTGAGCAGCTCTTTGCACATTTGAGTACACACTCCAGCCTGCAAATTGAAGCCTTGTTCATACTCGGGCCTATGGGTATAAATACCAGTGAGTCAGTGTGTTTTTGGTAGATGGACTTGGAGAAAAGGCTGTGTAAATGCTGGAAGCATAGAGCTTTTAGTAAGGGAACCTCAAGATCCTGAATACCAAAGGCATGGTGTAGAAGTAGGATCCGTTCCAACTGTAATGGCTTCTTGACTCTGTGGAATCACCCCTCACACTCTGCGAGGGGAACGGATAAAAGAGACATAAAGTGAGGTCCACCGTAGGGGGTCCCTCTTACTCTTAGGCCTAAAGTCAAACTTAAGCCTGAGTGAGATACTGGCCTTATTTCAGTGGGAATAATACTTTCCTTTTATAGTTGTGAAAACGACATGAGGGTCTCTCAGGTATATTGTGCAAGATGTGTGCTGCGGTGCTGCATTAGAGGGAAGATGTAGGTTTTCTGTTAATATTTGCAATTATGTTTTATTATCAATCAGTAAATGTTTCCAACATTAATACCATTTTATAGTTATATTATTTATTTTCTTGATAGATGGACTAGAGGCTTTTACCAGATTTCTTAAAACTGAATTCAGTGAAGAAAATATTGAATTTTGGATAGCCTGTGAAGATTTCAAGAAAAGCAAGGGACCTCAACAAATTCACCTTAAAGCAAAAGCAATATATGAGAAATTTATACAGACTGATGCCCCAAAAGAGGTACAGTAAAGATAACTGTAAAAATGCATAATTGCTTTCAAAATTTTTTAATAATTTTATTTTTAAATTGTGAATTATATTTTTCCAACTTATTTTTATTAATTTCATTTATAATTGACATGTAATAATTACACATGTTAATGACATACAGTGTGATGTTTTAATATATGTATGCATTGTATAATGATAAAATCAGAGTTAGCATATTCATCAAATTAAACATTTATCATTTCTTTGTGGTGATAATATTCAATATGTTCTTTTCTAGCAATCTTGAAATATACCATGTATTATTATTCACTATAATCACCTATTAGGTAATATAACACCAGAACTTATTCTTCCTATCTATCTCTGTACCTGTTGATCCATCCTTTCTCCATCCTCCCATCCTTCCTACCTTACCTAGCCCTTGGTAACCACTATTCTGCTCTCTACTTCTATGTGAGCAACTTTATTAGATTCCACATACAAGTCAGATCATGTAGTATTTATTTTTGTGTGCCTGGCTTATTTCACTTAACATAATGTCCTCCAGGTTCATTCACATTGCCACAGATGACTGAGTTTCTTTGTTTTTTAATAACTCAATAGTGTTCCATATGTACCACATTTTCTTTATACATTCATCCTTTGATGGACATTTAGGATGAGTCCATCTCTTGGATACTGTGAATAATGCTGCAATAAACATGGGAGTGTAGATATCTCTTTAACATGCTGATTTCAATTCCTTTAGATATATACCTAGACGTAGAATGGCTGGATCGTATGATAGTTTTATTTTTAATTTTTGAGGAACCCTTATACTATTTTCTATAATGGCTGCACTACCTTACATGCCCACCAACAATGCATGAGTTTCCCTTTCTCCACATCCTCACCAACATTTGTTATTTTTTGTCTTTTTCATTAAAAGCCATTCTAACCGAAGTGAGTTGGTATCTCATTATGGTTTCTACGTGCATATCCCTGATGGGTAATGATGTTGAACATTTTGTCCAAAATGGCACTTTATGTCTTTTTTTGAGAAATGTCTATTCAGAGCTAAATTTTTTAGATAATCTGTCTTTATCAAATTTGTACCCTCATACATTCTACCAGAATGTTCATGATGTTGCTGGAGGGAAGATAATTATTTATGAATATTTATCCATACAAATGGAAGACATTGTAAGATACTATCACAGAAGGAAAAGTACAATTAGAGTCACTTTTCAGAGCTATTTTCATTCTAGACTAAGAGTGAATATGATAAATTGCAACATTTAGATTCATTCACTTATTCATATTAATCACTTTCGCACAAGCAACCTCTCATAGAAACTAAAGATTTTTATAAGTGATGAAGTCAAGGGACATCAAGAAGTTTGCATCATATACCAATTTAATTTTGGCTCATCTATTTATACGGAGTTTTGTTTGCTTTAGGGATACTTTAAAGACAGGTTAAAAGAAAAATCTTACAATAGAGAGATGAGGTAAATCTAACTAGGCAAGTTTTCAAGTGGAAAACAATTGAGATTTTCTTTTACTCCATACTCAATGTGAAGTAATTGTGTGATACAATTGCTAAAATGGGTATAAGACTAGCAAATATGACTTGACTGCCCTAAAATATTAATTAAGTAGAGCTTCAAAGTTTCTAATGTGTGTTTTATAAATAGTGCTTCTCCCAAAACCAACGTTTTACATAGTTTTTTTTATAAAAAGGCAGCTAGTTGTATTGTGTTATGGACAAGGGGAAAGAAAGCCCCTACCTGAAAACCCAACCACCATCAGAACCAGATATATATGCAGTGCTATGATACAAGGCATTAAAGAATTTTATATCTTTAAAAGACATTCATACTACAGCATATGTTTGCTTGGAGGAAATCATCATAACATAATGAAATGAGCACTGGAATAAAGAGAAGCCCCACATTAAAATCTCAAATATGCCCCAGCTCATTTTTTCCCATGACTCAAATAATTTAACCTCTGTGAGGTTTAGTTACCTATTTTGAAAATGAGTTATGCTTTAATTATTTCTATGATCTTAGCAGTTCAATATTGCATTATTCTAAATTCATAGAGAGTAAGAAGGACCAGGAATTCCAGGAGAGAAGAAACAGATGAAATGCTAGTCAAGAATAGAGGAAAAAACCCAAGCATCTATATTAGGCCATTCTTGCACTGCAACAGACACAACAGCACTATTCACAATAACCAAAATGTGGAAACAACCCAATTGTTTACTAACAAATGAATGGATAAATGAAACGTGGTGTACCTATAGAATGGAATATTCAGCCACAGAAAGAATAATGTTTTTGATACATGCTAAAAAAACAGAAATATCTGAGCCTAGGTAATTTATAAGAAAATAACTTCAATTGGTTCATGGTTCTGCAGGCTATACAGGAAGCCTAATAGCATCTGCTTTTGAGAAGAACTCAGGAAGCTTCCAATCATGGCAAAAGGCAGAGGGGGAGCAGTTATCTCACATTTCAGAAGCAGGCTCAAAAGAGAGAGACAGAGTGAGGTGTCACACACTTTTAAACAGCCAGATCTTGCCAGAAGCCACTCACTATCGCAAGGACAGCACTAAGGAGATGGTGCTAAACCATTCATGGGAAATCCACCCCCATGATCCAATAACTGCCCACCAGGCTCCACCTCCAATGCTGGGGATTACAATTAAACATGAGGTTTGGGCAGGCTACACACATCCAAACTATATCTGCTTCTAAGCCCAAGATGCCCACTCCAACATTGCATCAGTCCTGTGCTGTTTCTCAAAGTTGTTTATATAAGCATATTAACTATAATCACACTTTTTTTCTGTTTATCCAGGTTAACCTTGATTTTCACACAAAAGAAGTCATTACAAACAGCATCACTCAACCTACCCTCCACAGTTTTGATGCTGCACAAAGCAGAGTGTATCAGCTCATGGAACAAGACAGTTATACACGTTTTCTGAAATCTGACATCTATTTAGACTTGATGGAAGGAAGACCTCAGAGACCAACAAATCTTAGGAGACGATCACGCTCATTTACCTGCAATGAATTCCAAGATGTACAATCAGATGTTGCCATTTGGTTATAAAGAAAATTGATTTTGCTCATTTTTATGACAAACTTATACATCTGCTTCTAACATATCGCATGTTTATGTTAAGATTTGGTCCCATCCTTTAAACTGAAATATGTCATGTGAAATTATTTTAAAAATGTAAAAACAAAACTTTCTGCTAACAAAATACATACAGTATCTGCCAGTATATTCTGTAAAACCTTCTATTTGATGTCATTCCATTTATAATCAGAAAAAAAACTTATTTCTTAATCAAAAGGCAGTACAAAAAAAGTAATAATGTTTTATAAGATTGTAGAGTTAAGTAAAAGTTAAGCTTTTGCAAAGTTGTCAAAAGTTCAAACAAAAGTCTAGTTGGGATTTTTTACCAAAGCAGCATAATATGTGTTATATAAACATAATAATACTCAGATATCCAAATGTTCAGATAGCATTTTTCATAATGAATGTTCTCTTTTTTTTGGTAATAGTGTAGAAGTGATCTGGTTCTTACAATGGGAGATGAAGAACATTTATTATTGGGTTACTACTAACCCTGTCCCAAGAATAGTAATATCACCTCTAGTTATAAGCCAGCAACAGGAACTTTTGTGAAGACACATTCATCTCTACAGAACTTCAGATTAAATATAATCTAGATTAATGACTGAGAATAAGATCCACATTTGAACTCATTCCTAAGTGAACATGGACGTACCCAGTTATACAAAGTACTTCTGTTGGTCACAGAAACATGACCAGATTTTGCATATCTCCAGGTAGGGAACTAAGTAGACTACCTTATCACCGGCTAAGAAAACTTGCTACTAAACTATTAGGCCATCAATGGCTTGAATAAAAACCAGAGAAGGTTTTTCCCAGGACGTCTCATGTTTGGCCCTTTAGAATTGGGGTAGAAATCAGAAATGAGATGAGGGGAAGAAGCAAGGAGTCTAAGGCCCTAGCGATTTGGGCATCTGCCACATTGGTTCATATTCAGAAAGTGTTATCTCATTGATTATATTCTTGTTAAGCAAATCTCCTTAAGTAATTATTATTCAAATAAGATTATACTCATACATCTATATGTCACTGTTTTAAAGAGATATTTAATTTTTAATGTGTGTTACATGGTCTGTAAATATTTGTATTTAAAAATGCCATGCATTAGGCTTTGGAAATTTAATGTTAGTTGAAATGTAAAATGTGAAAACTTTAGATCATTTGTAGTAATAAATATTTTTAACTTCATTCATACAGTTAAGTTTATCTGACAATAAAAGCTCTGACTGAATGTTGATTATCCTTCCTATTATGTAATAAGGAATAAACATTTTCTTCTTTTAGAGTAATATTGGGATAGAAAGTATTAATTGAGTTATTGTATCATTGATCTTAATGCTATATCAGTTGTTTAAATTGTTGTGAATATAAAAACAAAGTATCTTGGGTTTCAAAAATCAACTAAAAAGGTGATTTTTATGTTTTCCTTAGTTAATTCCTATTTTCTTTTTCTGTGGCAGTCTCTTTCCATAGAATTTAATTGTTTCATATACAGACTTAAGACTCGACACAAACTTTGCAATCTCATCAGAAACATCATGGGCTGATTTTAATAGCATTGTTCTGGTACCACAAATATGTATCATGTAGCTTTTCCGTATGTAATACTGTCCAAAATCATCCAATCTCTTCATTAAATTATGAAATATTCAATGAGATGCTTCAAAAACATACCAGGATTTCTTCATAAAATTAATGACTGACTTCAAAAAGTTTGCACTCTCTGGAGGAGACAACATGGACAAATACAGAAACAAGATAAATAATTGGACAACTGAAAGCAGCCAAGCACAGATGCACAGAAAGCACTGAGTGTTGGCTGAATGATGGCAAAACGCACAAATTGAAACTAGACTTGAAAGCCTCAGTGTGCGAGCCCCCTAACTGGATGTGGGATCCTCAAAAGTTTATATAACTTCTAAGGACTCTTCCATCCACGTTCGTTTTAAGATAAAGACTCAGGATTTCTACTTTCTAGTGTTCTTTATGGTCTCCACACTCATTAATTCTAATTTGTTCACTTGATATTCTCCGAAGCAAACCTTGACTTGTATCCAAGTAAGGAAAAGAGGCAAATAAGTATAATTAATGAAGGAAAACTTAAGATTAAAAATTAATATGGGATTTTTGTCTAAGAATAGGGCACAAGATTATAGAAAACCCAGAAATACATGAAAGGAAAGAAGTCACAGGAAATAGAGCTTGATTTTTTTTTTGACCAGTCAAATGTATGATAACAATGTCTTTAAAGTACTGGATGATAAATAAAGTTGGGTTGAATTAGATAATTTGGGGCACTTTTTGAAGCCCATAAGCAATAGTAAATACCTAGGCTTCAAGTTATGTACATAATAAAAGTTCAATAAGTGATTGCAAAGTCAAGTGAAATCAAAAGGAAGTCAGAGTAGTATTTCAGCAAAGAGTAAAGTCTTTAATATGTGGTGCATTTTTATTTGAATTCTATCTCTACTAGCTACCAAGTGTACTATGTTGAGAAAGCTACCTAAATTCTTATCTTCAATTTTTATTTGTAATATTGGAATAAAATTTTCACAGTGTTCTTATGGTGATTAAATTGTAAATATTTGCAAAGTGCCAGCTACAGTGTTAACTGACTTTAGTGTGTGGATGGATTTTAGAAAGTATTCCCTGTGTTTAAGTACCACATTTTAATTATAATATAAATTTTTCTAATAATGCCTTGGTTACAAATCAAAAAATATCTTTGAGAATAATGAGATTTTGCTTGACTAAAGTATGGGGATGACTATTGCTCTCATCAAAACTTTTATAATTTGCACTTCATAAAAAATGATATTTTAGCTAAATTAAAATATGGGAACATTTTAAGCATAAGCATTTTTCTAAAGAAAAAGCTTTTAAAAAAAAACCCTTAACTTTTTAGTTATGTGCAGTGCAGATCTTCTTTAAGAGGAAAAAAAAGACAAAGCATGGTGAAGATGTATACTCTCCCCGCCCCACCTCATCAGATGCTAAGCCTTAGCTATGGCATTAACTAAATTTAAAAAGACTAATTTATTTTCATTGTGCCACATTGGCTGGTCTTATATTTAATTTCCTGGCTCTTTATCATCTGTCTAAAAAAGAAAAAAATTACCAACACAGATGTAACCACGTTCATTTAGCTATATCATTTGAAGCCTTTTCAACAATAAAAATAAAAATTCGTACAACTTATCAAAACTCATGTTCTATAACTTGAATAAATCAACAAGTATTTATTGAACACTTTCATTTGATTGCTACTGCTAGCTTCTGAGCATTCAAAAGTGAATTTAACAGTGGGAGTGACAGGGAAAGAGAGAGAAAGAAAAACTCTCTTCATAGTATATTGTCTGATAAAGCTTGCATTCTGCAATACGCAGCTGAAAGCCATGTTTTAAACTTTTCTTCGTATGTATCCCAAATAACAAATCCTTCTACGACCAATCGTGCAGATTACCATTTATCTTTTGAAGCTAGGAGTTAAGTAACTAATTTCCTCATTTATTTAAGGACAATACAAAAGATTCACTAACTTGCATATCTTTGTGCATCTTTTATAAAACAAAAGAGGAACTGAAAGTATATGTATATATAAATACATTTTATTATGGGTTTGAATTTTTTGGTCATTTTATTGGTTTTGCTCTATAAATCAACCAATTATAGAAGGGTCCTTTGAAGATGAAAAAACACAAGTTTTAAGAAACATTTACAAAATTAAATCACTTGGGAAACAATACAAATTTAGCAGCACAGGTAGTAAAATATTACATTTGGAAAATTTTTTTAAAAATCAGATTCAGCTGTGTTTTTAGACATAATTATTTAATAGTAAACATATACATTTACCTGGAATCTTACCTACTAAATTTTATAGAGTAGAAATGAACCTTTTAGAAGTAATAAGCAAAGCAACTATTTTAAACGTCAGACATTTGCTAAAACAACAGTATTAAATTTTAAATAGTTTGTCTACAGTCTTATTATTTTTTATTGTGTTATCTATCTGTAAAAAACATAAAATTGTGGGAAAAATGAAGACTGAATCATTGTTAAATGTTGATCCACTAAAAAGTGTCAAAATTCTTTTTATTGGATGCAATTTACTAGAGCAAGAAAGTGAATAAAAAACATTTGGAAAGATTGCCATCAACATGTAAAACCCAACAATCATTTTTTCAACATGGAACTGTTGTTACATGTAAAGAAACTGAAATATTGAAACATGAATCCAAGTGAGATCAAATCAGTATCAATGATAGCAGGAATAAATGTATTTAATAATCCATAGTTTGGAATATCTTATACTTCATTTATCGTTATTTAATCATAGACTCCTGTAGTTCAACAAATGTTTGCCATGCTTCACCTCTGTCCCAGTCACTATATGGAACAGTAGTGATACAAAGACAAATAAAATAATGTAAAGGCTATCACTGTAGTATTTAAATGAACGGTGTTCCTATGTAGGCAAACACAAAAATCAGTCATTTCACTATGACATGTGAAACATTGATATATAATATATCTTGACTTCCTTGTGTCTAAAAAATGGCAAGACAATTTCATGCAACGTAGCTAAACAGCAGAGTCATGTTGCTGTGCCTTCACAATATGTCTGAGTATATTTTATAATATAGGATTAGGTATTAAATTGCTATATTCATACTGAAATCTGCTTTAAAATCTCAATCTCTAGAAACCGGAATTGATCTCATAAATGAGCATCACTCACATTAGAATGCAAGCTCCCAGAAATGTATTCAAGTTACATTAATAGAAAATTATTTAACATAGAGGCTTTGGAAGTAAATTTTTGATAGAATTGTGAAAGAATGTTAAGAGATACTGATAAATGAGTATCAACCAAAAGATCATACACGTATGATAACTGAGAGAACTAAATAAGTTCACTGGAAAATCATGATTCAACCCATGAAATCCTATTTATTTGTATTATTCTTAAACACTTCTATTGAAAAATATAATAAACACATTATCTAAAAAGTTTGCATGATCATGAAGGGAACACTAATCTTGCAGTTTGGCCCCATTACATATTTTTTCTTTAGTAATCACCTCACCATATATTTTCTTCTGTTGTTTTTTGTCTGTTTTATCTTTTCTCCAGGCAGATACTTTGACAAAAATTTGTAAATAAAAAGTTTTCAGCGTGTTACACACGCAGGAGTGTGTGCGCGCGTGCACACACACTCAGAGTTTGATTTTTGAAAGGGAATATATAATTATCATAATCATTTCTCAGTCAATTGGGTAAGAGTGTATTTTCTCTGCTGTGGAATATCAGTATTTCTTCCTCATTGAAGAAAGTCTTTAGGGAAGTGTTTGGAGTGATGAAATAAGACAACACTTAAATCATTCAGAAGACTTTTATGAGAAAACTGGGATTATAAATAACTGATAATAGTAATTGGAGAAATCAATAAAATAGTAGTTGTAGTACTTCTAAAATCCCGTAAAAATAAGCATTATTTAGATCACTGAATATTGCAAATTATTGATGGAGTTCACTCCAGCAACTGCCATTATCTTTCTGAGGAAAAACAGCATTTCACGTTCATTTTTCTCATTTTTCATAGAGTCTCTGAGGCCTTTAGAAACTTAAGAGTATTTTAGATAGAAAGTCCCATTTTCTTGAATGGCTGAGTCAGCAAACACATCTCTAGAGACAGAGTTAAGTAATTATTATAGCATATTATAATATTTCAAAGCTAATTTTTCAACAAATGATTGACACATGTCTAAATGATCTTTAACATAACAAAAAAGGTTACATGGGGGAAATCCTTTAATTTCAAGGACATATATATTGGTAATAAAAACAATGTATATATTCTGGAAAAAAGATTACAGAAAAGTGAAAATATAATATTCTGAACCACCATCTCTACTCTAAAATCATACCATGGTTTTTATAAAGGGTTATACAGTGTACATATTGAAGAGTTAACATGATTAATTGTACATATCACTTAAAGACAAATAAAAAAATGTAAGGAGCATAAGTTGAATAAAAAAGAAGTCTAATTTTCCATTCTAGAAATAAACATTTTAACATTTATATTCTTCTAATATTTTAAAAATCTACAAATTTTTTTCATTGAAACAATGGATTATGGATATGAATATCAATTTTCATAGAATTATATTAATTACAAAAATCAAGTTTTAAAGATAGTATTAATGTGTGAAAAAATACTTATCTTAATTTTTAAAATGTACTGTATGGTATTAACATGAACTAGAACTAGATTGAAGTAAAGAATAAAATATATTCAAATCTCAAAATGGAAAAATGATTATATATTTGAGGTAAATCCTAGACAGAGTATATTAAAAAATTGGATTATAAAAAATATGAAGATAAAGAATGAGAAAAAATAGAGTCCAAAAACAGACAGACAATATTGATGTAGTAATCATTCTAAAACGCAGTATTTCGTTACAAATAATGCACATTGTGATATATTTTGAATAATAAAAGGTTTGCAATATTTGAATTGTCTATTAAAAGCATGACACTGTTCTGTTATGGGAAATCTACTTCATTACTGGGAGCTGAATAAGACACTCTGCAGATTTTAAAAATTTTATTTCATCTTTAAACACTAGTGCTGGAAGGAAATTAGAGTTCATGTCCCAACAAACCTTCACACTTTGTAGAACAGAATAAGGAAGTCATTTCTAGACTAATTTACAACATTAATAAAGAAAGAATTTGAGTAAAAATGTCACTCAGATATCAACCAATATCATTTATGTATTCCTCTCATCAACCATTAATTTATTAGTACCTACAAAGTATCAAGATTCTCTTCTAATAAAACAAAATGTTAGATATGTTCATTATCCTGCCACAAGAGTTATCTCATTTACTTTAATGGAAATTAAATATTAATCAAAACTCAACATGAAACTACATTATTTCCTTGAAATTTACTTTTGCTAATGTTATGCTTGTATGTGTTCGTAAACATACACATACGTAATTGTTGAAAGAAATGCAAGCTATATTAAAATTAACTTTTTTAAACTTTATTTATAAAACACTAAGAACACTAGCATTTAACTGAATGCTAATCTTTGGGAGAGTGAACATTTAGAGAATTTTATTTCATGAAAGAAATGAAGTAAATTAATTATATTTATTAGGATAGTATTTGAATGTAAGATATAATGCATGGCACATAACCATATTAAAATTTTAGTCATATATGTACACATATGTCCTGTGCATATAATTTCAGACTTTCAGAGTTTTATAAGAACTTAGATACTTAATAATACATTTTATGTTAAAATTGCATATTTAATTGAATAAATACTCAATTATTAAATACCAAGTTATTTCTGTCTTTGGCTTTAAAAGCCAAAGATATGTATTCATATGTCTGTTATGTTCATTTATAACTATAAGCCACCTTCATTTTTAGATATTAGGTTAAATAATTTTATAACAATGGGCACTGCTAATCTATTTTTTTGTTTTATAAAATGCCTCATTGCTTCTCTTTAATGTTTTATATATGCTACATATACTGAAATATTGAAAAGTATCTAGTATTTGCTTGTTTCCAAGATTCTAATTCATCTATAAAATAAATACTAGAATTACTAACACTGGTTAAAATCAATAGTATAAAAGGTGAACATTTAAATTATATAGTAAGTTTGAGCACAGAGGTTAATTTTTCCCTTCCACATTATATGGCTGACTCTTTGGCAAAGATACAGAACGGTTTGTTTGATCAAGTTCCTTCAAAAGGTAAGTAATGATTTAGACCAGACTTGACATCAACAACAACAAAAAAAGGTTGATATCAAATTTAAAATTATGATGACACTTTTACAGGTGTTTATAAACATTCTTTTTAAAAATTCAAATTGTGCTACATAAAAAAAGAATTATAAAAATATAGCAAAACAACAAATTAGAGAGAAGGAAATTTAAACTTTAACAGAAATACTACAGTGGGGGTGGGGTAGGGATGGGAGGTTTTGGGAGAACCAGAGAATTGGCACAGTATTTGAATGTAAGTCATAATCCCTATGAAAATGTGTTCAAATAAGAAAGAATTTTGTACGTGTTTTAATACATTTTCTGTAACTGACATCATAGACTTTATTAAACCATTATTAGATGTTTATATTTTGTATTTGACAGCTCCTCAAGTTAACAAGCTTAACAGTTTTACTACCTCAGACATTATTATTATTTTACTTCTTTTAAAACTGAAATTTCTTAAAGAACTAATTAGGTCTTTGTTTTACTTTGGATTCAGCCAACAAGTCTGTGTTCATACTCGTGATTTTACGGATTTGGTTATTTTATCTCTCAGGCTTCATCTTCCTAAACTAATTGTTTATTGAGATTATTCTAAAATCCATAGACTCTCTCTTTATAAATATATTCTCTTTAAATCTGGCTTATTAAAAAAAAACTATTCTTTGGTGTAAGAATAAACACCAAAGTTCTATTTTTGATTTCATGCATAATGTTACATTGAAAACACTTTAATATGAAAATTGAATCATAATGTTTAGATAAAGGAGGTAATGTCCATGTAATATGATTTTAGAGTTTTGAAAATAAAGTGCTAAGTGAATTTAAAATAAATGATGCACGGGAAGCTCAAAGTTTTTCCCCTTCTTTTGTATACAAGACATCAGTGTCACCAGCCATTGTAAGGTTACATTTGTGAATTTTAGTAGGTAGTTGAGATTTTATGAACAGAAAATACACAATCCTCAGTCTACTTTCTCTCTGAAATCATCAAAGATGTAAAAAGTTCTTCAAAGCCATCCTCAGATAAAACAAAAAACAGCTTATTGTGTATAACTACATGTAAAAAATATGTCTGCTTTGTTTCTAGGTGTTTAAGGTATATTTTAATTTCTTCATAGTAAATATATTATTGGACATACAAATTAAAGATTTTTAGATATTTATGGAATATCTATGTCGTAATGTGTATTTTATCAATTTTAAACAGCCTAGAAAAATGTCAAATAAGCCAGTATATGACGTGGAAATTACCCTCATATCCTGAAAATATTAAGAGCTAATTGTAACAGCTACATTTCATTTCTGCTCTATTCCAACTTTTTAAACATTAGTATTTCATTTTAATCTTTAAAAAATAATTTTATTAAATATCTAGATTTTTATTTCATTACATTATATAATAAGATCGATAACTTGGAATGTTAAAGGCTTCTCTCAAACCTCAACAAAAATAGAGAAAGGGATATTTCCTGAAAAATATTTTTCCCAAGCAGATTCATTTTACAATTTAATTTCCTTCAATGAAGTAAAGGTCAGTGTGAAGCTATAAGAAAATTAATTTGCATGAGCTATGCACATGGAATATGACAATAATATAATATGAAATATTCATAATTCAAGCTTTTAAAGCCAACCTCAAGGCTATAAAAGCAATTATTATAAGGAATGACTCAACAATTACAACAAACTTTTTCTTTGATGATGTCAACTAATATGCTCTCATTCTGAGAGACATGAAGAGACAGTTCTGTAGAATAATAACAAACTCTAAGAATTAGCAATCCTTTGTATTACCTCATTAATATGTTAATTGGCTTCAGAAAATGTATCAATGCAAGTTTTCAACTTCAAACACAGTTCCAATAGTTCTACTAATCCAGTAATTCCAAGTCGACTTTATAATTTTGCTATCTCTTTGCATCTCATCAATTGTATAAGTAATATTTTTTAACTCTGGCAACCAATACACATTTCTCTATTGACTATGTCCCATGCTTACCTATTTGAACAAGATTAAAATTTCATTCTTATTCATAATAGTGTGGCAGACATCTGCTGATCCATTGCTTATCTTAAAATAAAATTATTTTAGTAAAATTGTCATAGAATTACAGTCTCAACTGATACCTAGCCTACTCTCCTGAAATCAAAATAAGTAGCAATTCTCTGCATTTCTTGACAAAGAAAGTCAGATTTTCTGAAACCATATTGAGCATGTAAAAGAGTGTCTTAAAATTTTCTGATGAGTCCTATAATAATTCAGGGACACGAGCATGTTTCTCTGCTGATCTGAATTGCTGCAATGTATGAAAAACCACACTGCAAGTTATATTCTGCTCTCAGGTTTCTTCCTGTAGCATTGGGTCTTGGGCATTAAATTTCTTACACCTCTGCCTGCTGCAGCTTCTTTTCTCCTTCTACAGCCCTCTTCACCCCCTAGAGCAACCCTGATTCAGATTCCAAATCCTAGCTGTTTGTTGGGGTTTGTTATCTCTGCTTAGATGAACATAATATGTCCATACAGTCAGTATTTGAGGGCAGAGGACAGCAGGGTAGAAGTCAAGGAAAATAAACAGTACTGTGGCTATTTATTTTGGAAAAACCAAAATCAAGCTTTGAGAGAAACAACACATCTCGCATTATTTTTGTTAGCTTTTTTCCATGAGGTAAAGTCAGGTTATGCCACTGAATCAAACCTGGGCTGAATGCTTTTCATCATCATTCTTCTTTCTTAAATATAATGAAGATTCTACCTGGTGGTGGTTGGCCATTCTGTTTTAATTTTTTTTTTATCATTATAAGATTTTGTCTTTTTTTCCCTGCATTTCCTTAGTCAATACACTGAGAAAGTGGGCAGTGCTGGAACTTCTAAACAGAAGTAATGGGTACTGCTAAACAGAAGTGATTTTGAACTAGAAGTTCTTCAAACTTGATTTTGTACTTCTCTGGAATGAGGATGACTACAATCCTCCACTAGTTCTAATATAAAAGACCAACAGTGCTAGTTAGCAAAATGTATGTGTTCTTTAGGTTATTCTATACTATTTCCTTTTCTAATGATCCTAAATAATAATCAAATTAATAACTACATTTATTGAGCATATAACAAATATTTGGCATATTATCCTATCGTTGCCACTCACCAGCATTCTGAACCTGATTAAACAACTTAATCTTTTTGTGCCTCACATCTTTCAACTATGAAAAAGGTTACAATAATGTTACATTTCCTACACAGTTTTTGTAGGATTAAATGAGCTAATGTAGCTAAAATTTAAGTGTCTGGCACATAATAAGCATTCAATCCATGTTAGATGTTATTTCATCAAACGAGTCAATTTTCAGACAGCTGAACTACAACTAGCAGAGATTTTTTAATCCTCTTCCTCATCTCTATTCCTAATAAGAGATAACAGTGAAGAAACAGAAAAAAAAATTCAAATGAGGTTTTCCCTTGATGCTGCCTTAGTGCGTGTGTGTGTGTGTGTGTGTGTGTGTGTGTGTCCTTCTTATGGTAGGCAGAATTCCAAGATTGCCTCCAAGTTTCTCAGGATTGTCATTCCTTGGTTTATAGGACTTACAACCATATATCTTTGAGTGTAGGCTTAACATGTGCATATTTGGGTAGTCACATGCTTGCTTAGGTCATATTACACAGCAAACTGTGATGGGATATTGACTCCCATAGTTACACAGCCCTGGCCAATAACTTGATTTCAACCTGATGAGACCCTGAGCAGAGAACCAAATTGAGCCGTGCCCAGAATTCTGGCCCACCTCTCAGTTTGCATTAATTTGTTACACAACAATAGAGAGAAAACTAATACATTTTTTAAACCTCAAAACCTCTGCATCTCTTACTGCATGTATATAGTCATCATCTGATTTTAATTCAGGTATTAAACAACTCATATATCATGCACGTATAAGAAGTACTGAGAATACACAAACTGATAAATTAAACATAATCGACAACTCCTTTTTAAAATGTTACACCCCAAATTGATCAAATATATCAAATAATTTCAGACTAATGCAAAGTTCAATGGGACCATTGATCTGACTACACACTTTGAGATAGATAAAGGTAGCAATAGATTTTTTTGGTTATTTATTCAATGTTAGGTCATTTATTCCCATAGAGAAAATTCTTTTTGCAATGACATTTTTAGAGAGATTTGTTTCATTTTTCACAGTTACTGTGAAGCAGTACAAAGATATTAAAAAAGCACCCTAAGCCTCTCTAAGGAAGCATACTTTGCAAATGCAAAAGAGGATTGCTATTAACAAAGCCACTTTAATGATCATACTTACAAAATCACTCCTCTCCGAATATACTGCCATGGTGTCCTATTTATTTAAAAACTGACAACTTTTAGTTACTTTACCTAAAGTATCTAAATACTTTATCTAAATACTTTTAGTTATTTAGATCAAATAGCTTCCTCCATCTTTTGAAACATGCTAGGCAATGATTTGTGCTTAAAAATGGATAACAATGACATTTTGTAAGCATCATTTTAACCTTAATTTCAACAGATGTCACACTTAGAGTTAATTATAGTTTTATGCTTTCAAGTAGTATGTACAGTACATTAAAATACAAACTTTAATATTAAAATTTAGAATTCCCCTGACAGGTGACAGACTGTAGTATTGTTTAACCTAATTATTATTATTGCTTTACCACTAATTCCAATAGGCCTCCAAAAGATAAGATGTTTATATTGAAATTCTTATTTCTAATTGCACTCTGCCATACTTCAAGACTGAAAGAAACAAAACTCTTGAGTTATGTGGCAATTCAGAATGGAAAACATGCAAACAAGAAGTCACATACCTTTTCAAAAAGTTTAGTGAAACCTTACTATGACTTGATTTTAAAAAGAACATTGTTTTTCATATAAAACATATAAAGAGCCATCTGTCTTTAGCTTGCAGCGGAATAGTAAAATGTCAATGAGGAGCTACTGTTGGTGTTCTGGAGTGATTTTAAACCAGAAAGCATTTGACATTTCCAGAAACATCTACTGCCACTGTGATTTGCAGATTGATGCAGAGTAAAAACTGTTTTATAAGCAGTTTGTGTGACACTAAATACTTAAACTTCTGAACAACTATTTAATACATATTAAAATTATTAACACTTTAAATAATTTTATGACCTCTGAGAACAAATATAAACAAACATTAATTTAGAAAGAAAATATCTTTCATGTAATGGCCAATGTTTTCTCTAGTTTTTCTTTTTAACATTTTCCTGCTTTGTGAAAAACATTTTCTCCCACATTCTAGGAGACACATTCTAGGAGGATGAGTACAGAGAGATCAAAAGGTGGTGGAAGGGCAAATTAATTCTGTCAAGGTTAGCTCTCCAAAATCCAGGACACTGTCAAGAAGAATTACATTAAATAAAGTGCTAATGAAGTTATAATTAATATTGTAGTGATATCCAAGCTACTATTACTTTAGCTGTTTATTCACCTTTCCATGAAATCCATGTGTTCCGTAAGGATATGAACCCAGACAGTTTTGGCAAAATAAGAAAAAAATACTGGCTTTGTAGTCACTAATACCCATGTTTTATCCTAGCCCTTAACTTCCTGTCTGTGGTAATTTTATTAACCAAAAATTAATAGTGACTTTAAAAATTTACAGCATCAAAATGTTAAATACAGAGTTACCATATGACACAGCAACTCAATTCCTAGGGATATACTTAAGAAAAATGAAAATATATGCCTACACAGACTTGTACATGAATGTTCACAATGACATCATTCATAATAGTCAACAAGTGAAAACAACCCAAATGCTCATCAACTTATAAATGGACAAACAAAAGGTGGCATATCCATAAAATAGAATATTATCCCATGATTAAAAATGAAATACTAATTTATTCTACAATATAGATGAAACTTGAAAATGTTATACAAAGTGAAAGAAGCCAGTCACAGAAGACCACATATTATATAATTCCATTTATACAAAATGTCCAGAATAGGCACATTTATAGAGACAGCAAGTTCTTTAGTGGCTGCCTAGGGGTGGGGGTGGGGGTGACTTCTAATGGGTACAAGGGTGGGTGTGTGGTGTTGGGATAATAACAACTTTCTAAAATTGGTTATAATAATGATTGCATGACTTTGTGAATTTACTAAACATCACGATTTAAAATTGTACATTTTAGATAGGTGCATTGTATGATATGTGAATTATATCTAAATAAAGCTGTTATTTTTTTAAATGAAATGAAATAAAAGTACAGCAGAAAAGTTCAAAAAAAAATTTACAGCATCACTTTTCTCAAATAATAAGCAGACCAAGGTTGCTTTGGTAGCATCATATGACATCGGTGGCCTGGATGTCTTTAATGTTTTTGCTTTATTTTTTTCCTGTGTGCCTTTTGTTCTCATGATTGAAATACGTTTCATCAACTATAGGCATGATGTCTGCTTTCCCAACAGAGAGGAGAGTTGATGAAAAAGTGCAAAAGGTGGCACCACCCTCTTTTCTGTACAGACTCCTCCCAAAGGACTTCTGCTTGACCACGCTGGCCAAAACTGTGTTATATGGCCACAGGTTGCTTCAGAGGATACTAAGACTTCAAATTTATAATTTTAAAATAGATGACAATTAAATGATATAATATATATAAAAAGCTTACCATAGTGCCTAAAACTCATACTGACAAAAAGTAAATGTCTGTCACCTGAGTGAGTACACAGAATATATTTACATAGAAATAAAAGCATTTGCTGAAATACTGTTGTTGTTGTTGTTCTTGCTGTTGTTGTTGCTGTTGTTGTTGTTTTATTGGTGAAGGTGGGGAATCAGAATCAGGTTATGTGGTTTGAATTTTAGCAGCTCATTTGTGCTCAATGTTTAGAACTAAGAAGATTTCCCCAATCATATATTTCATTGAGTAGCCTATTTAAAACAAAATACACATGCTTCTATTTAACATTAATATAATTGAATAATATCAAGAGAATTATGAATATGTTGTATTGAGCTATTGGTAACTGAGTTAAAATGACCCACACTCAGATGGGGAGGGTGGTGGCTTGAGATGTACATATTGAGATTTTATACATACGTTTGCAAATAATATCTCATTTGCACAATAATTATATATGGTATATACATATGTTTTTATGTGTATTTAACTTTAAATAGACAGTATTTATTTAAAACATGGGTTTTTTAATTCAAAACATGGTTTCTATTTATCTCAGTTTATCTTTTTGTTTTGCTTTGAAAGTCATGAGTCAGGATGAAATAATAGGTTTATACCTAGACTAGGTGGATTCTAACAAATCAGTTAAGAGTAGATTGAACAGACCAGGTAAGAAGAATCCACTAGGGAATAATGACTCAAGCTTTTATTGCTATATAAATTAACACATTTAATGAACATAGTGTGAATTTTTTTTGTAATAATGGTGGCTGTTACAATTGCCTATCTAGCTTATTGTTCCTACCCCAGAGTTTAGCTATGACTAATAGGTGGAATGGCAACCTCAGATCAGTGAATTATCAACTCTGCAGCAAGCCACTCTTGTGGTAGATCTGACATGGAATTTGGAACATCACTTCTCTCAAATCGTTTCTCTGCTTTGGACTCTAGTTATTTAATGACGAGTACATCTTAGAGCCAATGAGTGCCCGTATTTGAATTCCCTTCCTGGAACACACAGGATTGTATGTTGGTTATAAGCATAAAAACTAGAGTCTAATGAAATGACTTTAAATCTCAGTTTGAAAACTTAACTGTTGTTTTAAATTTAGGATTTGCTCAAGTTGCTAATTGTTTTTCACTCATCGGTTTTCCCTATAAAATGAAAATTATTTCTACCACACGTAATTGTTTGGGCAATTAAATAAGAACACATTTCTCCAATTAATATATATTTGATATCTGCCTTGTTGAAGACTCAAAGTACTTAGTAAAAGAAAGCTTTTTAATTTTATCATAATCATTTTTAATTGTCTTAACTACCTCTCATCTCTTGTTTTTTGTCTTTGCCATGTACTGGTTGAACTCCCCTATTCTCCTAGCCTTTATATCAGTCCTATTGTATTAATCCATTCTCACGCTACTATGAAGAAATACCAAAGACTGGAAAATTTATAAAGGAAAAAGTTTTAATTGACTCACAGTTTCACATGGCTGGGAGGCCTCAGGAAACTTCCAATCATGGCAGAAGGGGAAGTGAACACAAACTTCTTCACAAGGCAGGAGGAGAAAAAAGTGCTGAAAAACGAGGGTAAAGCCCCTTATGCAGCCATCAGATCTCAGGAGAACTTGCTCACTATCACTAGAACAGCAAGGGGGTAACCACATTCATGATTCAATTACCTCTCAATAGGTCCCTCACATGACATGTATGGATTATGGGAACTACAATTCAAGATGAGATTTGGGTGGGGACATAGCCAAACCATATCATTCTGCCCCTGGCCCCTCCCAAATCTCATGTCTTCACATTTCAAAACACAATCATGCCTTTCCAACAGTCCCCCAAAGTCTTAGCTCATTCCAGCATTAACCCGAAAGTCTAAGTCCAAAGTCTCACCTGAGACAAGGCAAGTCTCTTCCACCTCTGAGCCTGTAAAATCAAAATCAAGTTAGTTACTTCCTAGATACAATGGGGGTACAGGCATTGGGTAAATAGGTCTGTTCCAAATTGAAGAAATTGGCCAAAACAAAGGGGCGGCCCATGCTAGTCTGAAATCCAACAGAACAGTCAGTAAAACTTAAAGTTCCAAAACGATCTCCTTTGACTACATGTCTCACATCCAGGTCACACTGATGCAAAATGTGGGCTCCCACAGCCTTGGGCAGCTCTGCCTCTGTGGTTTTGCAGAGTATAGCCCCCCTCCTGGTTGTTTTCAAAGTCTGGCATTGAATGTCTGTGGTGGTTCCAGACACACAGTGCAAGCTGTTGGTGGATCTACAATTCTGTGGTCTGAAGGATGGTGGCATTCTTCTCACAGCTCCTCTAGGCAGTGGTCCAGTGGGGACTTTGTGTGGGGGCTCTGCTAGGGCACTTCCCTTCTACACTGCCTTAGCAGAGTTTCTCCATGCGGGCTCCGCCCATGCAGCAAACTTCTGCCTGGACATCCAAGCGTTTTCATACATCTTCGGAAATCCAGACAGAGGTTTCTAAACCTCAATTCTTGACTCCTATGAACCCGCAGCCTCAACACTATGTGCAAGCCACCAAGGCTTGGGGCTTGCATCCTCTGAAGCAAGGGACTGAGCTGTACATTGGCCCCTTTTAGCCACAGCTGGACCTGAAGCAGCTGGTAGGCAGAGTACCATGTCCTGAGGCTGCATAGAAGAGGGGTGTCCTGGGCCCAGCCCAGGAAACCATTTTTCCCTCCTAGGCCTCTGGGCTTGTGATGGGAGGTGCTCCCATGAAAGTCTCTGACATGCCCTGGATATATTTTCTTGGCTCCTCATTATTTATGCAAATTTCTGCAGCTGGCTTGAATTTCTCCCGAGAAAATGGGGTTTTCCTTTCTATCACATCCATCAGGCTAAAATTTTCCAAACTTTTATGCTCTGCTTCCTCTTGAATGATTTGTTGCTTAGACATTTCTTCCACCAGGTATCCTAAATCATCTCTCTCAAGTTCAAAGTTCCACAGATCTCTAGGATGGGGCAAAATGCCACCAGTCTCTTTGCATAGCAAATGTCACTTTTACTTCAGTTCCCAACAAGTTCCTCATCTCCATCTGAGACCACCTCAGCCTGAACTTCATTGTCCATATCACTATCAGCATTTTGGTCAAAGCCATTCAGCAAGTCTCTAGGGGGTTTCAAACTTACCCACATCTTCTTGTCTTCTGAGCCCTCCAAGTCTCTAGATTGTTCCAAACATTCCCACATTTTCCTGTCTTCTGAGCCCTCCAAACTAGTCCAGCCTCTGCTTGTTACCCAGTTACAAAGTCACTTCCACATTTTCAGTATCTTTACAGTAGTGTCCCACTCTGCCGTACCTATTTACTGTGTTAGTACATTCTCTTGCAGCTATGAAGAAATACATGAGACTGGGTAACTTATAAAGGAAAGAGTTTTAATTGACACACAGTTACACATGGCTGGGATGGTCTCAGGAAACTTACAATCATGGCAGAAGGAGAAGCAAACACATCCTTCTTCCCAAAGCAGCAGGAGAGAAAAGTGCTGATCAAAGGGGGAAAAGCCCCTTATAAAACCATCAGATCTTGGCCAGGCATGGTGGCTCATGCCTGTCATCTCAGCACTTTGGGAGGCCAAGGTGGGTGGAATACTTGAGGTCAGGGGTTCAGGATCAGTCTGGCCAACATGGTGAAACAACATGTCTAATAAAATACAAAAATTAGCTGGGCATGGTGGCAGGCACCTGTAGTCCCAGCTACTTGGGAGTCTGAGGAAGGTGAATCTCTTGAATGTGGGGGTGGAGGTTGCAGTGAGCAGAGATTTTGTCACTGCATTTCAGCTTGGGTGACTGAGTGAGTGAGACTCCATCTCAAAAAAAAACAAACAAAAACAAACAAAAAAACAACCATCAGATCTTGTGAGAGCTCACTCACTATCATGAGAACAGCATGGGGGGCTAACTGCTCCCATGATTCAATTACCTCCCTCCGGGCCCCTCCCTTGACACATAAGGATTATGGGAACTATAGTTCAAGTTGAGATTCTGATGGGGATGCAGCCAAACCATATCAACCGCTTTTTTGTTAAACAATCCCTGTTGCTGAGTTAAGCATCTTTTACTGCTCTGCACATACTCAATACTTTCCATTGTCCAAATTTTTGCTTAAACCATTCTTTGAAGATTCCCAACTCTTCTTTTGTAGAAATATTAGCCATTCCTCAAAATACAGTACAGGTATCTTCCCAATTCCACATTTCAACTATAGGCAATTAGAAATGCTCCAAATTCTAAAAACACATTGACCACATTGTGATGCAATCATCCTCTACACATATTTATAGTTATTTACCTTACATACCGTATGAATCTGTTCTCCAATTGCTACACAGAACTACCTGAGACTTGGTAATTTTTTTTTAAGAGGTTTAATTGGCTCATGGTTCCATAGGCTCTGTAGGAAGCATGGCTCAGGGAGGCCTCAGGAAATGTACAATCATGGCAGAAGGCAAAGAGGAAGCGAGCATGTCTTTACATGTGGGGGACATGCTACACATTTTAAAACAACCAGATATCATGAGAACTCACTCATTATCATGAGTAGAGCAAAGGGGGAAATCTGCCCCCATGATCCAATCACCTCCCACCAGTTTCCTCCCTGAACTTGGGAATTACAATTTGAAACGAGATTTGGGTGGGGACACAGAGTCAAACATATCACATACTATCACTCTCCAAGGATGGAAGGCTCACTGAAAACTTTAACGTGATTTATATGAGACCATATGTTGGATACAAGGGGTCTCATATATATTCAGAAATTGGAAAAAAATCAATGAATGAATAAATATCAGTTGAAAAGAAGAAATTGATTTTAAGACTTTATACTAAAAACAGTTTTAAATATTCACCTCTGTTAACTCCCATAAAATGATAGTAATTGAAATGAGATCAGAAGTCAGATCCAAACGTTAAATTCAGGTTTTCTAATTACAATGCTTTCCACTTATTTTCTTACAAAATCAACAAATGAGATGTACAAAATTTGAGATAGTTAAAGCTACAGTTATATTATTGGTGAAAAATCTTATAGAGTTTGCAATTCAAATGGTTAATTTTATTTAAACCATTTTTATTTTTACATACAATTAAAACTAAAGAAAAAATAACCAGAACTTAAAAAAGAAAGGAAAAAAGCAAATATAATTTTACATGCATTGTCGTATATCAGACTCAACATATTTTGTTTCTGAAACTTTTATAATGTGGAGGTGTCTCATATTCTCATTTGTATTCTGCCCAAACAGCTGTCATTCACCACCTGCTATACAAAGCCCACTCATACTTTTAAAAGCCTCTAGAATTATATTAAAAAAGATTCTTCCAAATCAGTTAACTGTACTTTAAATGTCACCCACACCTCTGCATGGCAGTCAAAAAAAAGTAACAAAGTGAGAAGGTAAATAACACTAAGCTTTATATTTACTCCCATCCAAATCCACAAAATCTTTCATAAGCTAGCATAATATACTTTGAATTATGCTGAAGGGTTAGAGAGTGAAATAAGCACAGAGGAAAATGTGTGCATGAAGACACCTATATTTTTAAAGCCATGTCTACCTAGAAGCCAAGTTGTTAATCCACAGATGACACTAGGAAGACCAAAATGTTAAGACTGATGACACATCTGAGGAAGACACGCTGCTAACATCAATTTTTCAGTGCTTGTACTCCTGAAGCTAAGTTTATACTTAAAATCCTAGAAGCAACTGGACACTTCTGCAACATCAGCTGCTCAGGAAAAATTCAGACAGCTTCCACCAACATCTCACAGTTGTGGTAGGCATGGGTTGCGCAGGACCTGGGTTCAGTTTCACTACTCTATCCCAAGGAATAGTATATGTTTTTATGAACGTAAAGGGACTTCGTTCTCTTTCATAATTGTGAAAATGGTTCCTCTTAAAAGGATTTCATATGTTTAGTAGAAAAAGAAGGGCAAAAGATGGTCAGGTCAAGAAGTGTGGAAGACACAGAGGCAGTTTATTTTAACAAATGAAAAGAAAAAAGCCTACGCTAATTTGAAATCTTAATAAGGATCAACTTTATATCCCAATTCTCTAGGAAAACAATTGGCAGCAGTGGAAGTTCAAGGTGGCTCAGCACACAATAGTTGCCCTGACTTGGCTTTATTACAGACGGAATCAATAATATTCTGTCAATGCCCCTGTACAGATGGCATCTCACTCTCAGTTTAGAGAGCTAATAAAAATCTATATGCTTTCACACCACAGGAGAACTGCAGCACCCTATAAATAATGAGGATAATTTAAGACGAGGATTTTTCCTAGAATTTCAATTTCCAAAAATTCATATATAACTGTCCCTCAGTTTCTAAAGTTTTACTTGTACAAACATTGACTCATTCTTCCATAGAATTTTTCTATGGTTGCCAAAGGTACTGGAAGCCCATTAAAAGAGTTAAGTTCTGCCGAAGGGAAAAATAATAACCACGAACAGAGTAAATTCGTAAGAGTAATTTCTTATTTCGTAGCAAATAATCTAACTACTTTTTACAATGTCAGAGGAAACAACACACAGTTCTCTTTCATTTCAAATATGCTAATAGGCACAAACTGCTGAAAAAAATAAAGATTTAATACTCTTTCAAAGGAGAAAGATTTAATCTAAGAGCAAGTTATTTTAGCCATAAAAATATAAGAATGAATTAACCAGGAAGAAATAAAACATAGGCACTGTGCACTTATGACGTTGTTGCCACTACTAAAATTCACTAAGCATTCTCAATGTACTGGGTCGCATATATAACAAAGGTTGGAACCATATCTACCTTCACAATTTAGGAGGTAGATTTAGGAGGTAGATGTTTTGTTTCCGACTTCTTTCACCAATGGCTATTTTGTATCATTCTCTGTTCTTTCTGCTTACGAGGGGCATTCAGATGCAATTCTGTTTCTGCCACAAAAGTTTCAATGTTCCAAACCCAAGGTAAAAATGGAAAACCACTGTAAATTAAACCTACCAAGAGAATAACAAGGATGAAGAACTGCAGAACAGAGGATTACTAAGAAAACTTGATGAAAACGGGTTACTACTTTTTTTTTTTTGAGACGGTGTCTCGCTCTGTCGCCCAGGCTGGAGTGCAGTGGCACGATCTCCGCTCACGGCAAGCTCCACCTCCCGGGTTCACGTCATTCTCCTGCCTCAGGCTCTCGAGCAGCTGGCACTGCAGGCGCCCGCCACCACGCTCGGCTAATTTGTTTTTGTATTTTTAGTGGAGACGGGATTTCACCGTGTTAACCAGGATGGTCTGGATCTCCTGACCTCATGATCAGCCCGCCGCAGCCTCCCAAAGAGGGGTTACTACTTTTAGGTTTTAGATAGTCATTATGGAGATAAGGCTTTGAAACAACAATAGAAAAGTAAAGACACAAGTTATTATTGGACAGATGTAGATCATTGTCGACTGCCTTTTTTATTTTAGATTCCACAATATTTGCTTTTTGAATCTGTCTTTACCATGGTAGTTACAACTACTCCCTTGAAAGACGAACATGGAAATTTTCTACAAGATGCTTGTATAATATTTAAAAATTTGTCTTGAATAGTCCCTGGATATTATAATGCAGACATCAATATACTCATTGGTTGAATACTAGAGTTATATAAAACTTTTTCAAGACTTTTTCTAGGCAGCTGCTCTCTTGTAATATTTTATATGGTCATGAGAGCAAGCTCAAGTCTCCTTCCCTTCTCATAAGGATACTCATTCCATCCTGGGGGCTGTACTCTCATGATCTCACCTAAACTTAATTACCTCTCAAAGGTCCCACCTCCTAATACTTATCCCATTAGAAGGTAGGGTTTCACCATATGAATTTTAGAGAAACACAAACTTGGAGTTCATAACAATTATGTGTCGTAATCCCCTGAAATCCATGAAACTTTAAGTGGCCAGGTAAAATCTCTAGATTCTGATATCCTCTGGTGGGGATATTCACAAATATTTTTTATTTTATTTTATTTATTTTTATTTTTATGCTATTTTATTTTATTTTATTTTATTTTATTTTATTTTATTTTGAGATGGAGTCTCGCTCTGTTACCCAGGCTGGAGTGCAGTTGCACTATCTCTGCTCACTGCAAGCTCCGCCTCCCGGGTTCACGCCATTTTCCTGCCTTAGCCGCCCGCCACCACGCCCGCCTAATTGTTTGTATTTTCAGTGGAGACGGGGTTTCGCCGTGTTGGCCAACATGGTCTTGATCTCCTGACCTTGTGATCAGCCCGCCTCAGCCTCCCAAAGTGCTGGGATTACAGGTGTGGGCCACTGCGCCCAGCTCATAAATACGTTTAAAATTGTACATACTATTTTTTTCCCAGTTGTTGAGAAACTACTTACATTTTCTTTAAAGTTCTGACCTCATCATAAGAGCTACGCACACTAATCACTCTATTATGTAAGTTTAATTATTACTTATATTTCATCCTCAATTATTTCTTTTTAGCTGGAGGAATTTATAGTTAGAAGTATACAACAGCATATGCTCCTTTTCACATGTTAAAATAATTATTCTTTTGAGAACATTTTGTTAATTTCATTTATAGAGCTCTAAATTCCATCCAAGTAAAAATGTGATAAATGAAAACTCAAATAAAAAAATAAGTAATTAGATGTTTTTACATTGTAGAAATAGACTTTAAAATAAAATTGCAATTACATAACATTACTGGCCTTCCCATTTGGTAGGATATATGTGACAAAAAACTTAAGTGTCATAAAGAGGTGAATGGATTATGATCTATAGAAATACTGGAGTATGTGCCTGGTCCTCAAGGAAGTAAAGCTAAAAGAAGAAAAATGTTCACAGTGTCAAGTGCTCCAAATACAATGAGCAGGACTTAACACATAAGAATAAAGTCAGGGTGTGTTTTGAAAATGTGAACAGCAGTGTTATGGCATAAAACACATGTTATGAAAAAGGCTTAACTGCTTGTAGGATCTTTACAATTGGTACACAAAACTCCCCAAACAACCTGGGCTAAATAAATTTATTTTCTTTGATTTAGACATTTTAATACATTTCTTTTTATTATGGAATATTTGTTTCTAATCTAATTTGTGGTTATATAAATCATCACTTGTAGTGTAATTTTTTTCAGAAAAAAAAAATCTTAAATATAGCTATTAGCTTCTCCCTGGTGGAAGGTTATATGTCAGTTTTCTGTCTGATTTTACTCTCCACTTTCAATTTAAAAACAAGCAGTGATCATATATATAGATGCAAAGGGAAATTTATCAGAAGCAGACTGTCATTCCTGAATATGATGTAGGAGAGAGAAATACTACAGCCAAGGAGGATATTATTTAATTTCAATTGTTTTGACATTTTATATTGCAGCAAGAAAATGGAAAATGAAAACTTACACATTTTTTTCTTATGCTCAAGACAAAAATTATATTTATCATCTGCATGTTGTTATTGTTACTAGAAGAAAATATCAAAAATATTAAAAATACACAATAAACTGTAAGGTTATTGTGTGATTAGATAAAGCATATGATATTATGATATTAAAAGTGTGAAATATCTTTATTCAATGCACTGGGTAATATCCATGGTTCTATTCTGATAAATAACGTTTAAATAAAGTTCTTGAAGTGTGATCTCTAAGTTTTGGGGTATATTTGGCAAATTGAATAAATATTTTATATGTCATATTATAAGCTTACCATCCTGAAAATAGAATTTAACAATTGAAGAATAATGAAAAGGTCAACTTAAAAATACTTTACCTATTTTTCTTCCCTCTCTTTTAGTTCTCAGCACTTCTTTCTCCATGTATCATTTCATTGTTGGTCACTTGACATATAGCAGAGGAATGAGAAAGCAGTGAATATCCAGTAACTTGGCTAAAATGTATAAATCTTATTTCTGGTTTCTTGGCAGATATATAAAGATCTTGGAAATTATTCTCTTCCATACCCACAACAAGAAAAATCTAAATGAACTGAAGATCAACAATCCTTTTTAGATCCATCAGAAAAATTGATGTTCAGCAAACAGAAACAGTTTGACCTCTTCATTTCCAATTTGGATGCCCTTTATTTTTTTTCTCTTGTCTGATTGCTCTGGCTAAGACTTCCAGTACTATGTTGAATAGAATTGATATAAGTGAGTATCCTTGTCTTGTTCCAGTTCTTGGGGAAAGGCTTTCAACTTTTTGACATTCAGTATTATGTTGGCTGGGGGTTTGTTATACATGGCTTTTATTACTTTGAGGTAAGTCCCTTCTATGCCTATTGTGTTGAAAGGTTTTATCATAAAGGGATGCTGGATTTTATCAAATGATTTTTCTGCATCGATTGATATTATCCTGTAATTTTTGTTTTTAATTCTTTTTATGTTAGGTATCACATTTATTAACTTGCATATACTAAATCGTCCCTTCATCTCTAGGGTGAGACCCACCTGATCATGATGAATTATCTTTTTGATGTGCTGTTGGGTTCAGTTAGCTACGATTTTGTTGAGCATTTTTGCATCTCTGCTCATCAGCGATATTGGTATGTAGGGTTTTTGTTTGTTTGTTTTTGTTGTTGTTTGTTTGTTTTGAGATGGAGTTTCACTCTTGTTGCCCCGGGTGGAGTGCAATGGCGTGATCTCGGCTCACTGAAACCTCCGCTTCCCGGATTCAAGTGATTCTTCTGCCTCAGCTCCCCTGTGTAGCTGGGATTACAGGCATGCACCACCATGTCCGGCTAATTTTGTACTTTTAGTAGAGACGGGGTTTCTCCATGTTGGTCAGGCTGGTCTCAAACTCTTGACCTCATGTGATCGGCCTGCCTCGGCCTCCCAAAGGGCTAGGATTACAGGCTAGTTTTCTTTTTCTTTTCTTTTCTTTTCGCTATTTTTTTTTCCTGATTTTGGTTTTAGGGTGATACTGGCTTCATACAATGATTTACATGGGATTCCTTCTTTCTCTATGCTTTAGAATAGTTTCAGCAGGAATAGTAGCAAGTCTTCTTTGAAGGCTTGGCAGAATTCTGCTGATTGTATACCTAGAAAACGCTAAAGACTCATCCAAAAAGCTCCTAGATCCGATAAACAAATTCAGTAAAGTCTCAGGATATAAAATCCATATACACAAATCAGTAGTTCTGTTCCACATCAACAATGACTAAGCTGAGAATCAAATGAAGAACTCAATCCCATTTACAACAGCTGCAAAAAAATAAAATTAAATACTTAGAAATATACTTATCCAAGGAGGTGAAAGATCTCTCCAAGGAAAACTACAAAACACTGCTGAAAGAATCGTAAATGACACAAACAAATGGAAACACACCCAATGCTAATGGATGGGAAAAATCAGTATTTTGAAAATGACCACACTGCCAAAAGCAATCTACAGACTCAATACAATTCCCAACAAAATACCATCATCATTCTTCACAGAACTAGAAAAAACAATTCTAAAATTCGTATGGAACCAAAAAAGAGCCAGAATAACCAAAGCAAGACTAAGCAAAAAGAACAAAGCTGAAGGCATCGCATTACCCAACTTCAAATTGTACTGAAAGGCTATGGTTACCAACACAGCATGATACTGGTATAAAAATAAGCATGTGGACCAGTGGAACAGAATAGAGAATCCATAATTAAAGCCGAATACTTAACAGACAACTGAACTTCATCAAAGCATTCCAAAACATAAATTGGTGAAAGGACACCCTATTCAATAAACAGTGCTGGAAAAACTGGCAAGCCACATGAAGAAAAATGAAACTGGATTAATTTATCTCACCTTATACAAAAAGTACATGCAAGGTAGATCAAAGACTTAAATCTAAGACCCGAAGTCATAAATTTATAGAAGACAGCATTGGAAAAACTCTTCTGGACATTGACTTAGGTAAAGATTTCATGACTGAGACCTACAGAGCAAATGCAACAAAAACAAAAATAAATAAATCTGACTTAATTAAACTAAAAAGCTTCTGCACAGCAAAAGTAGTAATCAGCAGAGTAAACAGACAACCCACAGTGTGGGAGAAAATATTTTCAAACTATGCAACCAACATAGTTTGTTTGTTGTATCCAGAATCTACACGGAACTCAAATAAATCAGCAAGAAAGAAACAATACCATCAAAAAGTGGGCAAAGAACATGAATAGACATTTCTCAAAAGATCCACACATGAAAAAATTCTGAACGTTACTAATCATCAGGGAAATGCAATTAAAACCACAATGAGATACTACCTTATTCCTCCAAGAATGGTTATTATAAAAAGTCAAAAAAACAATAGATGTTGTTGTGGAGGTGGTAAAAAGGGAACAATTTACACTGCTGGTGGGAATGTAAATTACCACCTCGAATCCTTGAAGAACTAAAGGTAGAACTACTATTTGATCCAGCAATCCCACTACTGGATATGTAAAAGGAAAAGATGTCATTATATGAAAGAGGCAGATGCACGTGCATGCTTATAGCAGCACAACTCACAATTGCAAAGAAATGGAAGCAACCAAACTAAGTGCCCACCAACCAATTAATGGATAAAGAAAATGTGATATACATATACCATAGAATACTACACAGGCATAAAAAAGGAACAAAATGATGTCTTTTGGATGCAACTTGGATGGAGCTGGAGGCCATTATTCTAAGGGAAGTAACTCAACAATAAAAAATTGGATGGAGCTGGAGGCCATTATTCTAAGTGAAGTAACTAAAGAATAAAAAATCAAATACATGTTCTCACTTGTAAGTAGGAGCTAAGCTATGAGGATGCAAAGGCATAAGAATGATATAAGAGACTGGAGACTCCGGGTGAAAGCCTGGGATGGGAGTGAGGGATAAAAGATTACATATTGGGTACAATGGGCACTGCTTGAGTGACAGGTGTACTAAAATCTCAGAAATCACCACTAAAGAACCTATCTATATAATAAAAAACACCTATACCCCAAAAACTATTGAAAGAAAATAATTGATGTTTACAGGCAAGCCGCTACTCTAAAAACTACAGAGAAAGATAGATAGACACAGAGAATCACAGCTAACCAGTAGTAGAATCTCACATCTAGAGCTAATATTAGTAGGAATATAACAAGCAACAAACAACCCCATTAAAATGTAGGCAAAGAACATGAACAGACACTTCCCAAAATAAGACATACATGAGGTCAACAAGCATATGGAAAAATGTTAAACATCACTGATCATTAGATAAATGCAAATCAAAACCACAATAAGATATAATCTCACACATGTCAGAATACTGGTGAGGTTGCAGAGAAAAGAGTACGTATACATTGCTGATGCGACTATGAATTAGTTTAGCCATTGTGGAAAGCTGCTTGGCAATTTCTCAAATAACTTAGAACGGAAATACTATTTGATCTAGCAATCCCATTTTTGGTTATATACACAAAGGAATATAAATCATTCTGCCATAAAGACAAATGCACACTTATATTCATTGCAGCACTAAAATTAAAAAAAAGTAAAATAAATTAAAAAATGAAAATTAAAAAAAATAATCAGTTAATTGCTGGAAGCAATCTAACAAGGCTAACCAAGGGTGTATGGAGAGAAAATTCAAATTTCTAAGAGCAGAAATTAAATAGGAAATTACTATATATCTCTAGGATGTTAAAACAGCAATGAAAGAATATCATGAACTATTTTATGCCCATAAATTTGATAACCTAGCTGAAGCAGACCAATGCCTGAGAAGATACAATGTACACAGATTCACACAAGGATAAATATGTAATATAAATAGGTGAATATCTATTTATGCAATTCAATCAACAATTAATAACTTTTCAAAATACAAAGAACCAGGCCTAGATATTTTTATCGGTGAATTCTACCAAACATTTTATGAACAAATGACACAAATCCTCTACAATGTGTTCCAGAAAATAGAAGCAGAAGGAACACTTCCTAACTTGTTCTATGAGGTCTCATTACCCAAATGCAAAAACTGACAAAGACACTACAAGAAAGGAAACTATAGACCAATATCTTTCATAAATACAGATGCAAAAATCCACAACAAAATATTTGAATCCAGTATTGCATGTAGTTATACAATAAGCATGACCAAATGGGGTTTCTCTTTGGTATACAAGGTGGACTCAACATTATAAAATCAATTAATGTAGTTAACAATCAACAGGCTAGAGAAGAAAAATGATATAATCGTATTCACAGTTTCAGGAAAAGCACTTGACAAAATCCAACATTCGTGTTAAAAACTCTCAGCAAACTAGAAATACCGTGGAACTCCCTCAGCTTGATAAAGAATGTCGGCAAAAAATGTATGGTATATATCATACTTAATGATTAGAAACAAGGTTCTTTGCCCCTAAGTTTGAGAAAAAGGCAAAGATATACCCTCTCACTACTACTATGCAATATCATACTAAAAGTCCTAAGGAATGAAATAAAAGAAGAGAAGAAAATAAAAGATATAAAGATTAGAGAGGAAGAAATAAAGCTGCCGTGTTTGCAGTAACATGATTGTCTATGTAGAAAATCTCAGAAAATCAACTAAAGAACTCCTAGAAGTAACAAGCTATTATAGCAAAGTTGCAGGCTAGAAGAAATGAGGGCTGGGCGTGGTGGCTCACGCCTATAATCCTAGCACTTTGGGTGGCCGAGGCGGGCGGATCACAAGGTGAGGAGATCGAGACCATCCTGGCTAACACGGTGAAACCCCGTCTCTACTAAAAATACAAAAAAATTAGCTGGGCATGGTGGCGGGCGCCTGTAGTCCCAGCTACTCGGGAGGCTGAGGCAGGAGAATGGCGTGAACCCAGGAGGCAGAGCTTGCAGTGAGCCGAGATCGCGCCACTGCACTCCAGCCTGGGTGACAGAGCAAGACTCCATCTCAAAAAAAATAAAATAAAATAAAAATGAAAATAAAAAAGAAGAAGAAATGAGCAATAGAAATTTGAAACTAAGAACACGACGTCATTTATAATTGCACCAAAAAATAAATATGTAGGTATAAATTTAACAAAATATGTAAAAGATCTCTGTGAGTAAAAACTAGAAAACCCTGATAAAAGAAATCTAAGAATATTTAAATAAATGGAGATGTATTTCATGTTTGTAGATAAAAGACAATATTAAGGGCCAGTTCTTCCCAACTTGGTTTGTATATTCAATTCAATCCCAAGTAAAATTCCAAAAAGTTATTTTGTGAAAACTGATTATAAGTTCATTTGGAAAAGAAAAAGACTTAGAATGGCCAACACAATATTGAAGAAGAAGAACGAAGTTGAAAGACTTAAACTACCGAACTTGAAGTCTTATTTTAAAAATGCAGTAATTAAGACAATCTGCTATGAGTGAAAGAATAGACAAATCAGTGGAACAAAAGAGAGAGCCTAGAATTATAACCACATATATATAGCCAACTGACAAAGGTGTAAATCCAATCCAATTGAGAAATAATACTCATTTCAACAAATGATGATGAAACAATTGGACATCCATGTGCAAAAAAGTTAATGTAGAAACTAACCTACAGTTTTCATAAAAAAAATTCATAATTGAACGCAGACCTAAATGTAAGTAAAATGCAAAACTATGAAACTCTTAGAAAACAACAAAGAAAATGTAAGTGACCATAGGTTTGGCTATAAGTTTTTAGATACAACACTAAAATCATAACCTATGAAAGTAAAACATGGTAAGTCAGGCATTCTTAAAATGAAAATCTTCTGCTCTGTGAAAGACACTGGTAAGGGACTGAAAAGACCAGTCAGTCTTGGGGAAAATATTTGCACACACATATCTATTAAAAAACTTATATACAGAATATACACAGAACCCTAAAAATTCAATAACAAGGCCAGGCGCGGTGGCTCATGCCTGTAATCCCAGCACTTTGGGAGGCCGAGGCAGTTGGATCACGAGGTCAGGAGATCGAGACCATCCTGGCTAACACGGTGAAACCCTGTCTCTACTAAAAATACAAAAATTAGCCGGGCGTGGTGGCAGGCATCTGTAGTCCCAGCTACTCAGGCGGCTGAGGCAGGAGAATGGCGTGAACCCAGGAGGCGGAGCTTGCAGTGAGCCCAGATCGTGCCACTGCACTCCAGTCTGGGAGACAGAGCGAGACTCTGTCTCAAAAAAAAAAAAAAAAAAAAAAAAAAAAAAAAAAAAAAAAAAATTCAATAACAAGAAAACAAACAACATTATTAAAAATTGGGCTAAAGACCAGAACAGACACTTCACCAAAGAAGATATGCAGATGTCAAATAAGCATATAAAAAGATGCTCAACCTCATTTGTCACTAGGAATTGCAAAATAAAATGATTAGATACCACTAAATGTCTATTGGAATAGCTAAAATCCAAAAACACTAATACCAAAGGACAGTAAGGATGTAGAACAACAAGAAATCTCATTCCTTACTGATGGGAATGCAAAATGGTACACCAACTTTGGAGACCAGTGTAACAATTTATTTTAAAGCTAAACATAGTTCATTTTGTTATAGCTTTATCGAGGTATAATTGACAAACAAAAATACCTATATATGATGTATAACATAATTTGATATACATATACATTGTGAAATGATTACCACAATCAAATTAATGAACACATTCATCACCACACATAGTCACCATCTATGTTTATATTGCTGGGGTTGGGGAGGAGGACACAAAATCTACACTCTTAATAAATCTCCAGTAAACAATACAGTATCATTAACTATAGTCATCATGCTTTACATTAGATCCCCAGCATTTGTTCGTCTTATAACTGAAAGTTTGTACCCTTTGACCAACATCTCCCCATTTACCCTACTGCCTCAGACCTGGCCATTGCCAGCTCCAGCTCTACTCTCTGCTTCTCTGAGATCGATTTTCATTGATTTCACTTATAAATTAGACCATGCAGTACTTGTCTTTCTACGTCTGGCTTATTTCACTTAGGATAACATCTTACAGGTTCACCTATGGTGTTGCAAATGGCAAGATTTATTTATTTATTATTGCTGAATAAGCTTCCATTGTATATATGTACTGCATTTTTATACATGCATCCATGAAAAGAAACAGGTTATTTCTATATATAGAATATTGTTAATACTGCAATGAACGTAAGGATTCAGATCTCTCTTAGGAATACTGATTTCATTCTCTTTGAATGTATAAACAGAAGTGGGATTGCAGGATCATATGGTAGATTTATTTTTAATTTTTTGAGGAACCTGCATACTGTTTTCCATGATGGCTGTACCAAGTAATATTTCCACCAATAGTGGTTTAACAACTTTTACTTCTTCACACCCTCATCAACACTTGTGACCTTTCATCTTTTTGATAATAGCCATTCTAACAAATGTGATGTAATACCTCATTGTAATTTTGACTTGCATTTCCCTGATAATCAGTGATGTTGAGCACCTTTCCATATACCTGTTGGCTATTTTTATGTTTTTGAGGAAAGAGCTACTCCTGTCTTCCTTAGTCTGTTGGTTCCACTATAACACAATACCACAGACTGGGTGAATTATAAACAACATACATTTATTTCTCAGGTTTCTGGAAGCGTTGAAGCCCCATATCATTGTATCAGCAGGTTTAGTGTCTGGTGAGAGCTGCTTTCTGCTTCCAAGATGGTGTCTTGCTGCTGCATCTTCTGGGGAAGAGAAACATTGTGTCCTCACAAGGTTGAAGGAATGGGAGAGCAAGATAGATAGTGCATCCTTCAACTTCAAGACATTATGTATAGGTTCTAATCTCAAACACAAAGGCAAAGCCCTCATGACTTAAGTATCTCTCAAAGGCCGCACCTTTTAATACTGCTGTATTGAGGATTAAATTCCAATATAAATTTCGAAGGGAACACCATCATTCAAACCATAGGAATATCTCATTTAACCAGTTTTTGGTTGGATTACTTGTTTTTTGCTATTGAGTTATATGAATTTCTTGTATATTATGGATGTTAATTCCCTATCAGATATATAGTTTACAAATATGTTCTCCCATTCTATAGGCTATCTTTTCATTTTGATTGTTTCTTTTGCTGTGCAGAAAGTTTTTAGTTTAATATAGTGCTGCTTATTTATTTATTTTTGTCTTTTTGCCTGTGTTTTTGGTGTCATACCTAAAAAATCATTGCCAAAACCAATGTCAAGGAAGTTTTTCCCTGCTTTCTTATAAAAGTTTTACAATTCTAGGTCATGTTTACATCTTTAATTCATTTTGAGTTAGTTTTTATATGTAGTGTAAAAAAGGTCTAACTCCATTCACTTCCATGTGAATATCCACTATTTACAGCACCATTTATTGAAGAAACTGATTTTTCCATTGTATCTTCTAGGTATTTTTGTCAAAAATCAGTTGACTATACATATACATGGGTTTATTTCCGGGCTCTTAATTCTGTATCATTGCCCTATGTATTCATTTTTATGCCAGTATCATACCACTTTAATTATGATAGTTTTGTAACATAGTTAAAAATTGGAAAAAGGATGCCTTAAGCTTTTAAACTTTTCTCAAGATTGCTGTGGCTCTTTGGGGTCTTGTGTGGTTTCATATAATTTTAGGGTTTCTTTTACTTCTGTTAAAGAATGGCATAGGAATTTTGGTAAGCATTGCAATGAATCTGTGGATCGCTTTGGGTATACAGACATTTTAACATTCTTCTAATGCATGTACATAAAATATCTTTCCATTTTCCTGTGTCTCTAAAAAATTTTTTTTGAATGTCTTATAGTTTTCAGTTTATAGATCTTTCATCTCTTTGGTTGAATTTATTCTTAAGTGTTGTATTATTTTTAATGCAATTGTAAATGGGATTGTCTTCTTAATTTATATTTGGGATAGTTGGATTTAGTGTCTAGAAATGCAACTTATTTTTGTATGTTGATTTTGTACCCTGCAACTTTACTGAATAACACTATTTAACAAATGGGTCTAATAGACAGATGTGAAATTTTCCATCCAACAGCAGTGAACAATATATTCTTCTCAAGTTCACACTGAACATTCTCCAGGAACGATCATATGTTGGGTCACAAAAAAAGGCTTAACAAATTTAAAATTCAAATAATATTTTCTGACTACAATAGTATGAAACTAGTAATCAGTAACAGGAGGAATTTTGGAAAATCACCTATATGTGGAAATTAAACAACACAGTCCTGAGTAACCAATGGGCAAAAGAAGAAATAAAAAGAGAAATTAAAAAGTATCTGGAGAAAAAGGAAGATACAAATCTAACATACCAAAATTTATGGGATGAGGCAAAAGCAGTTTTGGTGGGAATCTTATGATAAATGTCTACAACATAAGTTTACACCTATAGAAATTAGAAAACAATGGACAAACTAAACCCAAAATTAGTCAAAGAAAATAAATAATAAAGATTAGAACAAAAATAAATGAAGTAGAGTCTAGAAAGACAATAGAAATGATCAGCAAAGTAGTTGTTTTTTTTTACAAGATAAACAAAATTGGCACACCTTTAGCTAGACCAACAAAAAAAGAGAGAGGACTCATATAAAAATTAGAAATGAAAAATGAGAGATTATAATGCATACTATAGAAATGCAAAAATTATAGGAGTCTATTACAAAAAAAAAACTGTACATCAAAAAATTGTATAACCTAGAATAAGTGGATAGATTTCTAGAAACATACAACCTACTAAGACTGAATTATAAAGAAATAGAAAATATGAACAAATCAAAAACAAGTATGGGAATTGAATTAGTAGTGAAAAACCTATCGACAAAGACAGCTCAAAACCAGATTGCTTTTCTGGTGAATTGTACCAAGCATTAAAGGAGATTTAAGGAGAATTAATGTTAATCTTTCTCAAATTCTTTCAAAAACCTCAAAACTGCATTTTATAAGGCCAGGATTGTCCTCATATCAAAGCCAAGTAAGGACTTTAAAAGTAAAAAAACAAAGAAACAAACAAACAAACAAAAAAACAGATATCTCTGATGAACTTAGATGAAAGAATCTTCAAAAAATATTAGCAAACTGATTTCAACAACACCTTTAAAAAAATCAAGTGGGATTTATTCCTGGGATGCAAGTATGGCTCCATATATGCAAATTACTAGATGTGATAAACCACATTAATAGAATGAAGGACAAAAGATTGTGATCATCTCAATAGCTATAGAAAAAGTATTTGACAAAATTCAACATCTTTTCATGATAGAAAAAATCTCAACAAATTAGGCATAGAAGGACTGTCCCTCATCATAATAAATAATATACGTAACAAATCTACAGTTAACATCATATTCAGTGGTGAAAAGATGAGAGGTTTTTCTCTAAGATTAGGAACAAATTAAAGTAAATGGGAATTATCTGTATTAGCTGCTTAATTTTTCTGTAAACCTAAAGCTATTTTTATTAAAGTATATTAATTAAATCAAAAATTATAAATGCAAATATCTGATATGAATCATTGTCCAGAGAAACTTTCTAGGATTTACTCCTGAGATAGATCAGATTAGTCATTTGTAGGTCACATCTTGCTTTAGAATATATACTTGGAAAACACCACAGGATTAGAGTAGTCCAGTTTATAGGAAATTAATTAAGAAGCCATTTCAGAAGATGATTAGGTCTTGACTGGAATTGCATCCTTTCGCTCTGGAGAGTTTACCCCAATGAAAAACCTTGAAAAAAAAACTTGACCACATACTGTAGACTCATGTGGAATTACTAATTTAAGCAATTTTTTCCAAATAACATTAGCCTCACAAATTTCAAAACTAAAACTAAGTTGTACCTTCTGACATTTTGCATATCTATATGTATGTATATACACACCCTTGTCACGTCATAAACATACACACACACACAGATGAATCTTGAACAACCTGCGTTTGAACTGCATGGACCCTATTGTATGCAGACTTTTAAAAATAAATATACTGGGAAAAATTTTGGAGATTTGCAACAATTTGTTAAATCTCAGGGATAATTTTTGCTTAACTTAGGTATGTCATGAATATATGAAATATATGTAAACACCAGTATATCATTTACTATAATAAAATATACACAATCTATTATTAAAAGTTAAAATTAGCCAGTCAAGGTGGCTCAGGCCTGTAGTCCCAGCACTTTCAGAGGCCGAAGCAAGCGAATCACCTGAGGTTAGGAGTTCAAGACCAGCTTAGCCAACATGATGAAACCCTGTCTCTACTAAAATTACAAAAATACAAAAATTAGCTAGGCATGGTGGTGGGTGCCTGTAATCCCAGCTACTCAGGAGGCTGAGGCAGGAGAATCACTTGAACCCTGGAGGCGGAGGTTGCAGTGAGCCAAGACTGTGCCATTGCACTCCAGCCTGGGTGACAAGAGCAAAACTCTTTCTTAAAAAAAAAAAGTTAAAAATTTATCAAAACTTACACAAACACAGACTGTACATGGCACCATTCACAGTGAAGAGAAATGTAAAAAGAAAGGTGCAGTTTAAACCATAATTGCATAAAATTAACTTTAGTACATACTGTACTACTGTAATAATTTTATAGTTACTTCCTGTTGCTCTTGTAGTGATCTCAAGTGTTGCAAGTATCCACTTAAAATGCCATGTGATGCTAATTAGCTCTGCATGAACAGCTTGTCTCTCCGGTAAATTGCATATAGCAGTAAAAGGTAATCTCTTGTGATTCTTAGTTTTCATCATGTTTATTGCTATGCCATCAACCTTGAATAACACCATAGGACCCATATGCAGTCTCACTAGTGATGCTGGACATGCTCCCAAGAAGCAGACAAAAGTCATGACATTACAAGAAAAAATTGAATTGCTTGACATGTGACGTAGATTGAGATCGGTAGCTGCAGTCGCCTGCCGTTTCAAGATAAATGCATCCAGCTTAAGACCATTGTAATAAAAGAAAAGAAAATGTTTGAAGCTGTCGCTGCAGCTATGCCAGCTTGGGTGTTAACCTTTCACTTTTTATAAAATATCTTTTTATCTTGTATTAAAAATGCAGCTTTTATGTGGGTGCAGAATTGCTATGACAGGCATACCTATAGACTATAATATGATTCAAGATAAAGCAAAGTCATTATAAGACACAAAGCAAAGAGAAGGTGAAGAATCTAAATCTGGAGAATTTAATGCCAGCAAGGGATGGTTTGATAATATTAGAAAGAGATTTGGCATTAAAAATGTCAAGATGACAGAAGCAGCTTCTGCTGACGAAGGAGCAGCAGATGAATTCTCAGATGCCATTAAAAAAGAAAAAAAAAGAAAACCATTAAGAAGAAATAATATCTGCCTACACAGGTTTATAATGCAGACAAACGCGCCCTATTTTGGGGGAAAAATGCCACAAAGACATTCATTGGTAAGAAAGAGAAGTTAGCACAAAGATTTAAGTCAGGAAGGGATAGAGGCTAACTCTACTGTTTTGTGAAAAGGCAGTCAGATTTATGATCAGAACGGTCTATAAAGCCTCTAACCCCCAATCCTTGAAGGGAAAAGACAAATATCAACTGCTAATATTTTGGTTTTACAACAAGACGGTGTGGACAATGAGAGCTCTTTTTCTAGACTGGTTCTATTGATGCTTTATCCCTGAAGTCAGGAAGTACCTTGCCAATAAAGGACTGCCTTTTAAATTTATTTTGATATCAAAAACTTCCCATGGTCACCCAAAACCCAATGAGTTCTATATGAAAGCTACCACATTGATCTACCTGCCCAAAATACAATGTGATTAATTCAGCCTCCAAATGACTGGGTCACTGGAACCTTTAAATATAATTATATGTGGTAGTCTATGGAAATAATTGTCAATGCTATAGAAGAGAACCTTGATAAAGAGAAGATAATGAAAGTCTGGAAAGATTACACCATTGAAGATGCCATCACTTTTATAGAGGCAGTTGTGAAGGCCATCAAGCCTGAAAAAAATTAATTCTTGCTGGAGAAAACCTGTGTTCAAATGTTCTGCTTGACTTCACAGGATTCACAACAGAGCCAGTCAAGGCAGCCATGAAAGAGATTATGCATATGGCAAAAAGGGTGAGGGCTGAAGGGTTTCAAGTTATAGATCTTGGAGAAATTCAAGAGCTAATAGACACCACAACAGAGGAATTAATAGAAGATGACTTGATGAAGATGAATGCTCAGAAAACAAATTGACATTCGAATATCTGGCGGAAGGACTCTAAGTACTCAAGACTGCTTTTGCCTTCTTTTATGACATGGACCTATCTATGATAAAGTTACTGAAACTAAAGCAAATGGTGGGAGAACTGGTATTGTTTAGAAACATTTTTAGAGAAACAAAAAAGCAAAACAGTCAGACCAAGATTACTATGTATTTTCATAAAGTTAAACCAAATGTACCTGCCTCTCCTACCTCACCTTCGACCTTTTCCACCTCTTTCAACTCTGCCACTCTTGAGATGGAAAGACCAAGCTCTCTTCTTCACCATCCTCCTTAGCTTACTTAAGGTGAAGATGATGGAGGTAAAGACCTTTGTGATGATCCACTTTCACTTAATAAATAGTAAAAACGTTTTCTCTACTTTATGATTTTCTTAATAACATTTTCTTTTCTCTAGATTATTTTATTATAAGAGTACAGTATATAAATATAGGTTAATTGTTTACATTATTGGTAAGGTTTCTGATCAAAAGAGGCTTTTAATAGTAAAGTTTTAGGGGAGTCAGAAGTTATACATGGATAGTTGACTGAGCAGGAGATATATATATATATACACACACACACACATATACATACACACACATTCCCCTGCATATATGTATATATATGTGTGTGTATATATATATATAGTGTGTGTATATACACATATATATACACCCTGCATATATATATATCCTGCATACATATACCCCTGCATATATATGTGTGTGTATATATGTGTATATATGTGTATATATGTATATATATGTGTATATATGTATATATATGTGTATATATATGTGTATATATGTGTATATATATGTGTATATATGTGTGTATATATGTGTATATATATGTGTATATATGTATATATGTGTGTATATATATATATGTGTATATATATGTATATGTGTGTATATATGTGTATATATGTGTATATATGTGTATATATGTGTATATATATATGTGTGTATATATATATACACACACACACACACTCCCCTGCTCAGTCGGATATCCATGTTTGTGTGTGTATACACACACACACACACACACACATCTGTATACACATATAGATGTAGTGTGTGTATAAAATATATGTATTTCTTATCTCATAGCAATGCCTTTGATTGTTCTCAGATATTAACTATCTTGAATGAGAAACTGGAAATAATGGTTGACTATCAAAGTCATAACATGTTTGACATATGAAATATGAAACAGGTAATAAGGTGTTACACGATCAAGTTCCCAACAGAGAACAGAGACTTAAAATGTAGTATATGCTTGTGGTCTCATTACATAGGTTAAATGATTCTTCTGGAAAATGCATAGAATTTAGTTAAGAGTTGGTCAGAAATGTGGATATTCAAGGAAGAAGATTTGTATGTTTAATTTATCAACCAGTAAATATATATTGCGTTTCTATTGTGTGCAAGGTTCTCACAAAATTGCGGGGAATCAAAAATATACTAGATACAAGCCCATTTTTTAGTAACTCAAAATCTATTGGGAAAAAATGGTACATATAATACAAAAAGAGCACACTATAATTAGATTCAGAATTCTGGGAATTACATATATTCTGTAACATTTAATCAGTTGTGTGACATTGGGAAATTAATTTAATCTATGAGAGAATGTTTATTCCCTTATAATAACGACAAAAATAATTACACATATCTCATGGTGATTTTGTGAAGATTAAATATAGATATATATGAAACTACTAGCTCATACTAAGGTTTACCTGCTTGCTTGTTGCATTGTTTAACTGAGGTATGAAGACTTAAATAATTCAAGAGTTGAAGAACAACTCAAGGCAGTCACCTAGTTGATGTCAGAGGGAGCATTTCCAAAGCAAAGGCTTCCAAAACAACAACAAAAACAAAAATAAATAAATAAACAAACAAACAGTTCTTTATTTGGATTTTAGCGAATATGTGAGATTTAGAAAAATAAATGTAAAAAAATATTGCCAGTGGGGGAAATATTTGTCTGACTAAGGGCTATGACAAAAATTTAGAAAGACCAACTTAATTAGAATGGAGATACCATTGTGAACCCCTGTAAGAGATAATAGTCTTCACTTTATGGAAATCTAAGGCAGAGAGCATTAATTTTAAATTTACAAGTGTATATAGTGAATGTATCCCAACCTTGGCTATCTACCAGAGTAACAGAACAATGGGAAAAGGGAATTATTTAGTATTTTGAGAGGTATTGGACAGAGCTGAAGCAAATATCAGCATAGTTCTTCTGTTGAGGAGGCCACTGAGAAATAGTTCTCTGGCTGCTGTCCACTGGGTGAGGGTTCATATGAGTCTGTGGACCCATGCTGTGTTTGCTTCCCTGTATTCAGAGCACACAATTAAGATGGATATACTTATCAGCTAACAAAACCACTCTGGTTAGTGGACAAGAGTCAAGTCAAAGTTCCTAAAGCTCCAGCCACTAGTAAATCAGAGACAATAATGCATCATCAGTGGAATTAAAAATGTTAGTTCAACCCTCAAAGTCTTAAAAGTGGTAGGAGTAATGAGTGATTCCCACAATATCCCCATTCATCATATCAATATGGTTGCTGAAAAAGACAGATGAATCATGGTGTGATAATACATTATTATTAACTTAAATGAAGAGTAGAAAAGTTGCAGCTGATGTGCTATAAATGATGGTGCAGATCCACACTGCTCTGGCACTTGTCATGCAGCTCTAGATCAAGAGCTGCAATCAACAATCTTTTTCTGTAAAGGGCCACTTAGTAAATATTTCAGGCTTTGCAAGCCATATGGTCTGTGTCAACTCTGTCATTGTAGCACAAAATTAGCCATAGGCAATATGTAAATGAATGCAAGTGGCTGTATACCAATAAACCTTTATCTGAAAAAATAGATGATGAGTCAGGTTTGTCCTATTGGCCATAGTGTGACAAACCCTGATCTAGAAAATATGGCTTTTCAATTTCTATTAGTAAAGATGTTCATATATCTCTAAATGATGAAGCAAATCATTATCTTTCCCAGAGCTATTTTCCCTTTCCTGCTCTCTATAAAAAAATTTAATCATTTTTACTTTTTGTATACTATCTCACCGAAACTAGAGATTTCCATGGTAGATAGGAATGTTATATGGTGTTTCTAATATGTCTCAATAGAGGTTGGAGTGCAAACCTCAAGGAGAAAACTACTTATCATATGAAAAGGAGATCCTGGTGTGCTCCTTGTGCCTAGTAGAGACTGAGTGCCTGGCTACAGACATCAAGCTGCACTAAAACTAGAACTGCCAATATAAGCTAGATATTGTCACTACCACCACAACGTAAGATAGGATATGCATATGATGAAAATGGTATACTTGAGATCAAACCAAAGGAGATCCAGAAGTCACTAATAATTTACTTGTTACTTGAAGAGGTAGCTTACATGGACAAATTACCTGTCTCTATTACACAGTTGTCCCTCCCTCAGACCCTACCAATGGTCTTGTCGACGTTCCCTGTTCAACTGAAAATAAAGAAAAAAAAATCCTGAGCCTAGTTTACAGATGAATTATCCTGGTATTTGAATGGAAGCCAGAAATGAATATTTTTACACACGGCTCCATAGGGGGTGGTCCTAAAGACACAGAAAACAGAAATCTTCCCAGTAGTAAGAATTTAAGCAATATGCTTAGTCATTTCCTTTTACACAGGAAAAAGTAGTTGAGATGAATATACAGATTGTTGGGCAATGGTGAATGGCCTAGTTAGTTTGTTAACAGACTAGAATGGACAAGATTGAAAAGTATAGTAAAGGAGTTATGATGGAGAGTAATGTGAATGGGACCTGAGTGTGAGTGGACCTGAAGTATGAAGCATTTTGTATATCGCATCAAAGCCTACAAGAAAACATCAGCTACAGAGAAGATGCCGAACAACTAGTTAGATAAAAAAGACTTGTCCAGTAGATGTCATCCAGCCTCTGTCTTTGGTCATTCTATTGCTGGCTCAATTAACTAAAAAGTGGAGTATCATGGTGGCAGGGACAAAAGTTATATGGCCACAAAAGGTATAGACTCCCTTGTACCAAGGCTTTTATTGTTCCAAACATTACTGAATGTCTGAACTTTTCAGCAGCGGAGAACCACTTGGTGCTATGTTGTATACATCAAATCTCTTCTATCATGAACAAATCAGTGATTCATTGTTGGTGCAACAGTTTTTCACTCTGAAATAATGTTTTTCTTCCTTGCCTCAGCACTACTATCTAATTTCTGACAGATTTACTAATGTCCCATACTAAATGATACTGCCCTTAACTAATGAAGTAATTGTATAGCAAAGGAGCTATAACAATAAACATGCACTCATGGGATTCACCAATCCTGTCATATAGCATATTGCCCAAAAATTCACACCCTGAATTTTGGAATAAATATTCAAAGATTCACTCACCTAAGATGAAAACTTGGAAGAGATATCTTGCCAGGTTGGAAAAATCTCCTCCAGGATAAGGTATTAACACTGAGTCAATAACAATTAGATGCTGTTTTGCATCCAGTAGCTAAAACATGTGAAACCAAGAACCACAGGATAGAAATAGAAATGGCTGCTATCTTCACTCTCAGCAATCTACTTAGAGAACTTTTATTTGTCTTCCACGCAACATTAGGCTCTAAAGGTAAGTGAAATATTGGACTGTAAAGGCAGTGTCATACAATGGGGAATCAGGGGATGCGTCGACCAAAAGACACAGCAAGGGTTCCATTAAACCTAATGATATAACTGATACTAAATCATTTTGGGCACCTCATGCCAGTAGGCCATCAGATAAAGTAGTGAACTACTGTCATAATAGGTCGGGTTGATGCTTTATAATAACAGCAAAGAGAGATATGTCTTGGAACTTAAGGGATACACTGGAGCATTGCCCAGTAACAATAGTTAAAATGCAATTATAGCCACCATAGCCAGATAAAAGCAAGGTGACTGAGATTCATAGCCCTAAGGGATAAAGGTTTGAGTCCACAAGGCAAGCAATCTAGGTCAGAAAACATGCTCCTGCGGATGAAGGTAATCTAGAATAGGTGATAAAGGGTTAATACGAAGAATACCAATTATATATTTTAGATTAGTGGCAGCAACATGATTAGCTGTCTCTACCAGCCTTATAGTTTAAGATTTTTAAAAAAATATATAGATTGTAGCTAGCCATCTGCATGGAGTACCAGCAACAAGTATGTTCATTGTGAGGCATGAGCAAATTTAGGAGGTATGAGTGTTGGACAGCAGCAGTTCTTTAGATGCCTCATATCACTTCCCTTGATATACCCGAGTTTACCTGAAGTTGTGGTTTCTGACACAGAAACACTCATTCTCGGACCGACAAGAGCTTGTTTCACAGTAATGTGATACAGCCTAGAGTGGCAGGGATGGAGAAGATGTGCCCAGAACAATCTACCACGGATGGAAGTCTGTGCATGTCCTAAGCTCCCATTGCCTGGTAAGGTAATTCTGAGGCATGTTACAGTTTCTCAGAAATTCCCCCAAAGAGATTGAGCTACAGTTGGTAACAGTGACACATCATTAATTAATGCACATTTTATTGGCTTTTCTCTCCTGAGCCTCTTTTCATTTTCCCTCTTTTTTTGTGGGGAGATGCTTTTTTTTTTCTTTTTTTTTTTTTTTTTTGAGACGGAGTCTCGTTCTGTCGCCCAGGTTGGAGTGCAGTGGCGCGATCTAGGCTCACTGCAAGCTCCGCCTCCCGGGTTCACGGCATTCTCCTGCCTCAACCTCCCAAGTAGCTGGGACTACAGGCATGCACCACCACGCCCAGCTAATTTTTTTGTATTTTTAGTAGAGACGGGTTTTCACCGTGTTAGCCAGGATGGTCTAGTTCTCCTGACCTCGTGATCCGCCCGCCTCAGCCTCCCAAAGTGTTGGGATTACAGGCGTGAGCCACCGCACCCGGCCCCCGGAGAGATACTTCTTAAGATTATTTTCTAAGTGAATTACCTGTGTTAAAACCTTTGTTTCAAGATTTGCTTTTGACAAAACCCTATATAAGTCAGAGAGTATCTCAAAATACATAAAGTACAAGTTAAATGCATGTAGTAATATGAATGTATACATACATATAACAAAGCCAGTTACATCACTTCATATGGATACTGAGTATATGCCCTCTTCTCAAAGCCAGGTCTTGCCCAGAAGTGTGTATTAAAGGAATACGTGAATCTTCCTCTGATCCTCACAATAGGAAACATACTAAAACTCTTCCAACCCATAATGAATATAGACATGATATAATTAGATCAGCAAATCAAGCAGAGAATTTAAGTTGTAAATGGAAGACAATTAAAATGGCTCACATTATTCATGCTGAGAAACTGATCCTAGACAGCACTTGGCATTGCAAGGATTGTTATGAGATAAAAGGGCAAACAGCCTGCACAGTCTGACCAATATTACATTCACCAACATGTTCTTGGAAGAGCTTTTAAGAGAGGAAAATTCAACCTACAAAATTAAACAGTGAAAAACTGGCTCCTTCTGTTTAAGCAGAAAATAATTTGTTTATAAATTTTAAAAGCTCTGAAATGTTAACTTATATGTACCATGGTTTACTAGGCACCAGGAATAAGTTAAATGCTTGTACATGTGCACGTGAACTGAAATAATGCGTGAAAAACTAAGTCTTTCCACATTTTGTGGAAACACAAGACCCAATAAATTGCTATTTTCTACCTATATACATGCTTTATAAAAGCCTAAAACTTCTCCAGTTGTCATGCTTTTGACATTTGAAAATTAATTTCAAAATAATTTGCAGTAAAACAAATGTCAAAAACGTACTGTTAATTAAAATAGAGAGGAAATAAAAATGATAGAAATGAAGAGCTTAGAAAAGTCAAGAAAATGATTTAAATATGTGATATTTTCAAGTTGTTTGGTCCAATTTTATTTGGAATTTACTTAACTATTTTATTTTACCTGTCTTTTTCTTTGCACCGATTCTCATTCTTGTGATTCCCTTTTCTACAACCATGATGTTAAAAAAAAACTACTACATTTTTAAGTTAGTTGGTTTCTTTTAAAATTATTGTTGTTGTTTAGCTCTAAGTACTTTCCTTTGATGGCAGATATTGGGTGGCTGGAGGTGGGAGTAGAAAAGGGGTTTAGATTAGTAACTTTATTAGGATGCAAATGCTATAGTAATAAGGCAAAGGGAAGAAAATGAAAGAAATATTGAAAACTGTACCTTTCTTTGTATCTAGTCTTTGATTTAATTTATATTTTATAACAATTTCGGAAATCAGATTAAATTACTTGTAGTAAAAACATAACAGAATCATTATACTTGTGGTCTTCCAATCATTTAAAGTGCTATTATATTTTTATTAAAACCCAATAGTTTGCACCAAGTAAGCAAACTTTATAGAAAGAAAGTTATCTTTTATGTTACTTGCAAAATAAGAAATTATAAAAAAAAGTTATCTGGACTTTGTTTTAAGCTACTGTCCAGAGTTAATGTTTTGGCTAATATACATCTCCATAAATGTATCAAGTTATTAATATCACTGTATGTTTCATATTGGAGAGGGATTAGGCAACCTCAGAAGAGAAGTATAGAATTATTGCTGAATATTAAATTTTATAAAGAAGCAAACATTTTCACTACTAATAAAAAACAATGTGTCTACAAATGACACAATTCTTGCAAGAATTATGTCTTAAATGAAGTGCCCTAGAGATACTCTGTCCCACCTCCTTGTTTTGCAAAGGAGGAAACCTGCCTTTGGAGGCATTTAATGACAATTCTTAACTAAGTAGCAGAAAAGTTAATACTAGACAAGACGTTTCTCAAATCCTTCCAACCTTACTGCCTTAAATGTAGCAAACAATCATGGTTTGCATATCAGACAGTAATAGTTTCTGGTTCCAAATAGGCAAGGAATAACATTAATTGAATAAGAAGGTATCATTTTTAATGTGTAGGACATACTTTCTTTCTTTTTTTTTTTTTTAGTAGAGGTGCTTCAGAGTTCCAGAACCATCCACATTTGACAAATAACTATAAAATGTTATTTTGCTTTCCTGAGCATGATTTTTAAGCAATCCTAAAAGTAATCTGTGAAAAAAAAAATTAAAGATGATTAAAATGTTCATGAAAATCTAAAGCAATGTTAAATGCCGTTGCTCCTTAATAGTGTGGGATTCTAAAAGTATGACTCAATAGATTGTGAAAGAAAAAGACACTACCCATAGGAATTATTAATCTCCCACATTGATATGATTCTTTTTCACTTCAAACTTTCAACTACTTCATCTTAACTTGTTTCACTATTTGCTTCTCAGAAGAGATGATGTTTAATTGAGATACAACTTGCTTCTATATTAATATGACCTGGAAAAATTAGGTCAGATAATATCATTGGTGACACAAAACATGCTATTACCTGCAAACCCTAAATTTCTCAAAGGAAGAAAAGCAGTTTTCCTTAAGAGTCTCATTCTAGATCTAAACTTAGGTAATTTTTAAAGAAACAAATTGTTTTACCAAACTCCCATCTGTCTTTTCTCTTGGTTCCAGTAAAGAGTGTTTCCAAGTTAGGATTATGTAAACAGCCTCTTTTCTAGGGTACTTGGGACCTTCTCTGCTTTATTCTCAAGCCCTTTCTTCAAGTCCATCAAATGTTGCTTTCTTCAAGCTGTGTCTATTGCAGTTGATAAAGGAGATAACGCCAACACTTTTCTTAAAACTCAGATATCTCCTTAACTAGAAATAGTAGGTAAGCAAAAACTGAAAAGAACCTCTAATTGCCACCTGGCAAAGGGAAGAAAGGCAGTTTATTTATTTTTTAATCACAACCAAAACAAGTTAGAAAAAGTCATTCTTTTTATTTTCTTTTGTATATCCTCAGGAAAAATGACATAACAGATGTCAGCGCAAAACTAAACAACTATTGAATTATAAGTAGCAGTGAATCAAAAAAAAAAGAATGCTTACATGTATGCATACGTGTATATATGCATGTATAAAATATTAAATTGGGAGGAAACTTTAGTAAAAGAGATAAAATATTTTCTCTATTTCATCACTGTGGCTAAAGCCAAATCACATTGGATTTAATTCAATTATGTCTATATTTATAAATAGATTTATATGTATAATATTAATACTAAAACTTTCAAATTGTTCTGAGGCACACACGGAAGCTCATAAAAGTCTGGTTCCATTATGTAGGTGTGCTGATTTTTTTTTTTTTTTTTTTTTTTTTTTTTGAGACGGAGTCTCACTCTCTCACCAGGCTAAAGTACAGTGGCATGATCTCGGCTCTCTGCAACCTCCGCCTCCTGGGTTCAAGCGATTCTCCTGCCTCAGCCTCCCGAGTAGCTGGGACTACACGTGTGCGCCACCATGCCCAGCTAATTTTTGTATTTTTAGTAGAGATGGAGTTTCACCATGTTTGCCAGGATGGTCTCATTCTCTTGACCTCGTGATCTGCCTGCCTCAGCCTCCCAAAGTGCTGGGATTACAGGCATAAGCCACCGCATCCAGCCTGATATTTTATATTTTAATGTCTAATTGAATTTGAGATTGCTAAACTACAGCAAACTACAGCATTTGTCTTAAATGTTGCAAGGAAGGGTAAATTATAGATACACAAAACAACTGCAAACTAAGATATAAAGTTATCTTTTTTTTTTTTTTTAATACAGAATCCCATTTTGTCACCCCAGCTGGAGTGCAGTGGTGCAGTCTTGGCTCACTGCAGCTCAAACTCCTGAACTCAGGTGATCCTTCTGCCTCAGTCTCCCAAGTAGCTGGGGCTATAGCCTGAGGCATGTGCCACCACGCCGGCTATTTTTTGAAAATTTTTTGTAAAGACAGGGTTTCGCCATGTTGCCCAGGCTGGTCTCAAACTCCTGGGCTCAAGTGATTTGCCTGCCTCAGAGTCCCAATGTTGAGATTACAGGTGTGAGCCATCGTGTCTGGCCAAAGGGATAAGGGATCTTTCTTAAAGGTTTATGAAACTTGTTATAGCCCATTTAAGAAAAAAGTTACTAACAATATAATAAATTGGTCTCTTTTGATTTTTAGGAATTTGTGTATTTACCTATGAATCTCTCTCAGAACTGATAGTACATAGCTCATAAAATAATCGCAGTGAAATAACTTGGTGATATAAGGTATTTGATAAATAATTAGAAAAATTAAGAATATTCATGTCTTAAATATATGAGAGAGATATATTGAGCTCAGAATAAAAACAGATAATTAGCTTTATAATGTTTGTAATTTTACATATTTTTATTCATATTTACAAATTTTAGCATGATTATATGACCTACACATTCACAAGAAAATATCATTGGACTTAAACATCTCTGCTTATAAAAAGATTGACTGTAGCATTTGATCTAACACTAAATCATTTTTTTATAAAGCCACATATGTGTGCTACTTTAGAAATGTTTTAAAAGTTTGAATCTCATTACTAAAGTTGCACACAGCAAAATGTAGTTTCCTTGTCAAATTCTTGCAGAGAATGTGGTCCCTGGAATGTTCGGGGCTGTAGGAGGAAAACAGTTCAAAATTTCTGTTATTCACGAGCTCTACTGTAACATCTGCTCCGAGCTAAAACCTCCCACATAGAAGTAATGGTAATGGATGAAAGGAAGAAAGTAGCAGAAAGGTCCATTGACTGCCATTCAATTTACTGAAATTGCCCACTTAGAATACTTATTTAGACATTACAAGCTTCACTTTCTCCAGTGCGTAGCCTGAGTGCCCTGAGCTGCATAAGGTGCAGGAGCTATCTCCCTCCATGCTGCGCTTTCAGGAAAGGTATAGACTACACAACTTAAGAAAACAGGTGAACAGCATGCAGGCAGGAGCCTGTGATACACAGCGGCCATGCCTAGATTTATACGCTTGTCAGGAGGGTTGAGGTGAAGATGTTGGCAGAGGGAGTACCTTAAGGGCTGGCTGTCTCACTGTTTCATTTGTGCAAGCATCTGGCCTTTCCACATGCTGAAAGCCTGGCTAAAGGAATTACATTTCTCATGAAACATCTCTCTAACGGCCACATTTATTTATTATTCTCTTTTAAAGTAATTTTCAGTTTGTTTGTTATTGTGAGTAATCTGGAAAATTAAATAATATATCTTGATGTTCTTTAAAATATAAGACCGCCTTTAAACTTCATGCAATACTGTTGAAAAATAGAAGGATTAAGATCCTCCATGTGTGAAGTAATTTAGCTGGAGAATATCATTCTCTTCTTAAAGAACATAATTCTCTAGGCTGATAGTAGCTTTTTTGTAACAATACAGAGTATTGTGAATTTAAAGGACTGTGCAAAATAAAAAAAAAAAAAAGCATTTGAAGCTAAAATGATCCATTTTCCTCTCATCCAAAGTACACATAAACCATAGATAACAAATATCAGTGCCTTGGTTATGCAGCAAAATTAGTCTGAGAAAACCTAAGTGTGCAAAATACACTTTAATTTTTTTCACATAATTGTCATGCTTTTTGTGTTATGAATGTAGAAAATCTATGCCGTTTTCCTTGGTTACTAAATATGCTGTAAACTGTCTTATTCACATTTACTTCGATTTCAAGTAACAGGCATGTATTTGGGGCTGGCATAAACAAGGAGATAATATATTGGACTGCTACTAAGATCCCAGCTAAAGTTACTCAAACCTTTGAATTTTAAATAAAATTTTTCTGAGTACTGTATCCCATAATCTGTGGGCAATCCAACATCCTCACCAATATATGAGAATTTTTAAAGTTTAAACAGACTCCATGTCCTTGCATCTATTTAATTCTCAGTGTAACTCACAGTTTCTCTCCTCCTCTCTCTCCCCCTCACCCACACCCTCCTCAGGGCTCACACAGATGTTTAACTTCACCCCTTTAATTTTCTCAAAACAGACAAACAAACAAGCCAGGCATTCATAAAAGGCATTTTATGATGTGGTAGACTTTATAGAAGTTTGGGGCTACATTAGGGGTTAACTTCACAGCAACACTAACAGTTATAAATATTAGATGCCTCTACACATAAAAGTCACTTAGTCACACAAGCATGAGGCCCAGCTTCTCTCACTCAAGACTTTCTCACCTTCGTATTTCCCTTACTTCATTAAGCAGAATAATTGAGCTCAGTACCTTCCACTCAGCTCTAGGGCTTACCTTTGTATAAATGTGCCCTGATAAAGCACAGCCACCTATGACTTATTTCTATCCGTGTCTTAAATGGAAAGTAGCAACATGATAATTTACCTTCTCACTGATATCGCTAGTACTCATTGAAAGGTAGTCATTAGTGCTGTCCCTGATATATGTCTGATTTCCCTTCCTTCTGAGCACATGAGTGGGTTGTACCTCCCGGCCCTTTTGTGATTAGATGGAATGGTGTAACTAGTATTGAAAAATGAGTAGTGAGCTATACATGTCACTTTTGAGCAGGAGCATTTAATTGTCAGTATGAGAACCTCTTCCCTCTGGCAGGAAGGCAGCAGTGTTTGTGATGCTGGGTGCCTCAGTGTACCTGGGTGACTATGTAAAGGAAATACCTCTGCTGACCCCTGGTAGACATGGTTGAATAAGTAAAAAATAAGCCATTTTGCTATTAGGTGATGGATATCTTAGAATCCTTTGTTATCACAACAAAAAAAAAACCTATTAATAAATGACTTTACTCACTATTACTCTGCAGTTATACAAAGAGGACACCTTCAGTTTCTGTAATGTATTTGATCTTCCTCAAAGCTCCCACTGTGTTAGGTAGTAAAAATAAAACGTTAAAAAAAATTAAAAACCCTGCCACCTGATGATATCTAGTTCATTTAAGTTTAACTAATTTTTTGTTTGTTTGTTTGTTTAGTTTCTTTTGGGTGCATTCATAGACTGCAGAATTTCCTCTAGCATCATGGTTGTGAGGGATTGAGGGCCCCAAATCTACTCCAGCAGTAAATCTGCTCTCTGGATCCTTGCTAGCTCCTGCAGAGATGATATTTCATATCTGCCTGTTCAGTGCCTCCTGCTGTCAAGGGACCACAAGATGAGCAATCTCTTGGGAGCAGCAAACTCTAGTGAGCTCAGCCCTTTCCCTTAAGGCCTCTCTGTGGATTCTCCTAAGGTCTGGGCAGGAATCCAATTTAGTTATTGCCCAGGTTGTCTCCCTGCAATCCTCAATTTAAGAATTATTTTGCATTGATAAAAGTAGGCTCACTTCTCTCTCAAACTCCCAAACCAATGACTTCAATACATTTCACACCATTTGGAATATATAAGAGATTCTAGGCTATCTCTCTATCTAAACACTTGACACCTCTGTTTCTGTTTTTGTTTTTTCTTATGTGGTCACCCATGGTTATAGCAGGATCATTCTTCAAGGTAGTCTCCTCTGAGAGTCTCAAATGTGAGTAGGGCAAAGATACCTTCATTTTTGCTTTTATTTCAATATAGGGTAATGTATATCCTATTTCTGGGGCTTAGGTTTGCAGAGAGAAGTTAAGGTATAGGTGTAGTGTGATGTTTTCCCCAATTTCAGACTGTTCCTCCTGCAGTCAATTAGGTCTGGGAAGAGTGATCATTCCACATTTACTCCTTGTCTGATCCTTTTAATAAACAGCACTGTTCCTCTTCTTTAAGACTGAAATGGTAGAAAGTTTATTTGGGAATCATGTTTATAAAGATAAAGAGCATATTATTATAAGATTAATATCATCACTATTACATTAATCATGTAGTTATACTTGTGAGGCCAAAGAAAGTAGTCTTTTTAAATAACATAGATGAATATTTTATGAAAACTATCATCAGAAAATACCGCTAGGCTTCCCAGAGGACTGGAACCAAAAACTGCAAAACCATTAGAAATCACATTGGTCTTTTCTCTCTTATTCACATCTTAGTCCCTCATCTCGCCTTCCCTGATAATTTATTTAATTTTCATTTTGTTTTGTTTTCTTTCTGCAAACTTGATTTTCAGTCTTCATCATACATATTGCCCTAAAACCCACCCCCATACCATAACCACCTTAACTCCCAAGTTGATAGCAGTAAAAGTCAAATGACCAACTCAGGCTGAATAAAATTTCGGAATCAAAGCTTCAAATTTTAGTGACACAAATTCTCCTTGGTCTTTCTTAGGTCTTCTCTATACCTGCAAATAGCAAATGCATCCAGTGACATAAGTTCATTGAGCATAATCATGATTTCTACACTTCAGTCTCATAAATAAGGAGAGAAAACTCTCAAATTAAGAAATGCATCATTTAGAGACCAGATTGTAGCCAAAAACAATAATAACTATAATTATTGCAGCAGCTACCATTAAATAGTCCTTATTTCTCTCCTACATGCAAATAGGATGCCTTGATCAAATGGCTTGGGTGTTGGAGACACTATATTAGTGTGTCTGTACCACAAACTTTAGGGGAGAAATGACTTGGAAAATTGCTGAACAGGTAATACAGGACAACCATAATCAATTAAAATCACTTCTCAAGGACAAAAATACCAGAGGAAATTGGCTTAGAGGGCCATTTTGTTCTTTCTCTTTCCATCACTGTAATAATTTGTCACCGCCATCTATACAAGGCTCCTCTAAGCTGCCAAATGAAAATTGACCTTCATGTTTCTAATTATTGACCAAGGCACATACTCAGTGTTAGACTTTAGGTTCATTTCCAGGTTGTCTATTAAAATGTAGCCATCTTCATATCTTTAACTAGTCATTGAGATAGTTGATTTTATTCAGTTAATTTTACCAATATTCCCAATATTATAAATTCATTTTATTCGTTTTTCCTTCTCTTTTATTCCTATGCTAGGTTAAAATAACTGGGAAAGAGAAAATTTTTCATCTCAGACTGTCATGTTTTTATTTCTTTAACAAAAATTGAATGGGCACCTACTAAGTGGCAGGCAATTATCCAGATCATGTAGATACCATCATGAGCAAGTCAGAAAAGTTTATTTCCCTCATGGACTTTGCAGTCTAGAAAAAGGAAAATTAGATGGGTGTAGTGGCTCATGCCTCTAATGGTAGCACTTTGGGAGGCCAAGGCAGGAGGATGGCTTGAGTCCAGGAGTTTGAGACAAGCCTAGGTAACATGGTGAGACCTCTACAAAAAGTCAAAAATTGAGGTAGGAGGATCACTGCCTCAATATAAAAACAACAATAAAAAGGGCATTATAATAAACAAGCAAATACATTAACCACTTTTAAGAGGAAAATGAAGAATATATAACAAATAATGACTAGATGTTGAATGTTCTTTTAGTATGTGATGTCCAAAGAAGTCTCAATGAGGTGACGTTTCCGGGCATAAGATTAGATTAGAGAAGGAATAAATAATCATGTGGTGACCTGAACAGTAGAATACTCCAATAAGTAAAAGCACCAAAAATAGTGACATATGTGATGTTTTGTAGAAACACAAAATGGCCGGAATTACTGGCCTGTAGCAAGTAGAAGGCAAATTATAATTTAAAATGTTTCCCTGGTGAAGAGAATAAGTTAGAAAGAGGAAAAAGAAAGGAGGGAGATTTAAAAGGAGTGTATCCAGATTGAGTAACAGAGAACACAGAAATGTTGTTTGTTGAGAGAGAAATTCCATAAACCCTATAGTAACTGGGAAAGAGAAAAATCAGTTTGAGCAGTCATCAATTCCAGTGACCTATTTAGGAAATTTGTGTTCCCTGTGCCCACAAATACAGACTCCATCAGTTTAAAGGCCATAGTTCAAAAAGGGGTAAACTCTTTTTCCCAGGAGACACAATCAGAATCCCACTGAACTATATCTCATGGCTACACCTGGGCATTTGGGGTTCCTTATGCCAAGCGTTCAGCAGGAAGAAAGGGAGTCATCAACTTAACATGTATATTTGACCCTGACCAGGAGGTGGTAGAGCTGTGATACACAAGAATAGTAGGAAGGAATACTTTGGCACCTATGAAATGTTCTTCTCTACCTCTATGCATCACTCCCTTTCCCAAATGAGATGGTAAATGGACAAGAACAATCCCAAGTGAGAGGAACCTTGAGACCAAGGACTCAGATCCCTCAAAGATGAAAGTCTGTGTTGTGACACCAATAAATCATTGTGACTAGCAGGGATTATGTTGAGTGAGGGGGATCAAAATGGTTGTAGAAGGTGGAAAGAATAAGCATCAAATCCAGCCACAATAGTGGGGGTCATGGTTTGTCCTACTTACCTTCCTCTGCTAAGTTTCGCCCAGGAAGAAAGGCTTACCAGAATCTTGGAAGAGATGCTCCCAGAAGCTGTAAGAAGGAAAATTGTGGTGGAGAAGTTAATATACCTTGCAGGTCCTGCAGAATGAAGTGAATATTCCCCCATCTGCTGGAAGTCCTGCCAAAACACAGTTCTCACTGTCAGAACTCCTTGAGGATTGCCCTAAATGAAAAAATTGCCTCTCTAAGGTCACACCTCCGTCCACAGGCATTCTACACTTAATGATTGATCAGTATGAGAGTAGAGAAGGCCTGGACCCCTCAACCCAACTTAATACACATCTGAATCTCAGTTCTGTGGTCCTTGTGAAGGGTCATGAAGGTCTTTATTGGGAAAAAGTCACGGAATGAACATCTGCCTATTTCCACTTCTTATTCTCCCTTCCACAAGCCTCCATCCCAAAAATTCTTCTTAATAAAATCCCTAAATATCAATCTCCATTTCAGAATTTGCTTTTCAGAAAATCCAACTCTGTAACACCAGGTATGCAGTCAATAAAATTGATTTTACAGGCTACATTTAGCATAATGTCATCAAAGGTTTATGCCATCCCCATTTTTATCTCTGAGAAGTCAAAGAAAAATTTATTTGTTTTGTGGGTAATTGCATTACATTGGTAGAATGAATAATTACTGTTTAAGAACTTATTATCGGTAAAACTAACCTTTAAAATTGTCTGACAGTTTTAAACTTCAAAAACTATTATAATTAGTATTAAAGAGAATGCTTTCTTTCTTTGTAGTTGCTATGGGAGCAAATCCATTAATAAATATTTTTTAAATGTCTATTTTGATTTGACAAGAGGTTTCATTAATAATTCAAATGGTTATGACTAAGGTCCTAAAAAGGGCAATTTTCCTTGAAAGTTAGCTAATAAAGAAAGAATGCTAATCTAGGATTTTTTTTTCATAAAATTCTCCTCACTTCTCTCACAATCCGGCAGCAAAAAGGTAAAACTCGTAAATTTATTTCATCACTATTGGAAGTATTTTGAAGGCTCTTTGAAAATACTGTGTCTTTTTAGAGACCCAGATTCAAGACAGATATTTAAGCACTAAAAATAAATAAATAAATGAAAGTCTGAATTGAATAGTGTTTCTTAAATGCAACTGATATGGATTCAACACACAAATCCCAAAATATGAAAGCTTTTGCAGGCACTGATTTTCTTAGTAAAGTTAACTTTTACATTTACCTCTCAAATTCATTTGCATGCCAAATTCAGAAATCCTATTTGCATATTCCACTGAAGATTAACTTGCCTGCCACATGTCTGAAAAGCAGAAGGGAGAACAAATCATTAATATGATTATTAGCTTAATGTATTGTTTAAGACAACCCCCAAGAAGAATATATTAAAAACTGGAAACCTCAGCACAGATATTAGAAATAAGTGCTTCTCCTTGAATAAAAGAAAATTTGTTTAATGGCTTACTAGTTCAAGTAGCTCAGGAAAACAACCAAGGTAATTCAAATTGTGAGTAGATGTAATTTGAAGAGAACCAGAACATTAAACAAAAAATGAGTCTTGATGGTCACATTACCCCTGCTCTTTCTACATAGTACTGCATCCTAATATATTTAATATACTTGTTGGAAAATACTTTTAAACATTAATTTGTTCTGTAGTAAAATTATATTACATAAAGTGCTTTAAATGCTAAGGCTTAGTATAATTATGCAGTGCTGAGACTATTGTGATGTTATTGAAAACTAGCAAACTTATCTTCAATAAAAGAAGTCAAAAGCTTCAATTATCTACTCACAGATTATAATTGGGGTTTGTGTATATAGGCTTACAAAAAGAATTTTAACAGGAAATAAGTCCCATAAATTTGTTTAAAAATTATCAGTGTTATGCATTGCCATCTCCTCCCGTATTAGTTTCTCAGGACTTATAAGAAGTCGTGAACAATTTTGGTTACCCTCTCAAAAGCATGGGGGTGGCTTTCATAACCTTACTGGCACACTGCTACATAGATTTCAGAATCTTAAAAGAAAAAGACTATATTCACCATTTAGTTGTCCAAACCATTGATTACTTTTATCATTCAAGGAATGTATTTCTCCAACCTTTTCACCTCTCCAAATCTTATCTGATCTTCAAACCCCAGACCTATCTCTCTTGCAGAAAGCCTTCTAAATTAATACACAAATATATTCTTAAAATTGTTATTGCACTAATGTCTGTACTATATACATTAGCATTTAATAATAACCTGTTAGTCACTGTCTGATTCTCTTTCTCACTTGTGTCTAATTTTTCTCCTTGAAAATAATGTTAGTTATTTCAAGACAAATTCCATGCCTTTTATCTCTGCATACTTTGATGCATACTGGTCACAAAATAAGGGGCCAAAAATACTTGTTGATATACTGAACAATCAAAAATTTTTATTTGTGCAATAATCAAGCAAAATGCATTAAGTTAAATTTTTTCAAACTCTGAGATTTTACATCTCAATATTGAAACAAAAATCAAAAGAAGTAACCCCAATAAATTAGATAACTTAGTTTGTATTGCCAAAAAATGACTTTAAATATTACGTTTCATTAATAAGCATTAAAAATCCATTTATAAAAAATTTAACACATCTTTAAACTAAATAATAACCTGAGAATCTTTACACACAAACATTAACTTGTGATCTCTTTCTAATGGAGTTCATCAATGTTCTTAGGGATTCCAAAGCTAAGCTCAAATCTAAAAAATGTGAAATGTTACGTAAGCGCATTTAACAACATTAAGAAAAGAGAGGTGCTCTACATGTTTACGTCAAATAATACAGGCTTAAAAAGAGTATTTATCTGTTACCTTTTAAATATGTATTGGGTTATTTTTTATAGCTGTCATCTCTGAATAAAACTCACAGAACATTATTTATATCAACAATTAATAATTCTTCTGTCTCAATATCCTCAGACCTACCCAACCCTGCTTAGCTAGGGCAGTATGAGAAGAAAATTTTCTCAGAGCCTTATTTGGAATTGACAGCTTCACTTGTATTATATTCTGCCCAGTGAATTGTCAGTGTGGTTCACTGTACAGTGGCACATTTGTTAAGATAAAACTATATTTCTCAGAATTTATAAGAGTAAACTGTGGAAGTCTTTTGAGATGGAAGAAAAGCAGATGATATTACTGTCTGAAGGTCATCATGGTTAGATAGAGTGACAAACAGACTCAGGGCTGCCTGCATGTTCCAGCTTGTCCTCACTCTCCTCTGTTCTTCAGACAGCTCTTATCCTGGACTGCTAGCCTATTGACCAAGAACATAGGAAAGCCCACCATCAAATGTTCAGTAGTGTAACAACATTAGCTTCCCACAGGTCGTCCTAAATCCGTGAAGACACATACTTGGCTTCTCAGATTGACTGGTCAATGACAACTGTGACCATCTAATTCCCACTTTCAGAGCTTCACTTCTGAGTTCTTTCCTCTACTATTGAAGTTTTAATTTCTCTTATTTCCTGTGGCAGATTGTATTTTCTAAAGATAACCATAAAAATATTTCTCATACTACATGATCTTCTTCCAATATGACTTTGACAATGACACTCCTCCCAAAGTTCTGGGATCTATTACTCTTCCTAGGCTATTGAATCTGGGAAAGCATTTATGACAGCCCCAAGCAATAGACTGTGATTGTGTTGATGCTATATGATTTCTGAGGCATATCTTTAGGTTGCCTTATATTTCCACCTTGCTTTTTTGGAATGCTCACTCTTCAAGCACACACTATGCAGTCCATGATGCAGATTCACTGTGGACTGGTTAGCAACTTGTCTAAGTTCAGTGAGACAGAACACCCACACACACAAGTTACCTGAAGCAGGTTTATTATTTTTACACATAGGCAGCAAGGGACAACACAAGCCTAGGACTGATTGTGAGCCATTCCTTCAAGGCTCAGGAAAGCTGCCTGGGGAGGCCATATCTGCACATGTCCCCCTTGCATTGCAGCTGAGGGACCCTGGAAAGCAGCCTGCCCCGGATTTTCTACCTCAGGTGTCACATGACACAATAGGCTAAAACACTGAAGGATGTCCTATTTCTAGGGGGCACTGGAATAATGCTCAAGTTGTTATAGCCAGTACCTCCTTATCTCAGAATGTTGCATTCCCATCACATTTTACAGCTATTCTTGAAAACTACAAGCAAAAAAGGGGCAGAACTTGGTCAGTTCACGGTCACCCAGAACTGCCCTGCACTGTGATGAAGCCCAAGCATATTATGCAGAAGGCTACATGGAGAGGAACTAAGGTCTTTGCCTAAAGCCCTATGTAAGCTCCCAGTTGAGAGCCAGTGCTAACTTGTAGCCAGGTCAGTGAGCCAGCTTTTTTAAAGTATGTCCTACAATCTCTATTGAGTCACCCTAGCTGACTTCACATAAAAATTATACGTAAAGAGCCATCTACATTAAGCCCTCCCAAATTGAAGAATCATGAGAAGGGAAAAAAAAGTTTGTTATTGTTTAAGCCACTCAGTTTGGGTGCTTTGTTAAACAGTAATAGGTAATAGGTAGTAGGCACAGATTTTGGTATTGGGAAAATAAATTTCCAGGAAGAACATTGAAAGTGCCAACTGTATTCCCACTGCCTAGGATAAAATGTAAAAGAAAAGAGATGAGCTAAACAATAAGTTGTGAAATATAGTGGAACTGAGGCTTGGTGGGTTAAAAACTGAAATTCTTCCTTATTTTTAGCCTTTGCAGATAGCAAACAATTCTAAAATTAGGAAATGAATTCTGGCAAAAGACCAAATTTATAGGGCGAGATGTTTTAATATCTGTTTTAAAGATCTTTGGTGCTTCATGTTACCCTCCTGATAGTTAAAGGGCTCCTAAAGACCTTAAAAATATTCCTTAAAATTTATCTCTGTTAAACAATAAGGCTTCAGAGAATCTCACAGGGAGCCTAAGTTAAAGATAATGTAAAAGTTATATTAAATATTTAATACTTAGTACATATTAAATATTATTTAATATATTAAATAAATAATATTTAATATGTACTAAGTATTAAATATTTAATATAAAAAATATTGGATGTGGCTTTCATTTAATGGGTTAAATCTAATAAGATTCATGGAAAACATACTAAACTATTAAGAGAATTGTAATGGTAAAATTGTTGCCAGCTTGAAAAAAAGGAAATAGAGAAAAAAATTAAAAAATGTTTTTAACCCCCAGACATTTACAAGTAAATATCAGTTTAAAAAGAATACTCAGTTACAAAAGAAGCCCTTTTTATTGAAAAGAAAGAATGACTCAGTAGTGAATTCAAGATCTCAAGAGTTAGAGATAATAGCCATAGGAAGTAATTCTCACAGTAGCAATATAAAGCCAACCTAGATTTCAGAACTCTTATGAACTAGTCACTGCTATGTGCTTCTCATCTTTCCCTTTTATCAGTGGGAGTGTCTATTGTGGTTGTCCTGTGCCTGTCTACGTTATATGTTAGGAATGTAGGAGGATAACTTGGTATCATTTGTTCACAGTGCTTCAAATGGAGAATAATAATATTCAACAAGCTGTATCTACAGAACTATACCTGATAATGCTAATCTAAACATGGACCTGAGTTTTGTAAAGAGAGTCTAGGCTTTGAACTGATGACCTAATGAGATATAACTTGGTTATTAGAAGAAAAGATACATGAATTTCTTAGGTAAGAACAATGTGGATTGTTGTGCCTAAAGGTCAATTATGAAAGATTAAAAACGAAAATTCTTCTTGCATTCCCCAAAAAATAAAAAGTCCTCAATAATATCTCCCATCCCACACACTCTGCTTACAATATGGCATCAATACTTCTATTCAGGGGTAGTATTTACATCCTCCCCCCTTGAATGTAGGAAGACATAGGATTTTGTGACTGCTTTAATAATGCAGTATGACAAAAGTTATGATGTGTAACTCTTGAGGTTAAATTTTTAAAATGCTATGGACTTCTGCTTTCTCCTCTTGTGATAATTTACACTTTTTCTTTGAATTAAGTAACTATGGTGAGCAGAAGACAAAGCATAATGTATAAATGACAGAAGAAAATAAACTTAAGACCCAGTCTCCCAAATAAAAGCCAGCAACAATTTGTCTGCCATGCAAGTAAATCATCCTGAAAGACTTTTTCACTCTCAATCCACTGTAAATGATATCCCATGAATTAGAGACAAAATATCCTCTGTGACTCTTACCTAAAATGCATCTCATGAGGAAAATAACAGATTGTTGTTTTACATCACTAAATTCTGGGGTGATTAGTTATATAGCAGTAGATTGCCAATAGTTTTCTTATCCCATAACTCAATTGACCCTGATTAACACAACCACTCTCAATAATTAAAGTGGGTTTTTTTTCAAAGTAACAATATTTTAGGTAAAACAATAATTGTCCTGGCCAGAACTTCCAATACAATTTGAAAATGAGTGGTGAGAGAGGGCATCTTTGTCTTGTTCTGGTTTTCAAAAGGAATGCTTCCAGCTTTTGCCCATTCAATATAATATTGACTATGGGTTTGTCATAAATCTTATTATTTTGAGATATGTTCCATCAACACCTAGTTTATTGAGAGTTTTTAACATGAAGTTATGTTGAATTTTGTCAAAGGCCTTTTCTGCATCTGTTGAGATAATCATGTGGTTTTTGTCTTTGGTTCTGTTTAATGTGATGGATTACATTTACTGATTTGCATATGTAGAACCAGCCTTGCATCCCAGGGATGAAGTCGATTTGATCATGGTGGATAAGTTTTTTGATGTGCTGCTGGACTTGGTTTGCCATTATTTTATTGAGGATTTTTGTGTCGATGTTCATCAGGGATATTGGCCTGAAGGTTTCTTTTTTTGTTGTTTCTCTACCAGGCTTTGGTATCAGAATGATGCTGGCTTCATAAAATGAGTTAGGGAGGAGTGCCTCTTTTCAATTGTTTGGAATAGTTTCAGAAGGAATGGTACCAGCTCCTCTTTGTACCTCTGGTAGAATTCAGCTGTTAATCCATCTGCTCCTGGACGTTTTTTGGTTGGTAGGCTATTAATTACTGCCTCAATTTCAGAACTTGTTATTGGTGTATTCAGGGATTCAACTTCTTTTGTTTAGTCTTGGGAGGGTGTATGTGTGCAGGAATTTATCAATTTCTTCTAGATTTTCTAGCTTATTTGTGTAGAGACATTTGTAGTATTTTCTGATAGTAGTTTGCCTTTCTGTGGGGTCAGAGGTGATATTCCCTTTATCATTTGTTATTGTGTCTATTTGATTTTTCTCTCTTTTCTTCTTTATTAGTCTAGCTAGCAGTCTATCTATTTTGTTAATTTTTTCTAAAAAACAGCTCCCGGATTCAATGACTTTTTGGAGGGTTTTTCATGTCTCTATCTCCTTCCATTGTACTCTGATCTTAGTGGTTCCTTGTCTTCCGATAGCTTTTGGATTAGTTTGCTCTTGCATCTCTAGCTCTCTTAATTGTGATGTTAGCGTGCTGATTTGAATTATTTCTACCTTTCTGATGTGGGAATGTAGTGCTATAAATGTCCCTCTTAACACTGCTTTAGCTGTGTCCCAGAGATTCCAGTATGTTTTCTCCTTGTTCTCATTGTTTTCAAAGAACTTCTTGATTTCTGCCTTAATTTCATTATTTACCCAGGAGTCATTCAGGAGCAGGTTGTTCAATTTACATGTAATTGTGTGGTTTTGAGTGAGTTTCTTTTTTTTTTTTTTAAACATAATCCTGATGTTTATTTATCAAATGTCAATCAGTGGAATCTTTGACTGGCTTTTAAAATAAGGGCAGTTTCATCACACTGGCATACTTGGCAAACCAGGTAAGTACAGAAACCCTTTTCAAGATTTAAAAAATGGAGCAACACTGGTCAGCATTTGGTACCGTGAATATAATACACCTACTGAAAATCTTCCCATACATCATGAAAACTTGGAGGTAATTTGTATGGCTTGAAATGTCTTCATTTTAGAATATTATGCACAAAAGGGCCTCTTCAGGAACAGAAAAGTGGCATTTTCTGTGTTTCAACTACAATTTAGAACCCAACTGGCTTTTATGTTATATTAAGTAAATTATACTTCAAGTTCCAGAGTATGTGGGGCATAAAATCCTGATTCAAGTTTTATATGACACAAAATTCTAGTAAATACTCCTCTTAATATATGGCTTATCAATATTCTCAGAGTCAGTCTAATCATCCAAGAAAAAGTGGTTTCCACTCTTCTTTTGTTCTACATCCTTAATTGAATTAAGTTTGTTTATTCGTGGCCTATAGTTGTTTGGATCTCTTCTGAATGTAATTTCAAGCTGAGATAAAAATTTATTCATGCCAGCCAAAAGGGTTTGAGGACTGTTTGCAACTGTGTTCTTAGATGGAACACCATCAAAAACGATGACGCGATCCGCTAGATAGGTGGCCATGATGAAGTCATGTTCCACAACAAAGGCTGTCTTTTTTCTTGGAGTATGAAACGTTTGACAACTCGAGCTGCCATCAGTCTTTGCTCAGAATCCAAACATGCAGATGGTTCATCAATTAAATAGACATCAGCAGGTTTGCCCAAACAAAGGGCTAAAGCTACTCACTGTAGTTCACCACCAGATAATGTCTGCACCTCTTGATCAGTGATGTTTTCAATTTGCAGAGGCTTCATTACATCGGTCACAAATTGTGGGTGAGTATAAGCATCTCTTATCTTTTCATGTAGTAACTGGCGAACACTTCCAGTTGATTTGCGACTAATTTTCTGTGGCTTATAACTGACATTTAGAACTGGTACTTCTCCTCCTTCCTCAGGTTTAAGTCTTCCAGCAAGCATTCTGATAAATGTCGTTTTACCTGTTCCATTTTCCCCCAGCATCACCATAATTTCAGAATCTGTAAACTCTCTAGCTACAATTGCTAGCTCAAACTCTCCCATTTTTTTCTTCATTCCTGGATATTTATACATACACATCTTTTTAACTTCTCTTCATTTGCAAGGGGACAGTGGGATCTATTTTGGACCGAAAAGATGAAACAAAGACACAGGCAGTTGTATGTCAGCAGCTTGATTTAATCCACCTGAAAGAACGAAATGTTGAAGATCTTTCAGGAGGAGAGTTGCAGAGATTTGCTTGTGCTGTCATTTGCATACAGAAAGCTGATATTTTCATGTTTGATGAGGCTTCTGGTTACCTAGATGTCAAGCAGCGTTTAAAGCCTGCTATTACTATACGATCTCTAATAAATCCAGATAGATATATCATTGTGGTGGAACATGATCTAAGTGTATTAGACTATCTCTCCGACTTCATCTGCTGTTTATATGGTGTACCAAGCGCCTATGGAGTTGTCACTATGCCTTTTAGTGTAAGAGAAGCCATAAACATTTTTTTGGATGGCTATGTTCCAACAGAAAACTTGAGATTCAGAGATGCATCACTTGTTTTTAAAGTGGTTGAGTGAGTTTCTTAATCCTGAGTTCCAATTAGATTGCACTGGGGCCTGATAGACTGTTTATTACAATTTCAGTTCTTTTGCATTTTCTGAGGAGTGTTTTACTTCCAATCATATGATTGATTTTAGAATAAGCATCATATGGCACTGAGAAGAATGTATATTCTGTTGATTTGTGGTGGAGAGTTCTGTGTATGTCTATTAGGTCCACTCCAGAGCTGAGTTCTAGTCCTGAAAATCCTTGTTGATTTTCTGTCTCATTGATCTGTCAAATGTTGACAGTGGGGTGTTAAAATCTCCCATTATTATTGTGTGAGAGTCTAAGTCTCTTTGTAGGTCTCTAAGAACTTGTTTTATGAATCTGGGTGCTCCTGTATTGGGTGCATATATATTTAGGATAGTTAGCTCTTCTTGTTTTCTTTACCATTATTTAATACCTTCTTTGCCTTTTTTGATCTTTGTTGGTTTAAAGTCTGTTTTGTCAGAGACTAGGATTGAAACGCCTGCTTTTTTTTTTTTGCTTTCCATTTTCTTGGTAAATTTTCCTCCATCCCTTTATTTTGAGCCTATGTGTGTCTTTGCTCATGAGATGGGTCTCCTGAATATAGCACACCAAAGGGTCTTGACCCTTTATCCAATTTGCCAGTCTGTGTCTTTTAATTGAAGCATTTAGCCCATTTACATTTAAGATTAGTATTGTTATTTGTGAATTTTTTCCTGTCATCATGATGCTATCTGGTTATTTTGCACACTAGTGGATGCAGTTTCTTCATGGTGTCATTGGTCTTTATATTTTGGTGTGCTTTTGCAGTGGCTGTACCAGGTTTTCCTTTCCATATTTAGTACTTCTTTCAGAGGCTCTTGCAGGGCAGGCCTGGTAGTAACAAAATCCCTCAGCATTTGCTTGTATGAAAAGGATTTTATTTCTCCTTTGCTTATGAAGCTTAGTTTGGCTGGATATGAAATTCTGGGTTCACAATGCTTTTCTTTAAGAATGTTGAAAGGAGTATAAATCATGCTGCTATAAAGACACATTCACACATATGTTTATTGCAGCACTATTCACAATAGCAAAGACTTGGAGCCAACCCAAATGTCCCTCAATGATGGACTGGATTAAGAAAATGTGGCACACATACACCACGGAATACTATGCAGCCATAGAAAAGGATGAGTTCATGTCCTTTGTAGGGACATGGATGAAGCTGGAAATGATCATTCTCAGCAAACTATCGCAAGGACAGAAAACCAAACACCACATGCTCTCACTCATAGGTAGGAATTGAACAATGAGAACACTTGGACACAGGGTGGGGAGCATCACACACCGGGGCCTGTCGTGGGGTGGGGGGAGGGGGGAGAGATAGCACTAGGAGATATACCTAATGTAAATGACGAGTTAATGGGTGCAGCACACCAACATGGCACATGTATACATATGTAACAAAGCTGCAAGTTGTGCACATGTACCCTAGAACTTAAAATATAATAAAAAATGAAATAAAATGGCAAATAAAGGATTTGCTCTTAAAGTTTCTGAAAAAAATACAAATAAATAAAGTTTATAGCTCAAAGAAAAAATTCTGTTCTTTTGAAACTGCATTAAGAATGAAAGAGGAGACATTAAAATCTGACAAGACTTTATTTTCTTAATTGAACATTTCAAATCCAGGACCAACAAGTTACTGTGAGCTGTTGATTACTTACTTAACTGTGAATAAACTTTACAGTTAAATGTCACAAATGGACAAAGTGTAGGCAACTTGAAAACACAATCCAGTTCTCCTGGCCTTATCTTATATTTGGATCCTTTCACCTTCTCAAAGTCATTCATCAGGAGACTGGCAAAGAGCCCTGTCATCTCAAATTCCCAGTGTTTACTTATAAACACAGGAAGTTCAAATTTCTTAGAATTAAGCCTAATGCAGAACCTGCCTTCCGTGGAATGAATTCTGCAAGTTTGTAAAGAACCTACATGAAAAATACCTGAAAGAACATGTACACCAATGAATATCTTACTGAATCAGATCCCACTAAGAACCCAGAGTCATTCAGACATTATGTGTAAAATCTTTTTATCTGCCTGTGAAGAAAGCTCTGCTAAACAAATTAATACCATGCAGATAAGAATTCTAGAGAGATATTTAAGGGATTCAATAGTTCCAGAACTGACCAACTGTTTCAAGCCCTTTTCTGGGACCTGTGTTGTTAATTGGTGCAGTGTGATTTCAGGATAATTGTCCTCACATGCTAGGTGGCTATTGTCTGCAAGTAATCTGAATGCCTTTAAAAAACAAAACAATGCAAATATGTATTGTTCCATGCCTATACTCTAAGTGACCTGTATAGCACCATTTATCAAGTCTTAGCCAAAACCCCATAAATGGAAGACTGAGGGGTCTACGGGTAGGGCAGTTGCTGGAGAAGACCTTCTCCCCAGTTATATGAGCCTGAAAATAAAGCTCCTCTTTTTGCTGGAAAAAAAAAAAGAATGTTGAATATTGGCCCTCAATATCTTCTGGCTTGTGGAGTTTCTGTTGAGAGGTCCACTGTGAGTCTGATCAGCTTCCCTTTGTAGGTGACCTGACCTTTCTCTCTGGCTGCCCCTAATATTTTTTCCTTCATTTCAACCTTGGAGAATCTGACGATTATGTGTCTTGGGGTTGAGCTTCTCATGGAGTATCTTATTGGTGTTCTCTGTATTTCCTAAATGTGCATGTTGGCCTGCCTTGCTAGGTTGGGGAAGTTCTCCTGGTTAATGTCCTGAAGTGTGTTTTCCAGCTTGTTTCTGTTCTCCCTGTCTCCTTCAGGTACTCCAGTGAATTATAGATTTGTTTTTGTTTTTTTTTACAAAGTCCCATATTTCTTGGAGGCTTTGTTCATTCCTTTTCATTCTTTTTTCTCTAATCTTATCTGCATGCCTTATTTCAGCAAGGTGGTCTTCAAACTCTGATATCCTTTCTTTTGCTTGGTCGATTTGGCTATTGATAATTGTGTATGCTTCACAAAGTTCTCGTGCTGTGTTTTTCAGCTCCTTTAGGTCATTTATGTTCCTCTCTAAACTGATTATTCTAGTTAGCAGCTCCTTTAACCTTTTATCAAGGTTCTTAGCTTCTTTGCATTGGGTTAGAACATGGTCCTTTAGCTCAGTGGTGTTTTTTATTACCCATTTTCTGAAGCCTACTTCTGTCAATTCGTCCATCTCATCCTCTGTCCAGTTCTGCACCCTTGCTGGAGAGGTGTTGTGATCATTAGGAGGAGAAGGGGCACTCTGGCCTTTTGGGTTTTCAGCATTGTTGTTGTTGTTGTTGATTCTTTCTCATCTTCATGAGTTTGTCTAGTTTTGATCTTTGAGGCTGCTGAACCGTGGATGTGGTTTTTGTGGGGACTATTTTATTGTTGTTGTTGCTTTCTGTTTGTTTGTTTTTCTTCATTGGTCAAGTCCCTCTTCCGTAGGGCTGCTACAGTTTGCTAGGGGTTCACTTCAGGCCCTATTCATCTGGTTTGCTCCCTCGCCTGGAGATTTCACTCAAAGAGACTGGAGAACAGCAAAGATGCATGCCTGCTCCTTCTTCTGGGATCTCTGACCTCGAGGGGCACCAACCTGATGCCAGTAGGATTGCTCTTGTACAGGGTGTCTGACAACCCCAGTTGGAGGATCTCACCCAGTTGGGTGGCACAGGGAACAGGACCAGTTTCATGAAGCACTTTGATTGTCCCTTGGTGGAGGGGGTGTGGTTTGCTGGGGGAAAAGCTACTTGCCTGGGCTGCCCAGGTTTCTCAGAACTACCAGGAGGAAAGGCTAAGTCCGCCTGTCCACAGATACTGTGGCCACCCCTCCCCCTGTGGGCTCAGGCTCAGGGAAATCCAGGTTCTGTCCCTGAGACCCTAGCTGAAGTTGTTGGAGTTCCTGCTGGGAAGCCCCACCCAGTGAGGAATAATGGGTCAGGGTCAGTTCTGGAGAGGCACTCTGGCTGCAGTCTGTCACAGCTGGTGTGTTGGGCTGTGGGGGACACCTCTTGGGACCAAGCTGTCCAGCCTCCCTGGCTGCAGCAGGGGAAAAGCACAGACTGGAGCTATAGAGATGGATGCCGCCCTTCCCCTACCCAGGGAGCTTAGCCTGTTAGGCAGTTGTGAGTCCCAGTGCTGGCTGCTGCCCTCACACAAGGGGCTCAAAGGGCTTCCACAGCAGGCAGCAGCAGCTGTGGTGCTGGTTGCCCCTCACCCAGGAGCTAGGCAGACTTAAGCAGCTTTCATCTAAGAGGCTGTTGAGAATCTTTGCAGCTCTGGGGTTGAGATCCTAGGCACCAGTGGTGTGGGTTCATGAGTGGGATCTTCCAATCCATGAGTTGCACAGATCCATGGAAAAAGCATGGTTTCCTCAGCTGGGTAGCACACTCACTCACCACCTCCTTTGGCTGGAGGGGTGGGGGTTCCCCTGCCCCATGTGGCTCTCAGGTGGGCCGCAACACCACTCTGTTCTTCCTTCCTCTCTGTGGATCACTCCAGCCGCCTAGTCAGTTCTGATGAGAGAACCCAGATACCTTGGTTGCCAGTGAAGGATTCACATGCTAATTATGGTTCTTTTTGATGGGAGCCTCCGAATGCCACTGTTTCTAGTTGGCCATCTTGGCCCCACACCCTGTTTTCCTTTTTGATGTAGTTATTTACAGCTATACATTTTTCTCTAAGCACTACCTTGCCTGCATTTTATTAATTTTAATTCATAGTGTTTTCATTTTCACTCAGCTCAAAATATTTTCTAATTCCTCTTTTGATATCTTCTTTGACCCATTGGTTATTTAATAGTGTGTTATATAGTTTCCATATATTAGAGTTTTCTTAAATTTCTTTCTGTTAATATTCTCCAGTTTTACTACATTATAATGAGAGAACATACTTTGTATGATTTTAGTACTTTTAATTATTGAAACTTGTTTATGGCCTAACATATGGTGGGGAATTTTTCATGTACACTTGAGAAGAATGTGTATTTCACCATCATGGGCGGAGTGTTCTAGAAATGTCCGTTAGATCTAGTACGTGTGTAGTGTTGCTCAAGTCTTCTATTTCCTGGTGGATTTTCTGCCTAGTTGTTCTGTCCATTATTGAAAGTATAGCATTAAATTTCCACTATTATTATTAAATTGTCTATTTTTTTGCACTTGTTGCTGTCCATATTTTGCAGCTTTGTTTTTAGGTGCATATATGCTTATAACTGTTATAGCTTACTCATGAATTGGCACTTCTACTCCTCTTTATCTTTAGTAACTTTTTTTTTGTTTTAAAGTCTAGTTGTGTTTCTTTTTTTTTTTTTTTTCCTGATATTACTGTAGCCACTCCATCTTTCTTAGGGCTGCTGTTTGCAAAATGTATTGCTTTCTGTCCTTTTGCTTTGAATCTATTCGTATCTTTGAATCTTTAGGGCATCTCTTGTAGATAGCATATATGAATAATGTTTTCTAAATCCAGTCTAATATCTTCTGCCTTATGATTGTTTATTCTATTCACATCTAATATCATTAATGATATAGTTGGACTTATGCCTGCCATTTTACTTTTTGTTTTCCATATGTCTCATGTATTTTTGTTCCCCATCCCTCTTTACTTGTTTCTTTTGCATTAAGGGAATATTTTCTAGTCAAACATTTTAAGTTTTCTAATTATTTATTCACTTGATAGTTTTGAGTTGCCTTTTTAGTGGTTGCTTTAGAATTTACAATATGTATGTTATCTGATTTTACTTCAGATTTATACTAACTTAATTCCAGTGAGATATAGAAACAATATTTTTATGTAGCTCTATTCTCTCATCCCTCTTTTTGTGCCATTATTGTTGTACATATTGCATTTATAATGTTACAAATCTAATAATACATTGTTATAGTTATTACTTTACATAATTACTGTATATGTTAAAAGCTGAAAAAGAGCAACTACATATTTAGTTCTTTTACTTTTTGCTTTCCATATGTCTCAAGTATTTTTGTTTTCCCATTCCTCTTTAGTTGTTTTTTTTTTTTTCCCCTTGAGACAAAGTCTCACTCTGTTGCCCAAGCTGTGCAACAGAGTGAGTGCACACAGTGCAGTGGCACAACCTTGACTAACGGCAACCTCTGCCTCATGGGCTCAAGCAGTCCCCCCACTTCAGCCTCCTGAGTAGCTGGGACCACAGGCACGTGCCACCATGCCAGGCTAATTTTTGTATTTTTGTAGAGATTTGGTTTTAACATGTTGCCAGGCTGGTCTTGAACTCCTGGGCACAGTGATTCACCTACCTTAGCCTCCCCGACAGCTGGGATTACAGGCATGAGCCACCACATTCAGTCTATAGATTTTTTTAAATTATACTTTAAGTTCTGGGATACATGTACAGAACATGCAGGTTTGTTACATAGATATACACGTGCCATGGTAGTTTATTGCACCCATCAACCCGTCATCTACATTAGGTATTTCTCCTAATGCTATCCCTCCCCTAGCCTCCCACACACTGACAGGCCCCAGTTTGTGATGTTCCCCTCCCTGTGTCTATGTGTTCTCATTGTTCACCTCCCACTTATGAGTGAGAATATGTGGTGTTTGGTTTTCTGTTCCTGTGTTAGTTTGCTGAGAATGATGGTTCCCAGCTTCATTCATGTCCCTGCAAAGGACATGAATTCATCCTTTTATATGGCTGCATAGTATTCCATGCTGTATGTTTTCTATATCATTTCTGTTCTTCTTATTTTTTCCTATGGATTCAAGTTACCATATGGTATCATTTTTCTACTCCAATACAACTTTGCTCCCACCCACCCACTTGGTGTTGCTTTTATTAAATATATTATATTTCTACATGTTATAAGCTGAAAACAAAGTATATATATACTGTTATATACAATTTTTTTATATCAGCTGAGAGATGAAAAAGGAAATATGTATTTATATTATCTTTTGCAATTACATAATTATCTATACTGATGGTCTGGCTTTTGAGTAGATATGAATTTGCATATGGGTTTATTTGCTTTCAGTTTTCAAAAAATAGTAATTTTTAAAGTGGATTTGTTAGACATTAATTATCCCAGTTTTATTTATCTAGGAATGTCTTTGGTTTGGCCTGAATTTGGAAAGATAGTTTTTCTAGATATAAGATCCTTGGTTGAGAATATTTTTTATGAAGTTTGACTGCCATCTCACTGCATTCTGGCCATTGTTTCTTATAATGACTCAACTGTAAATTTTATTGTGGTCCACTATGTAAGTTGTTTTTCTCTTGATGCCTTTAACATTTTCTCTTTGTTTTGACTTTGAGCCTTTTTACTCATATTTCTAACTGTGGATCTCTTTGCATATATCCTACTTGGAGTTTGTTGAAATTCTTGGATATGTAAAATGTTTTTCAGCAAATCTGGGAAATGTTAGGAGTTTTTAAAAAATTTTTTTGCTCTTTGTTCCTATTTTTCTTCGAGTATTTCCATTATGCATGTATTAATTCATTTAATGAGTCTCACATTTCTCTTAAGGTCGGTTAATTTTATTTTCCCTCTGTTATTTAGATTGCATAATCTCTTGATCTATTTTCAAGTTCACTAATTCTTTCTCTCGTCAATTCACATCTTCTGTTTAACCCTTTGATGAATTTTCTTATTTCATGTATTGTACTTTTAAACTCATAATTTCAACTTAGTTCTTGCTTTTTTAAAATTTTCTAGTTCCTAATTTATATTATTTTTTAATAAGACATTGCCTTCATACCCTTCTTTCTCTAAGCATAGTTCCATTAGTCCTCTGAACATGTTAAGAGTGGTTATTTTGAAATCTTCTTCTGTTGAATTTGTCATATCATCCTTCTCATAGTTTCTGTAGCCAGCTTTTTCCTATATGTTTCACAATTTTCTGTCTTTTTGCTTGTCTCATAATTTTTTGTTGAAAACTGTACAGTTTAAGTCATATATTGCAGCAATTCTGAATACTGATTTGCCTCTCTCCTCTCTGGGTTTGTGGTTGTTTACTAGTATTTGTTTTGTGACTTAGTTATCATCTTTCAGTGAGGTCTATTTCTCCCATGCTATGAAGCCTTTGGTGTCACTCCTTATAGGGCATATTATTGGGCTTGTATATGGCCATCTGTGATTACAGTAGTAGTAGCAGGGATGTCTTTTGATCTTTCTTTTCTTAATTTCTCTGTTAAACTCTCTACCTCATTTGGCATCACAGCTAAAAGTTAGTCTCTGCTGTTTACTGGCTGGTCGCTTTATTATTTTCAATAGTGTCTGATAACAAATTTCTCAGCAGTATGATTCAACTACATTTATGCAGGGGTAATTTTTGACACCAATTTAAGGTTTGTCCTGATCCCAGGAGATCTCTTCTCAACTGACTAATTTTCTTTTTATCTGTTGAACTATCTGGCGTATAATTTAACTTGTTGTTCTTAAAGAACATTTGAGAGCACCCTTAGGCTTGAACTTCCTCACACTCTGTTTCAAATAAAGTCAGCTCTAGGGAAAGATTCAGAGCTATTTTTTAGTGATTGTTTTACCCCCTGATCAAAATTCTAAGCCACTGCTCTCGAAAGTTGGTGTAGCAAAATTTTTTGTCTTTCGTGGATTGCCTCGTCGGGATGGAACTTCTTCCCTATAAGAAAGTTGAGATGAATATACTCAGGAACACAGGATTCTCATCCTATTATGCCTAGGACAGAACCTCCATTCTACAGGTAGGCGATTGGTGTAGGAAGGGAGCCCCTAACTTCCAGAGAATACTTACGAGGAATTTAACTTTTTCAACTCGGAAGTTAGAGGGCATAATAAATGCTGTTGGCCTGTTCCTTCCGATGAGGTATGCTAACCCATAATTGGGAGATAGAGAGAAGCCCATCTTTTCAGCCACACCCTGTCAAGTGGAGCTTCCATCAGGCTGAGCAGGAAGGGTGAAAGGAGGAAGTGGATGTTTATTCCAATGCCACAGATCGTTGCTGCTCTTATCACATTTAGTGGATTGTCTTGAATAAACATTTCTTAATTTGCTCTATGCTCTTAGAACTATTTTAAGAGAATATAGTTATTTCTAGAACAGTTTTCTCCAGCTTTGCTGGTTTTACTGGAGAGTAGGTCTGTGGAATGCCTCACATTTTTGCCTCACTTGCCACATTACACACCTGCTCCCACTTTGCCTTCCATCATGAGTAAAAGCTTCCTGAAGCCTTATCAGAAACTGAGCAGCTGCTGCTGCCAGGCTTGTACAGCCTGCAGAACCGTGAGCCAAATAATAAACTCTCTCTCTCTTTCCATATATATATATACACATATATATATTCTTTTCTGGATATATACATATGTGTGTGTGTGTATATATATACATATGTGTGTGTATATATATATACACATACACATATATATGTGTGTGTATATATACACACACATAAATATGTATATGCATATACACATGTATATGTATATGTGTATATGTATAGACACATGTACATGTATATGTATATATGTATATACACACATACATATATGTGTATATATACACACATGTATATATCCAGTTTAAGTATTATTTGTAGCAATGCAAAATGGACTAATACACTTCGCAAGAGAGAAGACTGATTAGTTTGTCCCTATCATGTGGGTAGTGTGGAGATTTTACATAATGACTTCACCAAACAGTTCTAGTTTATAATAAACTGCAACTACAATGATTTTCTGAAAATAATCATTGCATATAGACATAATATATATTCACTACTTGCCTACAGTCAATTCTTTTACGTATATAATGAAGATAAAACATTGATACTTAAAGCGGGAGAATGAAGAAACAGTCATTTACAGTTTGGTCATCAATTTTACTCCATTATCTGTATCTCAACTTTTTGGTCCAAATCATAGTTTGTGCGTATTTAATTATTTTCATTGAATGGGAAAACACAGCTTTCATCAAAATCCACTTTTATGTCGAACTTCTCTTTGAACCAGAAAGAATTTTCTTATGCTTGATACAAATTACTCTTGCTCAAATTTAAATGAATTTCCTTTGTTCTGTTTTTAGCAGTCAGATCAAGCACTATATTGCAGAATGAAAGTAACACAAAATATTACTATTATTTCTCAAATATGTCATAGTCACTTTAAATTCTTTTTTTTCCTCTCAGATTTTTAGCCATTTTTCTCATCATGAGGTCACTGCAATTCTAATAAGAGATACAGAGAAACCCTCAAAATTATTCTTAAAAAGAGTCTTTAACAAAACTATATACTAATGGGTTGCTTGGACTGTATTTTTAAGTTGTATATTGCATATAATAGAAAAATTATCTCCATACCTCACACAAGACAGGGAAATAACTATAGGGTTATATCCTTTGCATAATTGATTTCTAAATGTTAGAAATGTTATGATTATGTCACTAAGTAATTTGCAAATCAATGGCTCCTAAGGGTCTTGTATCCTTTGGAAAAAGCTATATTTAACAGTTCGTTTATATTGTATTTTCCTAAATGCAAAATATCTACAGTGCTGCTAGAACACCTGGCTTTAGGGTCATCCAGTGAAACTAATTTGAAACATATCTTAGAAATGTTTACTTTTCCAACTACATTATGTGAAAAATAGTGTATCTATGCTTTTATGTAGATATATGACCACACTATTTTTACATGTGCATTAGTACTAGATGAGAAATGTCTGAATTGTCTATATGTCAAATCCCAAGTGATTTACAGGAAGAACACCTGATACTGTACCTAACACAAGGGTTCTCCTTAACCCTTGCCATGATGGCCATAGAATCTTTCTCCAATTCTATGCTAAAGCCTTTCTACTACACAGTTAGACCAACTTATCAATTACAGAAGTTTCATCTAGGCAGATAAAACTCTCAATGTATTCTAAAATTTCAACAGGGCCTTGAAAATTAGAATAATTCTTAAGTCTCAATAGTTCTAAGTCCCCAGAACTGAACATTATAGAAATCTGTAAGTGAAGATTGCCAGTCACATAAGATCATGATTTATTCTTTCATGCATTCATAAATGCAATAAAAGATTTGCTGAAAGCTAACTACATGCTAGGTGACATAAGACAAATATCATTTAATATCTTCAAGACACTTAATATAGGTTTGTGTATATTTATAAACTAATAAGGGTAATAAGTATCATGATTGCTTTAATAAAAATCTGATTAAGGTAATAGAGTATAAAGAGAATCCTAAACAATTCACGGGGTGGCAAATGAGAGGACACAAACAGAAAAAAAGCTACTGAACGTAGACACATAAACATATATTGATCTTACCCATTTGGGTAAACACAGGATTATACTGCAGCTGGAGAGGAATTTAAGAGAGAGAACAGCAGGTAGGAGAAAGGTTTCATATGCTGTAGCATGCCTAATGGCAATGAGAGCAAGTAATAAACTTTGAGCTGGTTATTGAAAATATCAGTATTGAATTTAGGATAATTACATTAGCAATAGTATAAGTGATGAATTGGAATTGGAGACAGAGGGGATTGAAGGTAAGACTGTAATCAGAGAAACCAGTTTGGAGAGCAATTTAGAAATATTCAGAGACAATTAACTGACCTCATTAAGAGTTTAAGAAAGCAAGAACAACTGGACTTAGTAGTCCCATGTTTGCGGGCGAGAGAATGAAGAGGAGGTATATTAAAAATATGTAATTTAGAAAACTTGATAAGAAATAATATTAGTTGTTGAATAGCAGAAATAACCTTTTAGTTTTAGTCCCAGATTTCATTAATTCAGCTAAGGCCTTTTATTATCAAGCACTGTACTAGGTGTTGGAGATAAAAAGATGAATAAACAAGTCCAAACCCAGCCATTAAGGAATTGAACATGTAAACATAAAACAAATATGAAAACAACTAAATGAAACACTGTACAAGCATTTTAGTGGAATAACCACATTGCACAATACAAACACATAGAGGAAAGGGGAAAGAGGAGGAAGTAAATGCAGGCAGGTTTAAACTGAGGGAGGTAAGCAGACCCAAATGAGATGAAGAGGTATGAGTTATATTATAGAAATTCTTACATTATAATGTTAAAAAAATTGGACTCTAACCTGTAATTATATATCCATGGGAGAGTTTTAAGCATGCCAGGATATGAATATTAGAAAGATTAATTAAAATATTATTTGAGTGGTGTGTTTGTTAGGCCATTTTTGTACTGTTATAAAGAAATACCTAAGGCTGAGTAATTTATAAGATAAGATGTTTAATTGGCTTACAGTTTTGTAGGCTTTACAGGAAGCATGGTGCTGGCATCTGCTTCTGGTGAGGGCCTCAGGAAACTTACTCATGGCAGAAGGTGATAAGAGAGAAAAGGGCAAGGTGACATACTTTTTTAAACAACCATGTCTCATGAGAACTCACTCACTATTGCTAGGACAGCACTAAGGGGATGGTGTTAAACGATTCATGAGAAATCTACCCCAGTGAATCCAATCACTGCCCAACAGGCCCTAGCACCAACACTGGGGGTTACTTCTCAACATGAGATTTGAAGAAGACATCCAAAATATATCAGGTGAAATTATAGAAAACATAATTTCAAGAAAATTGAAGGGTAAGCATGACATAGGAGGCTACCACAATTTTGAGTCAAATATCTGAATTAAACAAATGGCTGGAGGGAAAAGAAATAGAGATGAGATAGGGGGCAGTGGTTCAGAAAATATAATTGATTCGTTACACATTGTAAGGGAAAGCATCCTATTGGATAAGCCATCCTACTGGATAAAGGATTCTATTGGATAAAGTTTATGATTATAGGACTGTTTTGATGGTCGTATGGTCAACTAGAATAAGGAATTCTAAAGAAGAAAAGGTTATTAGGTTAATTTGTGGTCAGTACAGTGAAAATATAATTCAATTTCTTTCCATGCCTGTGCCTATTCATTGAAATGTAACTTTCCGTAGTCCATTAAGTGGGCAGGATAATCGACATCCTAACTATAAATAATTGGACAAAATCTACAATCCTGACCAGAGATGGATTAGTCATAATCCTTTCCCTGAAATTGTAAGAAGAAGACAACTGCCTTTGATTGACTAAACTGGGCTTGAAACAATTCTACTCCTAGATATGTTCCTAACCAAAATTCATGCACATGGGCACCAAAAGGCATGTACTAGTGTCAATTCCAGTATTAGCTGTAATAGCTTCAAACAAGAAATAACCCATCGAATATTCATCCAAAGTCAAATGATGACTGTATTGTAAATTCCTCACACAAGGGAATAATATGCAGCCTTAAAGAACTACAGCTAAATCTAGCAATATTGATCAATCTCAAAGACACTTTGTTGGTTTAGTAAACCAACCTAAATCAATTTATAAATTCCAAGAAATCCAATTCAAAACTTTAATTGTGTTTTTGAGTGATTTAGTTTAAAATGTATATGGCATAAAAATGTATTCAAACATATAAGTTAACCTACAAGAAAGAAAGAGATGCTATTATTATATTAAGTTATAGCAGTCATTAATGCTGTTTACTGAACATTTATTTTCATGCTGTGATCACATGTTAGGATGTAACTTCCTGGATTTTTGTTTTGGATGATAAATTATAAGCCAAACTTAGATATGTCACTTCTGGACTGAAGCATTCATTTAATTATCAGCATGAAAACTTCTAGTCTGTTCTTCCCTCTGGCTTGTGAATGGCCTCACACAGTTTCAGGTTTCAGTAAAAACCACTGTTCCTGAGTTACTAAGACAATTGGAGTATCTTGCAGACCTTCAGTGGATCTGCAGCATGAGTGAAAAGTAAGCCTCTCGTTCTAAGCCACTGATGTTTTCAAGTTGTTTATTACCACAGCATAACATAGCCTGCTCTGACTTATTGAAAAGCCATTGGTGCAAAAAAAGACTAATGGACCAATAGAATAAAATGGTTAGTTCACAGACATATATATATACAAACACTCTATGAACAGGGTACACTACAAATCTAGAAGAAAAGAATTGTTTGGTGTGGGAAAACTGGTTCACTACATGGATGAATATAAAACTTGATGCCTACCTAAGACCACACAAAAAATGGGAAGCCTAGGTGGTGGATTAAAAGCCAAATTTAGAAGAAATGTTCAGTAGAAGAAATGTTGAAAAATTATTATGACCAAAAAAATCACTTATTAAGTAAAAATTTCAAAACACAAGCCAAGAAGCAAAAAGTATAAAAATAAACCTGGAAATCAATCAGAAAAAGCCTGCAATCTCAAAACAAAAATAAAGGACACATCAGTCACTTTCCAGCAGAGAACCAAAAACATTGACAAATAGAAGATGAGGTGCTCAAAAGTATAGTGGTCAAAGAAATGCTAATTAAAGCAATAATGCTGTATTACTTCTTTTAGAAAGTTGTATAATTCTAAGTGTAGAGGATGTAGAATCCCTCATTCCTTGCTATGGAAAGATAAAATTGATTAGATCACACTGGAGAACAGTCTTGGTTTATTTAGTTAAATAAAATATACACAATTCTCCTCCTAATAACACAACACAAAGGTAGTCTGCAGGACATGCAAACAGCTGTTCACTGAAGAATTGTTGACAGAGATGGGGCGAATAGATGGGCAAATTCTGGTAGAGGCCATGAGTACTGTAAGGCAGTTGGAAGCAACATAACAGACAAAAACCTAGGAATGTGAATGACCTCAGAAATAAAATGATTATTTTAAAATGGAAACTATATTTTGTCATATAATTCCAGTTATGTATACTAAATGTCTGCAGACAAAATAATCATTTGAGAAAGAACATAATTAAATACTAAATATGCAATAAGCACAACAAAAATGGTTGCCTGTGTTTGGGAAGAATGGGAGTCAGGTATAGAGATAGAAAATAATAAACAGGCAAATAAAAAAAGGAAAAAATACTGTTGGTTTTCAAATGTTGACTATTTGCAAATTGAGAACTATGTATGCTACCAAAACCAACAAGAAATGTCATTTGTTGAATTAACAATTTGAGATTAGTTTTAATGATCTATATAAAACATCTAAGATGGGGAAATAAAAATATGTTACAGTAATATATGCCTGTGTTATAATTGTGATGGGCAAACCAGTTTGATCCAGGTGTTATCAGAATAATTTGTATGTATGAATTCCCAAGTGCTTCCAGAATTCAATGTGGACTTTCACAAGACATCTTAAACTTATGTGTGCATTGTAAAAATATTTTTAAAAATTTAAAATCAAAACTTTGCCATGCCCACTCTCAAATTTTATTTACTTCCTCCTTCTTTCACTGCTATCTGCCTGTTCTGCTTATCTCTCAAACATTAGGTCACTCGTTCTAATAGAATATAGATCCCTATGATTGGTGTTAAGGATAATAGATATAAGCAACAAGAATATGAAAAATAACTTGAGCTATGATTTTGCATTCTTACTGTGTTGTTGTAAAGTGCTGAGATATATGCAAACACCTACATCATTTACTAAAAATTATATACACAAAGACAGGAAGAAATGACTGAGATGAACCTCTAGATACAGTTCTGTAGGCTGCCTGGATATAAGTGATTTGTGTGTCTAAATGTGTATGTATCTATTAATGAACCATTACTCCAGGAATAGAGGGCTAGATTAAGTCTGACGTGTTTTACCAACTGCATTTTTAAAAATGTGAATTGGATAGACATCAAGAAAACAAAGAGAATCTATGTGGGAGGGAGTGATTCACGTTTCATGTGACCAGCACCAGTGAGACCAGTTGACTCCAGGAAGAATTGGCAGTTCTGGAGAGAAAGTGTGGCCTTTGCTAGTACAGGAGGTCTGGAAAAATGAATGTAAGTTGCAACAATTCAGAGTTGCCCTTTGGATAAATGTTCATAGAGTGATTGTATTTCACAGGACATTGCTAGTCAATTTTATGTGATAAAGAAAAAGGGAAGAACACACTCAAGAGGAACCAAAGTTTAACATGTAACAGGATACATTTTATGTCAAAATAAAAATACAATAATTCACCGTGAGGAGTAAGAGGACAAATAGAGCTATTAATGTTACAGAAGCCAAGTTCTAAGCTTAGGAAATAGAAGAGTACTTACTGGTGTCACAGAACATTTTTAAGTGTTCTGAAGACATAATAGATTCTACATTTAAAATAACACAGATAATGTAGGAATTTAACTTGAAATGTAAACTCTATAATTGCCATTTCATGTCTTCAATTGCTTATTGCAATAGCAATTTTCAGAAGCACATTACAGATCCCCTTTTTTAATCATTTGTCTATTTTTTTCCTACAAGCAATATATTGCTGACAAAACATCATGACTCATTTCTTTTTCCATAAAATCCATTCTTATTTGTGTCTTGTTCAACATTAAATTTAAACATACAGCCTCTAATTTAGTGTCAGAATTCTGAAACCAAAACTATTCATACCTAATATATGTCTGTTTGATATCAAATTCTATTTTGTCTTCATCTCAATCAATACTTTTCTCATCCTATCTAATAGCCCCTAGATATTTGTATATCATTAAACATTATTTTCTGTATTAATTTTTTCTGAAAAGTAATTGATCTTCAGCACCAAAAATGGCAAGCCATAACATAACCAAATTAGAGACTTGAGCATAAAAGTGTACTCTAGTAGATTTGTTTGAATACCTTGGTATTTGGTTCAGAATATTCTGAGCATATTCTCACCTTTAGCAGTTTTCCTTCTTTACTCACAGGAAGATTAATAACAGAAATATTAAAAATTAAAGAAATTATGTAATGCTTTATATAGTCTCTCTCTCTCTCTATATATATATATATATGTGTGTGTGTGTGTGTGTGTGTGTGTGTGTGTGTGTATATATGAGATCTTCTTTTGATATATAATTATTTTTTCTTCAGTTACCCCAATCAAAAGTGGAAGCATAGAGGCCTTTCTTATGTTGCTGTTTGATGACCACAACCTTAACTTCAGTTACAAACTTTTTAAAGAGAAGCAACTTTTGCACTAATATAATCCATTTTTAATCCATTTCCTAATCCATGTGTATTTCTTAAAGGTAATTACTAAATATACGTGTTAATCATGACCATCTAACACCATGGAAAAAAACTATACCTTAGTTCTGACACTAAGAACATCAGGCAATAAGGGTGACATTATTCTACAAATAGCTGCTACTTCTGGGGGAACATTTTTCTCTTTCAAGTGAAAGTAGATGTTTCTATATAGAATTAAACAGACTTTTTAGTCTTTAATCTTCCTTATTTTTTAGTACTAACCTTCACATTCACTTTACATGTCTTATAAAATGCCTAGCATTTTTCTGTGTGTTACTTCTTCCAGAGCACAAATTAAAAATGAATGAAATAGAATAAATCCATTCCTCAGAAACAACACACATAATACAATAAAAAGATATACTGCACAATGCAATGTTAAAAAATCCAGAAAATAGTGCAATTAAAAATAACTAAAGATTAGCTTCTTTTCATCCACATAGAGGTAATTAGGGAAAAAAAACCTCATATTTTAGGTCTCAGAAGACACATATTAGGATGCTTCCTTAAATGAATATACCTTGAATTTAATGTAAATTCCCAGAAAATATTTTGATTAAGAAATTCATTTTCTAAAAGTTATATTCCTTGCATTGAGACTGTTTTTAAAGTATATTTGTGACCTTCTTTAAAGGAAAGTGACAAAAGGCAAGTACAGAAGAAAAATTACCATAAAGCATGTTCTGTGTCTAAGTGTCATTGATACAGATGGCTAGTTAACAGTGCTGCTGCATTTTGATAACAATGGAGGAAATGCATGATTATATTTCAGCATTAGCAGATTGTCCTCTCTTTTGCTATGTTATACCTAAAACATTGGTCTTTTGCTTTTCTGTCCTTACATAGAGGTAAATTTTAATTTTTATAAAAAAAATCTGTCATTTGGAGCTTAGTGGATACAATAGTTTCTGTGGTTAGACTTTTTGAGTTTAGAAACATGCTCAGCAACCTACTAGACTGACCTTGAATATAATCCTTCTGTGTCTCATTTTCATCATCTGTAAAATGGGGCTATTAATAGTATCTCCCACGTAGGAGTCTCATAAGAATTAAAAGAAACAATACACCTGGTGAGAGTTCAATAAATGTAAGCTATTAAAGTAGTTTAATCTACAACAGAAAAGAGAAATGCAAAAATCTAATTATAATAATAATAAAACTAAAAATAAGTGGCACAATAAATTTACAGGCAATGTTAGGGTGCATTTAAACCTGCCTGAATAAGTCATCTCAGAGAAAGCCAAATAAATGAGCGGTCTTTTCAGTTGAGTGTTGAAGAATACATTTATATATATATATATATATATATATATATATATACATGAAAATAGGCTTAGAGAATGGAATAAAAAGGTAAGGAGTTATGAAAGTGCATGTCACACTTTGAAAATATCATATAGTCTTGGTGATTGGAAAGGATATTTAAAAATAAACATCACTTTTTGATTAATGGTTTTATTTTCTTTGTAATGATGGCACTAAAACAAATGAGAAAATAATTGAAAATCCCTGTGCCTCCCTTTCCTTTGCTCAATTTTTCTATTTTTCTCTGTTTAAAATTTCTCCATTAGTAAAAAAAAATCAACCTCTTTGAGTCAAGCAGACAAAAAAAATTTTGGCGAAGTCACAGAGATTTTTTTTTTTTTTTTTTTTTTTTTACTAAAGAGTTTTTTAAAAACCCCAAAAGTTTCTGGTGGAAGTGCTGACTTAAACTGAACTTCAGCTTCCATTAGGAAGTCTGAGTGAAGCTGTCTCGACAGAACTGGGCTTCATCAGCCCAGATAATGATTTCAATACTGCTGTTTCCAAGTACTCTGGGCTGTGACCTCCTTCCTTGATCTTTCAGAGCTGTATCAGTGAGCACGTATTTGTCAGAGTGCAGATATAAAACCCAATGCAGAAAAGCTTGTGAATTCAAGGAAAGGCTTGTGGAACTTCCCCATTGAAGGTCCTGCCATCTAGATCTGCAAGGTCCTCCGGGATGGGTCAGTCTTATATAAGCAGTTGTCCACTTGATTTGATTTTATGGGTTCTTCTTCATGCTCTACCCCCACAACTATCCTACCTATTTTCCACTCTAGAGTGGAGCAGCCTTTCTAAAAACAACCTAGATACTGAGTTGAATTTGGGATCAACACCTTCCATAAAACCTGCTGTTCTGGCAGAGGCCTGGGCAGTTCTCTTCAATGTCTTCTTAGGCTCTTCCTCCTGTTCTTTTCTTCCATTCACAATCCCAGGTCGGGTTCTCTATCATCAGCTACATATTTGAAATAAGGTTTAGAAGAGGACCCCAAATATCACTTCTTGTATATGAAACATGATTCCAGTGCCTCTGTTCTCAGCTTACACCTAGCACTGCAGTTCTCTACCTCCAAGTCACTCTATTGTATTATTCACCATTTCTGACTCTCCTTCTTATCATTTACAATTTAGTACAGGCTTTCTGCTAGATTAATTCTGTATAAGACCTGTGTTTTGGTAAAGGAGTTATCTCTACTCTCCATACTTTCTTCCATCATGTAAGTTCTCAATTGTATAATTATTTACCTATAGATGTTGTTAGTCTCTGAGCTCTTGGATGTGAAGGGACTTCTTTTAATTTTTTTTTTTAACCTCAAAACCCAGCAAATACCTAGCATTAAAATAAGTGATCTATAAATGTTTTTTGAATTAACTAATTACCTGTTTTTCCCTAAAATAACTTGCATACTAAATAAAAATGTTATATTAATTATTCATTTATCTGTATATAACCATTATCCTTTCACTACAATTTTTTTTTTTTTTTTTTTTTTTGAGACAGAGTTTCACTCTTGTCGCCCAGGCTGGAGTGCAGTGGCGCAATCTTGGCTCACTGCAACCTCCACCTCCCAGGTTCAAGTGATTCTCCTGCCTCAGCCTCCTGAGTATCTAGGATTACAGATAGTCACCACCACGCGTGGCTAATTTTTAAATATTTTTAGTAGAGATGAGGTTTCACCATGTTGGGCAGGATAGTCTCAAACTCCTGATCTCAGGTGATCCACCCACCTGAGCCTCCTAAAGTGCTGAGATTATGGGCATGAGCCACCACACCCAGCTTTTCACTACAATCTTTTTTAAAAATATAAATGCATTTTTGGTAAGTAGCACATAAGTTTTTAATATATTGCTATAAGTACCATTATTGTAATGTTTCTCTAAGATTGGAGTAAGTAGGACTTAAAGAAAAAGAATAAATGCAAAATTCTATATAGGATGCTGAGAACAAACGTTTTCTTTTCGAGACGGGTTCCATCTCTGTTGCCCAGGCTGGGATACAGTGTCATGACTCTCAGGCTCAAGTGATCCTCCCACCTCAGCCTCCCAAGTAGCTGGGACCACAGGCATGCGCCACTATGCCTAGCTAATTTTTTTATGTTTTAGAGAAGGGATTTCACCATGTTGCCCAGGCTGGTCTCAAACTCCTGGACTCAAGCGATCTTCCCACCCTGGCCCCTCAAAGTGCTTGACATTTTAGGTATGAACCTCCATGTCTGGTCCTTTTCTAATTTTTAATTTCTCCAAAAATAAAGGTGCCCTTAAAGTTAAGGCAAAGGAGTCTTCAACATTACCACACCAGCCAACAGTGGTTGCTATTTGTGTCAGGGAGCAAACTGCAGCTTCTAGCTACTTAGTGTCTGAGATAGATGGTATGGATTTTAATACAAATGTTGAAATTCACTTAAGCCTTTCACACGGTGAAGGTTAAGTGACCATTAAAATGGGAAAGTTCCATATGTCATTTTAGTACATAGACAAAAAAAGATACATCAACTACAAAACATAATCCATTAGGTTAATGATCTATGCTGAAGTTGCAAATACATGTTAGGGAGGTGATTCATTGATTCCATCAACATTTCCTACGGCAACGTGCATTTTAGAGATCTAACGTTCGTTTTTCTTCGGATCATTGTGTAGTAAATGATGACTTAATTTCTCTGTCAAAATAGCATTCTCCATGCAAACCCAGAAGAATTGCATCAAGTAGCATCCTTGTGCAATATATTCCAATCCAAGCACATCTCAGCTCTTTCTCAGTTGCATTTTATTTTAGCAATGACAATTTTTTTATTATAGTATTTATGTATCAGGTATGCAACCCAAACAACAAAAAGGGCAACAAAACTGTGTTCTTGAACAGCTGCCAATGATGCAGTGTTAGGAAATAAACTTTTAAATTTTTCTTTTAAAAACCTTCTTCAAACAAGACATATTTCATGGAGGTTAACAGTTTGCCAGAGAAATGTGATATAAGCTGAAACACACTCTGGCTTTCTCAGGTATTGTGAATTTCTGATAATGTACATAAACTGGTTGATCTGGTAACTCTATGTGGATAAGAGGTGAAAGCTGAATACAGATAATTAGTACTCAAAGCGATGTGGATACTATTCCAAGCAGTGAATGGGATCTGAAATTTAAAAGTTTGGAATCTTATATCGCCCAACAATGTGAAGGATGGGAGAGAGATGTCGAGTGCAGAGAATGGCAAGAAATGATACTAGAAAGGTACACTGGAACTAGATAGGAACCATGTTTTAAGGTCCTCACGTTAAAGAGGACACATTTTTTTTTTTTCATAGAGACGATAAAACACCAACAAAGATTTATAAGGAGTGGTAGGCAGTGTTTATAATTCTTGAAAGAGTCTGGTGATGAGGAACCCCATTAGGAAATTCATCGACAGTCCAACTGAAACACTGTGAGTAATGAGGATAAGGTGGGTAGATAGGGAGATGAGACACCAAGAAGAGAATTGTGTTTTAAATAGAGTCTAACTAGACAGAAAAGGTAAGAGAGAAAGTGAAGTCTAGGATAATTCTAAATTTTCTGGCTAACACTGCATATATTGTGATATAATTAGGAAAGAAGAAAAGTATTGTAAAAAAAAAAAGAAAAAAAAAGAAGGAAACATGGAGATTTTCATAGAATGGGCACTCAAATAGTTGAAGAATTGAATTAGAAAACTATGCCCATTCTAAACCACAATCAAGCAATTTTTCTTTTCTCTGTGACTTTTTTCAGTATATGCATTTGTTTTTCTTCCCTCCTACATGTTAATCCTAACTAAACAGATATTCTAGCAATATATTATGAATGAATGTATGAACTATATGAGAAAAATCAAGCTGGGAGTTTTTGTTTTACAGATGAGTAAAATGAGGCTTAGAGAGAGTTTTAATAACAGAGATGCGAAGAAGAACAAGACAAATTTGTGCGCGTGTGTGTGTGTGTGTGTTATATTATATTTAAGGCAGGCTTAGGCTTAGTGTGTTAAGGACATGAATAAATACTTCCAACAATGTGTTAAGTATGTAGGAAAGGGGCTAGAAAATGGCTAACAATTTGATTGAATTATTGTACATTCTTGGAGAGTAAGTTCGTCCTACTATAATAATATAATCTTAATTGAACTGCATGACCAATTAAGGTTACTAAAAGATAATTATATACTGAAATATAATAATGTATAAAAATATTATTATACAGTGAGGCATGTTGTGATGACTCAGTCAATAAGAGTTGCCTGATGATGGAGAATAAATACAGGGTGCAATGAATATGACACATTCAGGGCAAAGCAGGAAGGAGGGTGGTGACCAGGAAATTATTCTGTTGTTGATTCCATTATGGCTGCACAATTCTTGAGGAATGTCAGTATCTTTCTAGGAGTAGGCTGCACTTTTGAATAGTCACTTTATAGTTTTAGATAGTGCCTTTTTCCCTTCCTCCAGGTAAAACATGCATGAAATATGAAATATCTAAAAAGGAGTACCTGAAAATAAACATTTTGCAAATTGTCCCATTTGAATGTGTTCGAATATGCTAGTATATTTGCTACATTAAAAATCTTCTTGCTCAGTTACTACTTAATATATTGGAAGTTAATTCAAAGGTAATTCCATAGAGGAACATACTTATATAATTAAATTTATATATCAACTTCATATCTATTTTAAAGCTGAAAATAAATTTATAATCTTTCTGTGTAAAACATGACTCATTTTGCTCTTTTTTTGCATTGTTGGATATCGTTTTCATTTCTGAAAGAATTTACATGCGACAATATTTTAAAATAGAGGAGAAAAAGCATAGCTAACACTGAATATTTTAGAATGGCTACATTTGGGAAAAATTGTTTTAAACCTTGTTATTTCACAGTAAAATTAAAGCAACTAAGTTAGAAAAAAAATGTTTGCCCTCTTATATTTGAAACTGAAGCACTGCTTCTTCGCTATGAATAGAAATTTGATATAAGTTACACAGCTTTAGAAAACATACCATTTTATTTATGTCAGTTAAATCTGGACACAACTTTTGAAGTGTATGAGATATAAAAACTTTAATTCTATTTGTTTAGAACTAGGGTGTCATTCAAAATCTTGTCATTACCAAATATTATATTGCACCACCAAAATTCAAACCTACACAAAACAAACAGCATAAATGTCCCAGATTTTGTAAAGAAAAGGCCCATGTAATCAGACATCATTGAAATGTAAGTAATTAAAGAGTATATTTTTCAATGCCCTGAGATAAACTGCCATTGGTTTTCATAATTTTTTAAAGATTAAAAAAAGAAAATGAAAGGAAATAAAAGGAAGAAAGGTTGTCTAATGATTTAGGTTTCTTTACATGGTAAAATACTTTGCCATAGCAATCTAAGCTTAGAACTCCATCAAGTGAAACTTGCTCTTTTTATTTAAAAAAGATGTGATGTGTTATGAAGTCACTGTGTTTCTGTTAAAGAAATACAATCCATTCAACAAACATTTGCCATCATGTATCATATTCAAGGCAATGTGCCTGAAAAAGTAAAAACTATAGGAACCTTGTCGCTTGTTACTTTTCCTTGTCCCTCTCACATTTTAGATGATTCTTGTCAAAGAAATTAGTTGATAGCATTTTTTTCTTTAACATAATTATATTTTATTCAATATTTGACAAATACTATATGTACCCCAATATAAAGCAATTCATGCTAAAAAGTTTTTCTACCATATTCCCAACTAGAACAGCCAAACATTTTTAAATAATTTGAGTTTATTGACTTTTAGCAATTTTTGCAGAGACTACTAAGCTGTTCACTAAGCCTGCTCTTTTTCCCCCTAGGTGCACACTTAGACTGCATTGCTATTAGATGTTTCTATGGATTGAAGGTTTAAGTGATGTGGACCATTCCTAGGCCTTCTAAGTTGGATGGGGAAAACCACAATGACCTGGAGGATGGCAGAGCCTCCATTACCTCAGGTTTCTTAATAACTGTGTGGAATACTATTATACTGCTGACTTGGGACAATTACCCTGGACTGCTATGTGATAATTTAATAAATTTTCTTTTATATAATCCACTACATTTTAGAGGTTTACCATCACAACAGTTTAACTAGATATGTTGAGAAAATTATCAAATGCATTATATATTAATTTTTGAACTTTTAAAACATTGTATATATACATTTAAAATCTATATAGTGTATTAAATATTATGTTGATTTTGGAATAAAATAATTCTTACAAGTCATAATGTAATTTTGTTAAAAGCTCACATGTTTCTTTGACATTAGCGTTATCTTAACTTCCAAGTGAAATGTTTTGGGCAAAAACATTTAGAGTTCATGTTATCAGCTAATGATTATTCCTTTCATCCTCTCCCCTCTTCTGTTATCATGGTTCCCCCTTTCTCCATGAGAGAATAATATTCGATCACTCCATTAGCTCTGGGCTCAGTTGTTGACTTGCATTAATAAATAGAATGCTAGCAGACCTGAAGCAAGAAGAGGTTTTAAATCTGCTGGCAGGGATGGGCTTTCTCCAAAAGTCTGCTTGTCCTGGGTTTCTCTCAGGTAGCTGCTGATCCAAGGAGAATGAGGAGACTGACAGAGCAGATCTCCGCTCAACCCGTAGTCTGAGGCAAAGGCACCCTATCTAACCCACAGACATGTCAATGAGATAAATAAACCCTTAATGCAGTTCACCACTGGTGTCTGTATTTTCATGCAGCATTACTGCAAGCAGTAGCTGACTAATATAACATGTATAATGCTCACTGGAGATTTTAACATAAGTTCCAGCTTTTATAACACGAAGGGAGTTGATCCTACTTTTTATACTTATAAACTCCAAAATCTAACAAAAATGATTTCTTTTTTTCAATTCCCTTTAAACAGATTACAATGACATTTCACATTTACAATCCTGAGACCATACGCCAAGACATAAAATCTCTATTAAATGTGTTTGCCTCCTTTGCTAGTTTTTCTGTTAAATGATCTCTCTATGCATCAAAAACTAGCATTAAATGAAATAGTTTTATGCTAATAATTTTCTTCTGAATAGAACATCTTATTTCAAAAAAGTAGTCTGAGATATTTTTAAGGGCTTAGTTATAGAGGATCCTTTCTTAAGATTTTTTAATGGAGGACCTCATTTTATCTTTAGACAAATGAGATATTTATTTAGCAACACTATGTTTTTGTACTGTGCTGGGGGCTGAAATTGAAAATGTAATTTTTTAGAAAAATATCTTGCTCTCAAAGATTTATGTGAATTTGGCAGCAAAATCTCAGAATACTGAGATATTAGGGAGTGTTGTTTCTTTTTTATTTTTCTCTCTCTTATGCTCATTGCTGTAAGAGGGAAATAAGATATTTATTTAGCACAAATAAGATATTTATTTAACAACACTGTTTTTGTACTGTGCTAGGGGCTGAAATTGAAAACATGATTTTTTAGAAAAATATCTTACTCTCAAAGATTTATGTGGATTTGGCAGTGAAATTTCAGAATATTGAGATATTAGGCAGGTTTCTTTTTCCTTTTCTCTCTTATATGCTCATTGCTGTAAGAGAAAAATATGTTAGGACCACAGAAAGAGATAATCTCTGCCAGAAGCAGGAGAAAGAACACTTCTTCCATTCCAGTCACATAAACCACACAAACACATACACACCTTCTCCTCTACTTCCATCATCTCCACTATCACTAGACTACAGAGAGAAAGATAGAAGAGGCCAGATATCTTGATAGTAAAAAGACCTTGCCACCTAACAGCATACCAGAACAACAGAAAGAACCCAGCATGAATTGGCTGAATGTATGCCACAGGAAGATGATACCAGAGGTATCCTCACTGAAAATCCAAGCCCTGGAAGGCAGAAAGCCACTGGTTTCAAGAGCAAATGGCCACTAGTCAATGGAGATTTCAAGGGTAATCTACATGGACATATGGCCAATGGCCAGAGGGGCTGCATCCCGCTCATACTGTGTCTGAAGGGGCCAGAGTGATTGAGAGGTAGAAATTAGCTTTACAAAGTATGTAATGTTTTGGCATTCTTTAGTTGTTCCTTTGCCCACATGCACACACATTTTTAGTAATAGTTTGTACACAACCTTTTAATTTTATTTTTGATCTTGACTTGCTGTATAAATGTCTCACATTTTATTTTAGAATTTGTAATTATAAATATCGGATGGTCTATTAAAACAATATAATGTAATTTATCCCACCTTCTCATTCTTCAATCCAAATACCATGAAACATTCTTATATACTATATCTTAAATATCCCTAAAATCTGGCCTCCCTTCTGTATTCTCACTACATTATTTCCAGCTCTCAACATATTTCTCCTGTACCACTGTAATTGTGTTTAACCTAACTTTCCTGTTTCTAGTCTCATCTATAAATAAACCAGCTTCGGCAGTGCTGGTGAAGTTGTTGTACGTTGAAAAATCTCTTAAGCCGTATTTAAACCTAAAAAAAGTAGTACCTAACATATTAGCAATACTTCCTGTTTCACAAAGCAAGGATCTCTCATTTGACCCAAGTGTACCCAATGCTCTTCATTACTAATATCTTCACCTGCTTTCCCCAACTACATTGAATCACACCTGGTTGCTTTTGTTGAATTTTATCAAGTATGCCATCCAATCTGATGCTGTGACTTTATGAAAAATCTGTGCATGTATAACAAAATATTGAGGCTATTTACAAAATATGTATCACTTTATTTGTCCATAGGAAAATTCAAATGAAAGGTAAATATAAGTTTTTTAAGAATCCCAAATAACACCCAGAGCCTGAACTATGAAGCAGAATAATCATATATGAAAATAAATTAGGTGTAAATGGATAAACCAAAGGAAGACAGCAGAAGTTGAGGAATTTGAGACCCAGCAATATTCTCTAATTGGAGGCTACTTCCTTGTAGAAAGTGACGGGTCCCACAGCTGAAAGATGGAAATAAATCCTATATTATTTTGCTGAGAGGCACACATTTCTGACATTGTCTATCTGACATTTCCACTAGAAAGAGATGTCCAGTATTACCAAAAGCCTCCACTGGGAAAACCAGTGGAGCTTCCAGAAGACTCCATTGCATCTCTTTACGTGTAAATCTCTTCCCTATGTTGTCTACTTAATATATTAATATATTACCACTAATTCCTTTAATATTTTTCTTAAGCACTCCCCCACTTTCAGTAATAAATTGCCGGTCATCAGACATTCTATGCAGAACTTAAGCCAACTTATACTTAAATAATATTTACTTCAATTATAAAGTTAGCTATTTTTTTACTCTGATGATTTAAATCAGGTTAATAAGTTCAAATTGAAATTATATAGATTTTCTTAAAAAGAAAGAAATAAAAGCAGTATATTTTACAATCCAAAATGGGATAAATTATATTTTATTAAGCAGGAGAATTCTACTCTTTAAACTGCCATAGCCTACATTAGAAGTACTAAGGAAACTTTACCTATCACTTGGCTAAATGTAACCAGTGAAAGGGGTTGTGCTGACACGGGTGACTCAAAAACCCTCAGGACTCAGTAGCCGTTAAATACCCCTCAGCCCCATCAAGCGTTCCTTAACCATTAAGACACCTGAACCATATTACGAATGCATGTGCTCATCTGCTTTCAATAACTGTTAGCCAATTGATAAATTTAATGGGTGGGGATTCTGGGCCTGAGCACATGCATGACCGCCACAACTTCCAAACACAGTTCTATGCTTTCTCTCTCTAGACCATCCTAATGTTTGCTTCTAATTGTTCCCAAATTTATGGCAGTATCAATTGAGTTATTGCTTTGTTTAGAATCTAGTTATACACCCCAAAATCTCCTTTACCTAAGCTAAATCCCTTCTCTCTTCACTTAATCTGAGACAGTGCTTCACAGCAAAATGATTTTGGGGGACATTTTTTTTAGACTAGACTGAAAAAAAAGAAAGAAGAGACACATATCTAAATGTAGTCCCAATTCCCAATTCCTCTTCAACCTGCTCTTTTCTTCAACTTTTATTTTATGCAGAATGTGCAGGTTTGTTACATAAGTAGAGGTGTGCCATGGTGGTTTGCTGCACAGACCAACCCATCACCTGGGTATGAAGCCTTGCTCTCCCTCTCCCCACCCACCCCTGACAGGTCCCAGTGTGTGATGTTCCCCGCTGTGTCCATGTGTTCTCGTCGTTCAGCTCCCACTTATAAGTGAGAACATGCGGTGTTTTCTACCCCCTTTCATTTTCCATTAATAATAGAAAAGCTGTTAATCATGATCTATTGTCTTATAAACCTAGAACATAACTGATGAGGGAATAGTTTTATATTTTTATTTATTTAATTTAATGACATTTTACATTACAGTGAGAAAATAAAAAATAAAGTTTTAACTTATTCTTCTGCCTTTATATAGACCAGTTCACTGATTTAAAGTTATCTTATTTCAACTCTGTAATGCAAGTTACAAAAAAGAAAAAACTTTCTAGTTTATTTGAAAGCTTTTAAAAGAAAAGAATCATGATTTTTTTCCTCAAATGGTTAAATCGGCATTAAAAGACATTTAAAACTAAGTTATAATTTTCACACCACACTTCCTCATAGCTATAGTTGTTTTTTATGTGGCACCTTTTCTCCAAGCAGCACCACATGTTTTATAGACTGTAAGTTACTAATCAAAAGGGTAACTATGCTTTAAATTTGAATCTATTTCACTTATCTTAAAGGTAAGTGCTATTTTGAGTGTTTTGCACTTTCAGAATTTTTCACCTCTAAAAAGTAAGTCAAGTTTCCTTCTGGATATAATAAACTGCCAACAACCTCAACATATTTTTAAAGTTAGTAGCTGAATGGAAAAGATAGGAAGAGGAAGATTGTTTTATGAGATCAAACCTCTGGTTTTTCCTGTGTCAAAATCCTACCTCTAGCAGTGGCCATTATCTGATGACTTACAAGGTGAATGGAAATGTACCTTTTTTGCATTTTGATAACTTTGAGGTATTCTACATGGAAATAGATTTTTCTATAAATGTTTATGGAAATGTGCTAATAGAAAGCTATGTAAACATGACAGCAACCAATTCTATAAATATAAAAAACATTTCATTAGAACATGGATTTTTTAAAAATGGGTTTTGGTACTATAACAATAAATAGGTCTAATAATTGGATTTTCATTTCCCTCCTGTTTTCCAGTAGCAAGATATATCAGAAACATTTTTACCTCTTTCAAAATCATAGCACATTGGGAAAAAACCCTAAAGAGAGCCCAGTTGAGAAACTAATTCTGTAAAATTAATAAAATCAGTTTTTCAACTCTGTCTGCTTTTTTTTTTTTGGTCTGGAACTTTTGGCCTCAAGCAATCCTCCCATCCAGGCCTCCCAAAGTGCTGGGATTACAGGCATGAGCAACAACGTCTGGACCCCTTCTTTTCTCCCAAGGCTTTGACATGTTATTCATTTCTGATATTGGAGTCCCTTTACAGACTGTAGCTGAAGCCCCAGCCCTTTTACTTATCTTCCACAAGCAGGGCTTGGTAACCCCTTCTGCATGTCTTAGATTCACAGGTAGAACATACCCTCCAATTTTTTGGACATCTGTTTCTCATTTCTGCTGAATAATATGACATTCTGATGGAGAAAAAGACAAAGGAGGCATTTTTTCCCTATTGCTTCCTTTTTACTTAATTTAAATTATATTAGTTAAAGCAGTCTCTGTGTGTGTGTGTGTGTATGTGATTCAAACTTTTTAAATCATAGATAAAATGGCAAAATATAAAGACCAAGTTTTTCTCAATAAAATGTTATTGCAACAGGTTTTAAAAACACACAAATTTCTGGCTGGGGCACAGTGGCTCACACCTGTAATCCCAGCACTTTGGGAGGCTGAGGTGGGTGGATCACCTGAGGTCAGGAGTTCGAGACCAGCCTGGCCAACATGGTGAAACCTTGTCTCTACTAAAAAAAAAAAAAAAAAATACAAAAAATCAGCCAGGTGTGGTGGCATGTGCCTGTAATACCAGCCTCTCCAGAGGCTGAGGTAGGAGAATCGCTTGAACCTGGGGGCAGAGGTTGCAGTGATCCAAGATTGTGCCACTACCCTCTAGCCTGGGTGACAGAGAGAGGCTCTGTCTCAAAAGAACAACAACAACAACAACAGAAAAAAACCCACAAATTTCTTAGCAGTCCAGCTGCAAACAAACCTCCCAAAATAAGAGAGAGCAGCAGTGAGAGATTCTGACAGATCCCTGGCATCTCAGTGTGTGTGCTGCAATTACCTAAGGGGATTGAGTTTGATACATTTGTGTGAATTTGTATGGTTTACTAATGCAGAGATTACATGATGAGGGGTAGAAAATAAATTAGAGTATTTTAAGAGCAGCCTTCACAGAAGGTGAAGAAGAAAAGGGAGTTCAACTAGATTCTCAGAGGAATGGATACCAAGGGGCCCTGTTCCAGTGACCTGCAGATATGGGCTATGTTTGTCTCACTGCCTGAGGGATTTGCCAATTATATGCTCTGTGACTACGAGCCAGTCTCCAGCTAGAGAAGAAGATGAAATGGTGTAAAAACACTTTTCAAACTTAGTGATAATGAGGCATTTCCAGAAAGGATGGAAGGAGTAACCTAGTGAGGAAGTGAAAAAGAAAGAAAACATGGTTCTGAAAGAATAAAATAGAACAAAACAAAGGTATAAGGCTGATGAATTCAAGAATATGTTGCAGAAAAGGAAGAAGAGGAGAAATGTGTATTCCCAAAGCTGTATAATTAAGAGTTTTTTTGTAGATGTTGTTTCTAGGGCTCTCCAAACTTTTCTGAAGACTAATTTATATCAAGTTAAAAGAAATTTAAATTGTTATATGAAGAGCTAATCAGAGTGTGGGGAAAAAGTTTAAATGAAGTTAGGTATCCAGCAAGTAATTTTAAAAATTATTATATTAAAAATAAAAGAAAAAAGAAACATGTACTTTCAGTATATGTTTAATTATTTATTTAAAATTATATTCACATACTACTGTGCTGACATATTGCATATATGTTAAGATACACACAAAATATAATTCTTCAAAAATGGGACAATATGTTTATTAAAAAATTATTGGCAAAGTGTACAAAAACTTTCTCACTGTAAATGCTTCAATATTTTTTGTTACAGCATCCAAAGTTTCTTTCCAAATAGAATGCATTTTAATACTTGGTTTTAAGAGTTGACATTACCATTTCAGCTAAATAAAGTACCCAGAAAACATCTAAATAAAATAGAAAAAAAGTGCACCATTGGCTTCAATAATAATCAAGACAAAGAGTTTTCAATATATATATATACATAGTTTGGCAAAGATTTTGTTGAAATTAGGCTTTGCATTAAATTTCTGTATTCCTTCAGCTGGTTGTTCTTAGGAACTGCTTAAAAAACGATTTCTAGATTTTTAAAAATGTAAATAGCAATGAGGGTCTTTATGGGTAACATATTTGCAACAGAACAATTCCAAATTCCTATCTATTAAATGCTACCTCCATGGGATGAGTTTCCTTCTCAAGGTGGGGGAAAAACAGCCATATTTACCATTCAGGGTATAATTAAATGTAATTATTTTTAAAAATAAACTTTAGGTGGTATGCAACAGTGTGATTAGGTTAGGATGCTCTTGTTTTTACCAATCTACCCAATACATGCCTGACAAAGCACTGAGGTATTAACTTTGACAGTTATCTTCAACCAGAGAGTATTTTGCAGAAATCCTTTTATGCAACTTGTTCATTTTTTGAAGGTTGGCTTTGTAGGAATTAAATCACAAAATTTTTAAATTTACTAAACACAAACTGAGGCCACCAGCATCAATCTTTATTATTTATACAATAAGCTTTATATATGTCTTCATTTATGAATAAAAATAATTACAGGCATACCTCAAAACATTGTGGGTTCAGTTTCATATCACCACAATAAAGTAAAGCAAGTCACACAAAATTTTTGGTTTCCCAGTGCATATAAAAGTTATGTCTATACTACACTAGGGTCTAGTAAGTGTACAATAGCATTGTGTCTAAAAAAGTGCATAACTTAATTTAAAAATACTTTGTTGCTAAAAAATGCTAACAATTATCTGAGCCTTCAGCAAGTTGCAATCTTGCTGGTGGAGGGTCTTGCCTTCATGTTGATGGCTGCTGACTGATTAGGCTGATTAGGATAGTGGTTGCTGACAGTTAGGTACCTGCAGCAATACATTTGTCCCATCAATTGACTTTTTCTTTCATAAAATATTTCCTCTTTAGAAATATATTGAATATGCAGTGCTGTTTGATAGCATTTTACCCACAGATCTTCTTTCAGAATTGAAGTCAGTTCTCTTAAATCTTGCTGCTGCTTTATCAACTAAGTTCATGTAATATTCTAAATCCTTTGTGGTCATTCCAACAATGTTCACAGTATCTTCACTAAGATTAGTGAAACCACGGGAAACCACATTCTTTGTCTATCCATAAGAATCAACTCCTCATCCCTTCAAGTTTTGTCATGAGATTGTAGCAATTCAGACACACCTTCAGGCTCCACTTCTAATTCTAGTTCTTTTGCTATTTCCATGCCATCTGCAGTGACTTCTTCCACTGAAATCTTGAATCCCTCAGTTATCCAAGGAAGGTTGAAATCAACTTCTTCCCATCTCCTGCTAATGTTGATATTTTGATATCTTCGCATGAATCACAAATATTCTTAAAGTCATCTAGAATGATGACGGTTTTGCCGAAGGTTTTCAATTTGCTTTGCCCAAATCCATCAGAGGAATCACTATCTATGGCAGCTATAGCCTTATAAAATTTATTTTTTAAATAATGAGTCTTGAAATCCAAAATTACACCTTGATCCATGGGCTGCAGAAAATGTTGAGTTCACAGACATGAAAACAACACTCATTTCTTTGTACGATTCTGTCAGAGCTCTTGGGTGACCAGATGCATTGTCAATGATCAGTAATATTTTGAAAGGAATATTTTTTCTGAGGAGTAGGTCTCAACATTAGTCTTAAAATATTCAGTAAACCATGCTGTAAACAGGTCATTCAGACTTTGTTGTTTCATTTTTAGAGCATAGGCAGAGTAGATTTAGGAAATTTGGGGGATTTTTCACAATGGTAAATGAGCATTGGCTTAAACTTGAAGTTACCAGCTGTATTAGCCCCTAACAAGAGATTCAACCTGTCCTCTAAAGCTTTGAAGCCAGGCATTGACTTCTGCACTCTAGCTAGGAAAGTCCTAGATGGTATTGCCTTTCAATACAAAACTATTTTGTCTACATAGAAGATCTGTTGTTTAGTGTAGCCACCTTCTTTAATGATCTTAGCTAGATCTTCAGGATAAGTTGTTATGACTTTTACATCTGAACTCGTTGCTTCACCTAAAACTTTTATGTTATGGAGGTGACTTATTTCTTAAACTTCATGAGCCAAACTCTGTTAGCTTCACACTTTTCTTTTTTACCTTCTCACCCCTCTCAGCCTTCAGAGAATTGAAGAAAGTTAGGGCTTTGTTTTGGGTTAAGGGAATGGTGTGTCTGTTTTGATCATTTACCCAAACCACTAAAACTTTCTCCAAATCAGCAATAAGATGGTTTTGCTTTCTTATCATTTGTGTATTCACTGGATTGGCACTTTCAATATCTTTCAATAACCTTTTCTTTGTGTTCACAACTTGGCTAACTGTTTGGCAGAAGAGGCCTAGCTTTTGGCCTATCTCAGCTTTCAACATGCCTTCCTCATGAAGTTGAATCATTTCTAGCTTTTGATTTAAAGTGAGAGGCCTGTGACTCTTCCTTTCACTTGAACATGTAGAGGTCATGGTAGGTTTACTACTTGGCTTAATATCAATATTATTGTGTGTTAGGTAATAGGGAGGCCTGAGGAGGGTGACAGAGACTGGAGAATGATTCGTCAGTGGAGCAGGCAGGACACACACACTATTTATTAAGTTTGTTGTCTTATATGAGTATGGTTCATGGCACCCTAAAACAATCTCAGTAGGAACATCAAAGATCACTGATCACAGATCACTATAACAGATATAATAATAATGAAACCTTTGAAACTTTGGAAGAATTACCAAAATGTGCCAGAAACATGAAATGAGCAGATGCTGTCAGAAAGATGGTGCCAACAGGCTTGTTTGACACAGGGTTGCCACAAACCTTCAATTTGTAAAAAATGCAATATCTGTGAAGTGCAATAAAGCAAAGTGCAACAAAACAAGTATACCTATAAGCTGAAGGTTTTTTTTTTTTTTTTCTGACAAAAAGTCTTGCTGTGTTGCCCAGGTTAGAGTACAGTCATCCAATCAGCCTCAAATTCCTGGGCTCAAGTGATCCTTCCACCTCAGCCTCCTAAGTAGCTGGGATTGGAGGTTTGCAACATCACACCTAGCTAATTTTTAATTTTTTTTTTTTTTTTTTGTAGAGACAGGATCTTGCTATGTTGTCCAGACTGGTCTTGAACTCCCAGGTTCAAGCAATCCTCCTGTGTCAGCCTTCCAAAGTGCTGGGATTACAGATGTGGGCCATGGTTCCTAGCCCTAGGTTAAAGTTCCAATATTTTCTTCTTAGCTCCAATGGATCATCTTTATGAATCCTGTACACATGCATTTCATTTTGAAGACGTCTGGTTCAAATGGTTATAAATTCGTTTAACATGTACTATTAGGCTGAAAACCCTTGAGACAAAGATCGTAAGAGGCATGTAGAAGCAGAAAAGAGAAAGAAACTTAACATTTTTATGGATTAGGCATTTTGCTTGCAACCAATGAGGTAGCTGTTTCACTGATTAGAGACATGAGGTTCAAAGACATTAAGTAGCTTACAAAAAGGCACACTGTCATTAAGAACTTTAGGACCAAGCTCTTTTGGAAGTGCCATCCTCATTAGTGACTCTGTTAAAAGAAGGTGGAAATTTCTAAATGCAAAACTGATATGTTTAATAAGGTATCTTTGATAAGAGAGAATGTTTCTAAAAACAAATTAGATAGTTACAATTGAAAGTTCCTGAACCTGAAAACTCCTGATTAAATTTCTTTAATCAGAGAGAACAATACTATCATATTTAGGGCTTAACAAGGAAAACAACATTCACTCCTATTCATGACTAATAATCACAAAGCAAAATGCACTCCAGGTATAAACTACTTGCCAGAAACTACAATAAGGACTCATTTGTTCAACACATTTTTATTTGAAACATGTCTAGGTGTCAGGCACTGAGGATACATTGGAGCAAAATAGATATAATCTCTAACATTTGGTTATTGTCTTATAGATGATACAGTCATTAATTAAGTACTAAAACCAGTAAGTGTTCAATTATAAAAAGAGAAATTGTTATGAAGAAAAGGTATGTGGTATTATGAAGGTTAAAAGTAAGGAAATTGGCCTAACACAGAAGTCACAGGGAGCTTCTCCAAGATCTGAGGGGTAGTGTGGAGTTATCCAGGTGAGAGTGAAGGGGAGAACATTCTGGCAGAGGGCAACATCTGTTCAGGGCCTGCCAAAGGAGGGAGGATAGTATGACTCAGGAACCAACAAGAGGCAAGTGTGACTGGAGATCAAAGTAAGAACAGCGGTATTCTGTGGTCCTGTCATCCTGGAGTTGAAGACAAGGCCAAACAATGTAGGACTCAGAACATTAACATAATTTTGTTCTCTGTTGTGTAAACAGTGAGATGTTTTGGGGGATTTTCAGTAGAAATGACATGATTAAAACTCACTTGGAAAATATCACTGTGGCCAAGGATTACAGAACTGGAGGAGGTAACGTAGAATAAAGGGTGGTAATTTGCTGTGGTTTGTTCTCACCAAAACCTACGTTGAAATTTGATCCCCAATGTGGTGGAATTGGGAGGTTGGGCCCAGTGGGAGATGTTTTAGTCGTGAAGGTGTATCCCTCATGAATAAATTAATGTCTTCCCACAAGAGTGAGCGAGTTTTTGCTCTTGTAGGAATACATTCTCTTGTAGGAATACATTTCTTCCCAGGAGAGCAGGTAATTAAGTCTCTGGTTTCCTCTTTTTTTTCCCCGTTGATTCCATTCTTGTCCTGTGATCTCTATCCACATTTTCACTCCCTTTCCACTTTCTACTATGAGTTGAAGCAGCATGAGGCCATCACCTGATGTAGCTGCCCAATTTGGAACTTCCCAGCCTGCAGAAACTGTAAGCAAAATAAATCCCTCTTCTTTACAAATTACCTGGCCTCAGGGCTGCACCCTCATGGGTGGCTCATGCCATGCTCATGAAAGTGAGTGAGTTTTTACCCTTGCAAAACTAAATTACTTACTGTAAGAGTAGGCTGTTATAAAGCCAGGACACCCCTGAGGGTTGTCCTTTTAGCATGTGCCTGTAGGAAATATCCTATTTCATGGCAAAAGTGATGCCATCTTGAAGCAAAAATGCCATTATGACTGATGTTAGACCCCCACATGCGAAAGTGTTCTGCAGTAAGATCTTAAACAATGCCGGTAGCATAGATGACTCTTATAAAAATACTTATCTAACCTCCCCAGTGGTCGTGAGAATTGGCAAGAAAATCTGGAAATATGAACAGCTTCATCTCTTTAAGGGTAAAACAGTTTTTACCCCAAAAGCTTGCTATACAAAGAAAGCTTTCTGGAGGGCAGATGCAGGGACCCACCATCTCACAGACACCTGAGACATGGCTTTTGTTCTAAGTCCTATTAAATGTTTCTTTTTGACAAACTGCATTTGTCTTCCTTTCTTTAACCTCTCAGTTCCCTCAGCCTTTTGGGGTAGGTTGGCATGTACCTGCTCACCGCACAAGAGTGCTCACTTCCCCTTTGTCCTTGTCTACCACGTTATAAGACAGCACAGAAAGCCCTCATAGGAAGTTGAGCAGATGCTGGTGCCATGCTTCTTGTACTTCTCTGCCTACAAAACTGTGAGTTAAATAAATCTCTTTTCTTTATAAAGATCCAACCTCAGGTATTTCTGTTACAGCAACACTAAATGGACTAAGACAATGCTAAAAGCAACTTATCTGAAAAATAAATGAAGAAAACAATCCCACTTATAATCACTACAAAAATAATAGAATACGTAGGAGTAAATTTAACCAAGAAGGTGAAAGATCTCTACAGTGAAAACTATACAACATTAGTGACATAAATGGGAGAGGACACAAATAAATGGAAAGATATTGCACGTTTAAGAATGGAAAGCATTAATATTCTTAAAATGTCCATACTACTCAATGTGATCTACAGATGCAATTCAATCCCTATCAAATATCAATGGCATTCATCACAGAAATATAATGATAATTTTAAAATTTGTATGAAAAGACCCTGAATAGCCAAAGCAATCTTGGATAAAAAGAGCAAAGATGAAGGCATCACACTACTGAACTTCAAAACATACTACAAAGCTATAGTAACTAAAACAGCATGGTGCTGGCATAAAAATAGATACATACACGAATAGAACAGAATGGAAAACTCAGAATTAAATCCATACATTTACAGTCAACTGATTTTTGACTAAGGCACAAAGAACACATGTTGGAGAAAGGACAAATGTTTGAGGTGATTGATGTGCTAATTACCCTGATTTATTCTGTATCCCATAAATATGGATAATTATTACACATCAACTGAAAATAAAAGGATTTTTAAAATGGAAAAAACAGGCTGATAAATAATGTGGAAAGAGCTCAATATTGACATGCATAAGAATAAAACTAAACCCCTATCTCTCACCATATACAATAATCAACATGGAATGGATTAAGGACTTAAATGTAAGACTGAAATCATAAAATTACTAGAAACAAAAAATGGGGTGGGGAATGCTTCATGGCATTGGTCTAGGCAAAGGCCATTTTGATAAGGCTTACAAAGCACAGGCAACAAAAGCAAAAATACACAAATGGAAATACATCAAACTAAAAAGCTTCTGCATAGCAAAGGAAACAATCAACAGAATGAAGAGATGACATATAGAACAGGTGAACATATTTGCAGACTATGCATTTGAGTCAGGGTTAAGATCTCAAATATATATATACATATATATATATACACACACACACATACACATATATATACATATATACACATATATACATATACACATATATGTGTATATATACATTTATATATTTTTTTCAACTAAAAAGGAAAAGAACAAACACTTTGACCTAAAAATTGGCAAGTTTGGAAAGTTATGTTTTTATGCCAGTACCACGCTGTTTTAGTTACTATGCTTTGTCATACATTTTGAAGTCAGGTATTCTGATGCCTTTATCTTCGAGCGAAATTGATTCATTTTTGCTCTTTTTGCTCAGGATTGCTTTGGCTATTACAGATCTTTTGTGATTTTACACAAATTTTAGGACTATATGCCCACGTTTATAGATCAGAAGAGATAAAATTGTTAAGATAGCAATATTTTTCAACTTAATCCACAGATTCAATGTAATCCCTATCGAAATCCCAGCTGGCTTTTTAAGGAAATTGATAAGCTGATTGTAAATTTGATGTGGAAATTCAGGGGACTCAAAAAGGCCAGAACATTATTGAAAAAGAACCAAGTTGGAACACTCATATGTCCTGATTTCAAAACTTACTACAAAACTACAGTAATCAAGACACTGAGGTACTTGCATAAGGATAGATACAGCAATAAAAGGAATAGGATTTATAGCCTAGAAATAAAATCATTGTATTCAGTTGATTTTCAACAAAAGTGCCAGGATAATATAATGGATAAAAAATAGCCATTTAATAAATGGTGCTGAGACAACAGACTAGCCATAGGCAAAATAATATAATTGAACTCCTAGCTTAAACCACACACATAAAAATGCCTCGTAATGGATCATAGAGCTAAATAAACTAAAATTATGAAAACTTTAGGAGAAAATACTATATAAGAGCAAATATTTGTGACTTGCACAAGACAGGGGTTTCTTATGCATGACACCAAAACACAAGTGACAACAAATTACAAAATTGGACTTCAGCAAAATGTAAAACTTCTGTGTCATAATGATTCAATCAAGAAGATGTACAGAATGAGAAGTAATCTTTGCAGATTATCCATTTTATAATGGAATTTTATCCACAATATACAAAAACTTCTTATAACTAATTAATAAAATGATAAATAGCCTAATGTTTAAAAGGACAAAGGATCTGAACATAAGTTTCCAAAGAAGATATACAAATTACCAAGAAGCATATGAAAAGATACACAGCATCATTAGCCATCAGAGAACTGCAAGTCCATACCGTGAAATCCTAACATCATACCCATTGGGATAACTGAAATAAACAAGACCTATAATAGTAAATGTTGCCAGGAATGTGTAGAAATAGCAACTCTCTCATACATTTCTAGTGGAAATGTAAAATGGTACAGTGACTTTGGAGAATAGCTTGGTAGTTCCTCAAAATGTCAAATATAGAGATACCTTTTGATCTAAAAATTCTATCACTATATATCCAAGAGAAATAAACAAATATTCCAAATAAAAACTTATATATGAATACTCATGCAAGTCTTATTAATACTATTCCAAAACAAGAAACAGCTCAAATGGCTATCAACTGAAAGATAAATAAAATGTGGCATATCCCTTCAATGGAATATTTTTGGCAATAAATAGAGGTGAAGTAATGATATATGTTACAACATGGCTGAACTTTGAAAATGTGCTTAATAAAAGCACAATCCTGAGTAAAAAGAACAAAGCTGGAGGAATCAAATTACCTTATTTCCAATTACACTACAAAGCTATAGTAATCAAAACAGTATGGTGCTGGCATAAAATCAGACATATAGATAAATGGAACAGAGAAAACCTAGAAATAAATCCAGGGCACTTACAACTAATTCATTTCAACAAAGATGCCTAGTACATGCACTGGAGAAAAGACAGACTCTGTAATAAACTGTGCTGGAAAAACTAGAAAGCCACATGCAGAAGAATGAAACTAGATCTTTATCATTCCATCTATATAAAAATCAGCTAAAAATGGATTAGACACTTAAATGTAATATCTGAAACTATGAAATTACTAGAAGAAAATATTGGAGAAATGCTACAGGACACTCATCTGGGAAAGTAATTTTTAGTAAGACCTCGAAAGCACAGGCAACCAAAGCAAAAATAGGCAAATAGGGTTACATCAAACTAAAAAGCTTCTGCACTGCAAAGGAAATAAAAATTAACAAGTGAAGAGAAAACATGTGGAATAGGAGACAATATTTGTAAACTATGCATCTGACCAGGAATTAATATCCAGAATATAGAAGGAACTGAAACAACTCAATAGCAAAAAAATAACAATCTGATTTAAAAATGGGTAAAGGAATTAAATAGGCATTTATCAAAAGACATACAAATGGCCAACAAGTATATGAAAAAAATGCTCAATCTCATTAATAATCAGGAAAATGAAAGTCAAAATCACAATGAACTATCACCTCAATCCAGTTAGAACAGCTCTTGTCAAAAAGACAAAAAACAAATGTTGGCAAGGATATGAAGATAGAGGAATCCTTGTACATTGTTGATAGGAGTGTAAAGCTGTAAAGCCATTATGGAAATCAGTATGGAGGGTCTTCAAAAAACTAAAAATAGTGCTACCATGCCATCCAGTAATCCCACAGCTGGCTATGTATCCTAAAGCAAAGAAATCAGTAAGTTTATTGCTGTACTATTCACAACAGACAAAATATGGGATCAACTTAAGTGTCCATCAACAAATTAATGGATAAAGAAAATACACAGTGGAATATTATTCATCCATAAAACGATGAAATCCTCCCACTTGTGGCAACATGGATGGAATCAGAGATCATTATGTTAAGTGAAATAAGTCAGGAACAGAAAGACAAATAGCCTATGTCCTCACTTGTAGGTGGGAGCTAAAAAGGTTGATCTCATTGAGGTGGAAAAGAGAATGTTGGTTACCAGAGGCTGGGAAGGGAAGGGGGAGGGTGGGAATGAATAGGAGTTGGTTAATAGGTACAAAATACAGTTTGATTGAAGGAATAGTTTCTAGTATTTGATAGTACAATAGGGAAGCTATCCTTAACAATAACTTACATATTTCACTATAGGGAAACTATCGTTAACGATAACATATATTTCAAAATAGCTAGAAGAACCGTAATGCTCCCAATTTAAAGAAAAGATAAATGAGTGATATATATTCCAATTACTCTGATTCAATCATTACACATTGTATACATGTATCAAAATATCACATGTACCCCAAAATATTTACAACTAATTGATATATCTATCAATTGAAAATTTAAAAGTTGCTGGGGAGCGGTGGCTCACGCCTGTAATCCTAGCACTTTGGGAAGCCGAGGAGGGTGGATCACCTGAGGTCAGGAGTTCGAGATCAGCCTGACCAACATGGTGAAACCCTGTCTCTGCTAAAAATACAAAAATTGGCTGGGTGTCGTGACGCATGCCTGTAGTCCCAGCCACTTGAGAGGCTGAGGTAGGAGAATCGCTTGAACCAGGAGGTGGAGGTTGCAGTGAGCCGAAATTGCACCATTGCACTCTAGCCTGGGTGACAGAATGAGACTCTGTCTCAAAAAAAAAAAAAAAATTAAAAAGTCACAAAGACCACATATTGCATGACTACATTTGCATTAAATGTCTGGAATGGGAAGAAATATAGAGGAAGAAAGTAGAATAGTGGTTGCGTAGTGTTGGGAGAGAGAACAGTGACGATGACTGCTAACAGGTAAACGGTCTCTTTTGCCAGGAGACAAAACTGTTCTAAAATTACATTGTGGAGATGGCTGTATACCTTTTGAGAATACTAAAAAACATTAAATTATGCACTTTAAATGAATTAAATGGTATGTGAATTGTATCAATGAAACTATTTTTAAAATCTCAAGCATTTCAAAATGAATTGGAATGGGAAGTAGGAAATATGAGGATCAATGATGATAACTAAATATCTCCTTGGTTAAGTGGGTGAATTTTTGTACCAATCACTAAAATGAGTCCTTGGTTTGAAGAGGGATGGCATGAGTTAAGTTTTGAACATTTTAAATTTAAAATGTTTATGAAATATTCAACTAGGCAGATTAATAAACATGTTTAGAGCACAGGAGATATGGAAATTCGGTTGACCTTATTGTATAGATTGAAATTGTAGCCAAGGGTTTCCAAATTTGAGAAAGTACATAGTGAAAAAGGACCCAGGACTGAGCCTTAAAAAATTCCAAACTCAAAGGCTAAAGAGAGGAACATAACTGGAAATGGGAAATTATCTGTTCTGCGCATCTTCACTAAACAGGAAAGAAAAGAACAACTAATAACATTGACAGAAGTGGATAATCTTAAAAAAATCCTAAAAATGAAAGAATTCCAAAAAAAATAGAATGTTTTTCTTCACAAATATTCAATTGTATCTGGTGAATATTTTTATTCGCCTAGCAATTTTAAATAAATTATACCATTAAATATTTTATATGTTATTTTCTTTCCATCCTTTGTTTACCACCCAATCTTATAAATTAAGGCTTAATTTTGAGAAGTGTGCAATTTATATAAAATTTAATCTTAAGCGATAATAAATATTATGGATATGTATAACTCATCTGAGAAATTTGAGAAACAGACTATTTTCAGCTGTGATTGTTTCATACTTATAATAGCTCATGCTTATTACATGACTTATCTGCCATCTAAAAGTAAATGCTGCTACTTATAAACTAGAGACAAGTTAATCAATGGCAATGTTGCCATTCCCCAATCACCCACTGGCAATTACATGTCATCAAGTCACATTTGCTTTTGGCTGGTCTATAGAATGTCAAAGGAAAGGAAAAGGATATTTTAAAGGTTAGTGTTATATCATGCCAAAGGACATACTGGAAGTCTTTCTTCTGTTTGAAAAATATAACCAGAGGTTATGGCAATGTTATTGTTTCTATTGCCATTTATTCTACTTTGTTATTTGATCTGATTAGGGGGAGAAAAAGGAAGTAGGTCATGTCTGTTGCCATTTTGCTCTAAAGACAAGCCGTAGTGGGAAATAATTAGATGTAGCATATCAGCACAGTCACCTAAAACAAAAAAATAATTCTGCAATTTCTACATTATCTTTGTGATTTGAAAAATCCTGATCCTCACACCCTGAAGGTAGCTGTTAGGCAGTTTTCTGCCTTAAATGGCAGAACACATCAACCAAAACTGACTTAAACTATAAGAAATGTTGGAGTTTTATTTCATGTAAAAATAAGTCAAGGGGTGGGATGAGCCCCAGGCCTCAATGCTCTCGTTTCTCTTTCTCTGATATTCCCTAGTGTCTGTGCTCTGCTTGGGGATAGTTTAAGAACTTCTTGTAGGAAGATGATGGAATGTAGTAGTTACATTTGTTTCACAACCAAACGCAGCAAATCCAGAAACAGAAAAATAGCATTTACTCTTGTGCTTCTGTCTTAGAATGAAATAAACTTTTCCTCACTGCTTGGGATAGATGTCCACTGGTAAGGAGAATGAGATTACCATAATTCATTTAAAGTCTTAAGCAATTTTCAAAATTTAAGATCTAATCTTGAAACTACAGATGAGTTAACTTTGTCATATAAGAAGTAGAATTTTTTTGTTTTTTTTTTTTTTTTTAGAAAATCAAGGCTCTGTTAGAAAGAAACATGGGTTGGGTAGATAGCTAACCACAGTATTTGCTACATTGAACATATTTTCACTGCCATGAAAAAAATACCAAAATTTGTTAGATAATAGTTTACTGATTTTATACATTAATTATATTATAAGTATATAAATATGTAGGTAAAAATGTTTACATGGTCACCTTTGTTTAAAATAATGAAAAGATCTGCATTTCCAACTGATTTTTGTATCACTTCCTGGAGAAATCACACAATCACCTTGCTTAGAAGCCAGAGTTTTCCATGAGAAATAGGATGGTGGGGCTCAGGCCATAGCTCTCTGAGTGACTTCCATGTCTGAACTAGCAACTGTATGACAAAATCAGACTGATAGTTTCCAAAGTGCTTTGTTCAGACCAGCAATATCAGCATCACCTAAGAACTTTTTGAACACACAGACTCTTGGACCCCGCCCAAACCTACTGAATCAGAAACTCTGGGTGTGAGGACTTGTAAGTCCTCCAGGTGATTCTGACCATGTTAACATTTTAAAACTCTTTTTAATTTTTGTGGGTACATAGTGGGTGGATATATTCATGGGGTATATGATATATTGGGGTACAGCCATGCAATGCACAATATTATCATAGAAAATTGGGCATCCATCCCCTCAAGCACATATCCTTTGTGTTACAACAATCCAATTATCCTTTCAGTTATCTTAAAATGTACAAATAAATTATTATTGACTGTAGTCCCCTTGTTCTGCTATCAAATACTAGGTTTTATTCTTTATGTCTATTTTTTGTACCAATTAACCATCCCCACCTTCCCTGCCTCTGCCACCACCCTTCCCAGCCCCTGGTAGTCATTCTTCTATTCTCTATCTCCATGAATTCATTTGTCTTGATTTTTAGACCCCACAAGTAAGCCGGAACATGTAACGTTTGTCTTTCTGAACCTGGCTGATTTCACTTAACATAATGACCCCCAGTTCTGTCCATGTTGTTGCAAATGAAAGAATCTCTTTTTTATGGCTGAAGAGTACTCCATTGTGCATTAGTGCCACATTTTCTTTATCCATTCATCTGTTGATGGACACTTAGGTTTCAGACCACATTAACCTTTGAAAACCACTGGAAGCAGCTCTGTTGTCAATTTTTCATTTTACCAATTGTGCCAGTTTATTTAAATCTTCTCACCCCACTACAGCTCCATAGTTCTAGTGTTTTCATTCCGGTTTTTTTCCTTTTTTTTTTTTTTTTTTTTTTGAGACGGAGTCTCGCTCTGTAGCCCAGGCTGGCGTGCAGTGGCGCGATCTCGTCTCACTGCAAGCTCCGCCGGCCGGGTTCACGCCATTCTCCTGCCTCAGCCTCCTGAGTAGCTGGGACTACAGACGCCCGCCACCACGCCCGGCTAATTTTTTTGGATTTGTAGTAGAGATGGGGTTTCACCTTGTTAGCCAGGATGGTCTCGATCTCCTGACCTCGTGATCCACCCGCCTCGGCCTCCCAAAGTGCTGGGATTACAGGCTTGAGCCACCGCGCCCGGCCTGCTTTTTTTTTCTTACTCTGCTACATACGGTAAAATTAAAACCATTTCTCTCACCCACTGCCCTGTCCAATACAGTAGCAGCAGCCACATGTAACTATTGAAATTGAAATTAATTGAGCTTTAAAAATTGAGGCATGCTAGCCACATTTCAAATACTCAATAGTCACATATGGCAAATGGTTACCATATTGAACGGCATAGATATATAGAGCATTTTTATCATTGTAGAAAATTCTACTGGACAGGGCTGAACTAGAGCATCACAAATTCAAGTTTTTTTACAAAACACTTTTAAGTAACATGCACTAAACATTTTTTACATATAAAAGTGGCGTCAATCTAGAATATATTGAATTGCTGGAAGAAGAGTTATTCACCTTTAATTCTCTTGTATAAGTTTGTGGTTTTCAATCTTGGAAATATGCCAGACAATATATTCTGAAGACAAAAATGACAAAATTGCTTTTTTGAAGACACATAGCTTCTGGCCAAATATAACAAATATTCTTTTCAATGAATAACTGAGCTTGGAAAAAAAGATGGGCAGGTGAGAACTCCAAGGTACATGAAGCTTTGCCAATCTTGGAAACTGGGCGGCTAATTTTTTTTTTTTTTTTTTTTTTTTGGCAGGGGGAGGGATGGATTTTCACTCTTGTTGCCCAGGCTGAAGTGCAATGGCGTGATGTCCGCTCACTACAACCTCTGCCTCCCGAGTTCAAGTGATTCTCCTGCCTCAGCCTCCCGAGTACCTGGGATTACAGGCATGCACCACCACCACGCCCGGATAATTTTGTATTTTTAGTGGAGACGGAGTTTCTTCATGTTGGACAGGCTGGTCTCGAACTCCTGACTTCAAGTGATCTGCCTGCCTCAGCCTCCCAAAATGCTGGGGTTACAGGCGTGAGCCACTGCACCCAGCCACAGGAGGCTAATTATTTTAAGGTCAGTTCAATAACAGGAGACAAAGATTTTGGTGTGAAATAGAAATTAGATCTCTAAATAAATATGAGACAATTGAAGTCTCCTCACTCAGTGAAAGGGTGGGCTAGAAAAGACACTGATGCAGGAAAAAAATAAATAAAATAGTGTGAGTGGAAAAAGTTCCTGAGGATTTGAGCCACAGGTCTAACCTACCAAGGGTCAGCAGTTCAAATGTACACTGTCAAATTGATTCACTAGACCCTAGAATCTCTGACAGACACAAATGCAAATTTTCTCTCAATGTGTGCAAATTCAAGCCAGACTTTTTAGGATTCTCACACAGAGCCATACCAAAATGTACAAGGAAACAGATTGTCATGAATAAGTAGGTCATTACAATTCGTGTATTAGGTGGGAGAAGGAGCACAATGGGAGAGTAAGTTGCAAGAGGAAGAAATTGAAGATTGGTCACAGCGGACCAGAAAAAAGATACAGGCATTGTCTCCTGGAAAATGAAAACCCACTAAAAGATTCTAAGTTAAAAGTAGTACGGTCAGATTTTGTTTTAGAATCTTGTCTATCATAGTTGATTCTTTTGCTGCTTCTTTATTGAAAGGACTTGAAATATTTATGCCTCCTAACTGAAATTCAAGGAAATCACCGTAAGATACGGGTAAGGCCGAAATCTTGCCTTTATAATCCAATTCTGCATACTTGACCATAAGAAAATGGTTTTAAAATGATTAAAGTAGTTAAGTATATGTAATGAATATTTCCTGATCTCAACATCTATAGAAATGTCACATACTTCTTAATAAAATTTTGAGACAGGAAATACTTTTCCAGGGTCAGGGTAGGGAACAAACAGAAAAGACTTTTCAATTAATTGCGTGTATCTTCCGATAATCAATTACTGAATAGTTTGGTTCTCCAATAAGCTTCGTTATAACCTGCTAATTAGACAATAAAACAGCAATAGGCTTTAGTATAGCATTTTACATTGCGCAAAGTAAAATGACAAAATGACACAATTGCACATTAAAAAACAACTTTAAGTTAGACTTTGGTTTCTTTCTACAATAAGAAACCTTCAACTTCTGCACAACTTGTCATAGAATTTTTTTTTCTCCTTTTTCCGCTCATGGCCAAGTGGAAAACAAAAATCAAATAATATAGCATGCTGCCAATTTTGGTCTTTGTGAAAACCCTTTAGTGGTATCTTTCAAACAGTGGTTTCTCTTTACTTAAAATTTTAATTTTAATATATCTTTTTTTACTGTTAAGATAGTCTGTAGCTTACCCATTTCCTGCTGCCACCACCGCCATCTCATAATACCCTCCTTTCCTTTTACTCTAACCCTCACCTCTCATCACCACAGCAAATATTCTTTAAGGTCAATATTCTACAGAATGTCAAACTACCAACCTATTGTTTTCTTGTGTAAGATCCTAAATTTATTAATATTCAAATTATTGGAGGATTTAGCCTTTCGTCCAGTGATGTTATTTAAGGCCTCCTGATTACCTCCACTAGTGGTGAATGTAGGAATATGTTGACAGAACTTAAATATGAATGATATTAAACTGTTTAATAGCCTAGTGGATTGAGGTACATATTAGTAAATATAAATTAATTTAGAGAAAATAAAGATGTAAAACCTGATATCAACCTTACACAATGTAAGAAACTTTTCTATTCACACAACTAGAAAGTTTTCTTCACACCCAGATTTCTGTGACTCCAAATTCAGATTCCATATCACCCCCTTCACTGCTTGTAGCTAAGCTGCATTTCTTCTTCAAATTTCTCTCATGTGGCAGAAAGCAAACTCATACCTGAATTCCTGAGAAAAAAAAATGACCTATGTAAATATAATTACTAAATAATAATTGGTGGGGGAATTCTGATATTTTGATGATGACATTTCATGGAATGATACAAAACATAAATTATTGATATTCATTTCCAAACTTGAGCCAAATAAAGGCCAACTGAGAATCAACTATATTTTTTTAATTATCATTATGAGTACATACATATCTTTGACTATTAGGTCCACATTCTTTGTGTGGTACCAATATTTTCCTATCATTTTTATACCTATACATTAGAAAAATCTCTTGATTGTTATGTTTGTACAAAAAACATATTTCTAAAATTATATTTATTTCAAAATATATGTTATGTTTTAAGTCATAAAAAATAATTTGGGCTCCATCAACAGTGCATATATATATATGTGTGTGTGTATATGTGTGTGTGTGTGTGTGTGTGTGTGTATATATATATATATATATATATATATATATTATTGTTACTTCCAGTGGTGAAAAATATGCAGCTTAGCTGATTGGAAAGCTTCTCTTACTGACCCCATTTCACATACAAAACTCACCAAGATACCAAAGATACTATTATACGTCTGTATATAATTTTTATTTATTTATTTAAATTTTAGGTTCAGGGATAGATGAACAGATTTGTTATATAGGTAAACTCATGTCATGGAGATTTGTTGTACAGATTATTTTGTCACCCAGGTATTAATCCTAGCACCCAATAGTTATTTTCTGATCCTCTCCCTCCTCCCATCCTCTATCTTCAAGTAGGCCCAGTGTCTGTTGTTCCCCTCTGTGTCCATGTGTTCTCATCATTTAGCTCCCACTTATAAGTGAAAACATAAAATCTTTGGTTTTCTGTTCCTGCATTAGTTTGCTAGTAATATCAGTTTAGAGAATAAATGTGTACTCTCTCTGAGTATTGACCTTGGAACCAATTTTGAAAAGATAATATTATAATGTATAGCCTTAGACATTAGAAAATATCTGTACAATGTTGCTGTGCTGAGCCATGATACAGCCTGAAACAAAAGTAAAATTTAGTCATTCTCATCCTGTTTTTACATAAGATGTGAAATTTTATTCATCATTGATTTTTGCACTAATTTTAATTTTTTAAATATCACATTTAAACATTATCTATCTTGATTACTGAGGGGCTTAATGTGCACATTTATATCTGAGAGCACCTCACTCCCTTTACCCTAGTATAGGCCTTGCTATATACCTACGCTGTTTGATTTCTAGACTATTAATCACAATGCCTAGAGATACCATGTGAGGAGATAAATATTTCTTTGGCTATGAAAGTCTATAAAACAATAAGAGTATACAAAATCTGAGTCTAGTGTAATAAATTACACGTAATTTATGTCATTTATTTTTTGACTAGAGATTTACCGCAGAACAAAATACCTCAGAACAAAACACACACACACACACTCATACACAAACATGAAGAAATATACAAACGTATTAAATTATTTGTAGAGTTAGTAGTGAGATAGAAAAGAATTTTGGAATGTTTTGACATAATTTTAAGCTTCTATGTTTTTACTCATTTAGGATTTAGAAGTTCTCTCAACAATAGTTTACTGAACTACTGATTGCAACATATCTGAATATTCATTACCTTTATTTTAATAATTCATATAGAGTCCAATTAGCATCTGTATTTTGGGATTTTTCAGTTAAATGGCAGCTGTATGTTATACCACATGGAATTTTTGGTCTTTGATTTGCTTTTTTGCACTCCTATTACTTTTTGTTTTATGATAATAAAGATACCTCATCAAACAGCTAGTTTGTAGGGTGGGATTTGGGAATTAATATCATTCAGTCACACCTTCAGTAGTCATCAGTAAACAAAGAGTGAGATTCTGAAATTGAGCATATTAAAGGTCATACCAGAAAAAAAATGCCAGAATTTTCATGTATAACTATATTCTAAGTATATATAACAGCAAACAATAATACTATACATTTTATAGCACTCTATAATTCACAAACCACACTTACTATTTTCATTAGTATCATATAACAACTTCAGAAGCTAAGTAGTGTGAGTATATTATTGCTATTTTAATTATGAGTAAACAGGCATGAAGCCTCCCAAATGCCATATGAGAGACACATTGTATTGTTTTCTGTGTATAATGTCACTCAATATTTTGATCAAATGCATGCAACAAATTTACAGATTAAATAAATTCAGTAATTTCAATCTTTTTAATCCAGCCCAAAGAGCCTACCCCTTGGTAAACAGCAAAGAAACATAGTCGAAATTAGAGGATTGAGGTACTAAAACACAACCACCCAATATCCCTTTCTTGTATATGTATTTAATTTATCTGTTCTAAAACTACTATGATGTAGTCCTTATGATGAATTAACAATAAAGGCAGAATTATAGAACCCAAATGGCTAAATAGAAATATTTTATGGAAGGAGAAAAGAAAATACCCAGTCTTCTACTATTAACATTAATGCAAGTTGGCTCAATTGGTTACCTCATTTTATCTTGAAATATTGAGAAAGGGATCTTGAAGAATTGATATAGACAGATCAGAGACTATCAACGGCACAGAGGTGAGAGAACAGAGGCCAGAGAATAGGGGCAACCTTTCTAAGCCTCTTCAACATGAATCCCATACTAAATATCTGGTCCAAGAAAGGGCAAGTGACAAAATAAAGGCATTATCAGCTAATTTCACAACCTTGTCAAGGACTGATGTTGTTCTCATAACCTGGAAAAGTAAACCATCTAAGATATTTTCTAGAAATATCTTCTCATGTTATTTTTGTTCTTTCTAAAGTTTTTCTATATCTACAAATGTCTTTATATTTCTTTTGTATCCCCACGAAGACACATTTTCAATTTTCAATTTTTCATACCTCATAGTCTGTACTATATTCATTCTTATATTGGAGAATCATGTTCTTATATAAATTACTTTTCTAAGCAATAAATGTTTAAAATGTCAGACTCATCTGTGACTCCCTCTTTTCCTTGCCCACAAGTAATATGCTAACTTTTCTGCATTACATTTCTGTATCTACTAATTGCCTTATTCCTAAACCCACTATTCTAATTCAGATTTCCCCATAGGCTACTTTGATAGGCATCTTCACTTGCTTTCTGCCATGTCTATATCATATCTGATCCATTTTGTATACAGCTACCATATTTTTATGAAATACAGCTATCCTCAAGTCATATCTCTGTTCCAAAACCTTGATCAATTTTCCATTGCTCAAGGAAAAATGTACAATTGCAGGCTTACATATAAGGAGCAACTGGACAACCTAACTTTCAGAATTTCTCCAGAGTTGTAAAATTCCATATATTTGCTCATAGGATTCACTGTTCGTATTCTTGTGACCTTCCTCTCTTAGCCAATTTACTACTGTGTTTTAAGACCCAACTCAAATTCTTCCTCTGAACTCCCACAGTGACTTGATTATGAAATATACCACTTTCAGCCTTCTTTTTGCAGTTAAGTTTTGTGGAGTGTGTGTGTGTGTGTGTGTGTGTGTTGTTGTTGTTGTTGCTGTTGTTTGTTTTGTTTTGAGACAGGGTCTCACTATGACACCTAGGCTGAAGTGCGGTGGGATGATTAGAGCTCATTGCAACCTGAAACTCCTGGGCTGAAGTGATCCTCTCTCTGCAGCCTCCCAAGTAACTAGGACTACAGGGGCATGCCACTGTACCTGGCTTTATTTTAAATTGTTTGTAGAGACAAGGTCTCACTATATTGCCCATCCTGATCTTGAACTCCTGGCCTCAAGCAATCCTCCCAGCTCAGCCTCCCAAAGTTGCTGGTACTACAGATGAGAGCCACTATGCCCAGCCTAATGTAGTTCTTTTACACTTCTTAACCTCCACAGAATTAGAAAACAACTGAGGATAGTAATTTTGCAGATTCAATTTTAAATCCTCCACAGTGCCCAAAATGGACCATGTTCTACATAGATAGCAAATAAAGCATGGTTAAACTTTCCTAAATAATCATCCATTACATCATAATTGAATTAATACAATCAAAGCGATTTCCTTGCAAATCTTCATTACAGCAAATAACATATGTATTTTTTTGCATTCAGTCTTTTGTTAATTCTACATATTTGAAGATAGAGTACTGAACAATGAAGATGTTGGCTTCACGGGGGACACAGTCTAGAAGAAAAAATGGAAGGAAGAAAGAAGGAAAGTAATCCCAATAAGTTATCATTTATATTTTGATTGTGGCAGAAATAAAATCATATTATGTTAGGAATAAAAGCATCCATCTACCCAGACTGTGCTCACAAATACAACATAACATCTAATTTATGATATGATTTAAATATAAATATACATAATAGCTTTTTTAAATAGAACTAATTGTCATAATATTCTAACATAATAAATAAACAGTTACTCTAGCTAAATCTTTGGCACATGTGAGATTAACATAATTCCAGACTTTGGGAGAACAGGAAAACAGGAAAAGACATGAAAAATGGTCAGGAAGGCTTATATAGACTGAATGATAATGAAAAGTTGGTAATTAAAACCATGGCAGAAAAAATTGTTGCAGTTTGAAGGCACAGCATCTGAAAAATCTGAAGGGAGAAAGCAAGATAGTGTATTTTTGAAACTAAAATACTTTCATAGGACCACACCTTAGGGTACAAAAAAGAGAACTGCAGGATGTGATGTTATACTAGGGCACAGAATTGAAATAAATTAGTGTTCAAATGTGTGAAAATAAACTGTGATAAAGGATGTCAGTTTCCACACATGGGCTTTAGTTTTTGATACTGTTGCACATCTTCCAATGTTTAATTTGAAAATATTAATGTTTCTTCTTTCCAGACAAAAGTTAAAATTATTTCAAGCCCCTTCCCTCCTCAGACTAACATTATTACATCTTTCAAAATTTTATATGTAAAAATATTATGTCATTTTTTACTTGTTTGCATTTTGTTAATTGATCTCATTTTCATTATTCTTTCATACTCTAGATTAAAGAACCCCTATGGAACAGCAGCAAAATTAAAAATTTGGGGTATGTAGATCTTCTTAAAACATTAGAGCGGTTTAGTTTATTTGTTTAAATACCTTCTTCCAAAATGGAATTAAGTGATCCCATAAGACATATTTCAGTAGTGTGCCCTCTGTTGTCTTTCAGTGAGTGGTTATTAACTACTTTTAGAGGGAGATGAAAAGAATAAACATAAATGTGAAGATGCAGCACACCAACATGGCACATGTATACATATGTAACAAACCTGCTCATTGTGCACATGTAGCCTAGAACTTAAAGTATAATTTTAAAAAAAGAAAATTATCAAGAATATGGGTACCTGTGGCACTTACACGTTATCTAGAAGAGTTTCCAATGGAATTTTGATGTATTAATCAGTTATTAGGCTAAGCTACACTTACAAAGATATTCCAAAATTTAATGGCTCAGCCAACTCAGAAGTTCACTTACTCTCACATACCAGTCCAGTATTTTGCTTTGCCATGTCATCACGGAATCCAGTTAGCCTTTCGCTTGTTCCTCATCCTTGTCCCATCCACAGTACAGACAATAAGAAGAGAGAAACTGGAGGGCAAGCAATTTTCTCATAAAATTACAATCTAGAATTAATGACCATCACTTCAATTTGTTATTCTTGGCAAAATCCTGGTCACATGATTGCACCTAGTTGCAAGAATAGCTGGGAAATCTGCTTAGCTAAAACTCAGGGATTCCATTAGCAAAGGAAAGAATGGGATAGTGGTTGCCGTAATTTGCAGATTCTGCTACACAAATTGACATCTCAAAAACAAACTGATCTATAGGAATACAGAGCAAAGCTCTTTAGATGGTAAAAATAAATGCATTGGGAATTTGAGAGAAAAACTATCCAATTAATAGTAATATAATGATGGACTCCAAGGCTATTGATTTTTACTAGGTAAAAAGAAATAGAACTCACTGTGACATACTCTCTGAATATATTAGTGCAGTGTGGTCTTCTGGCTAAAAAAAATTATAATACCATGAGCAAGGAGAAATAGAATTTTACCCTCAAAATAAAACATCTTAAACTAAATAATTAAAGTGCAAGAAAAAGAGATGCACCTTAAAATCTAAAAAGGGATAAAAATTGAAAAGATAAAAGAAGTGCTTTACATGAAGGAGAGAAAATTGATGGTAAATTTTATTTCCAAACTGAGAAAAAAATAGTTTCTATTATAATCTCTACACAATAATGGATAATATGATTGTAACAGACTGTATTAGAGGAACATTAAGATATTTGGGAGAAATTAGTCAGCTTTTTGAGGATGCTATGGCTGACTTAGAAAGAATACTAACTTTCAAAATTATTTCATTTGTACCAGAGTCAGAGATAAACATTGGGTTTAATGAACCAAGAATCTGTCTTTATTTTAATGAACCAAGACTTTATTTTTTAAAGCTACAGCTAAAGATTATAAGTGTGTAAATCACAGTGCCTTTGGGTAATCGCCTGTATCATTAATACTGTTACAATCAGGCAAAATGGATGTAAGCTAAATAATGTAATTGGAAAGTCAAATCTTTTTTTTAATTTTCTCTTTCTCTAATTTAATAATCTCTTAATGATCTATTAGAAAGATACTACTTCTATAAGTGTTAAGCAATGATATTAACTCAACTGAATTGACATTATCTGGAAATCTCTAAGAATCTATCCTTTAGTGGAAATATATACATGATCACACATTTTATTTGAAATACTGAAGTTCTCCAGTGAAGTTCAAGGACAAAAGTTTTGTACCTCGAAGTCATATTTTTGTTGTTGCTGTCATTAATATATATTCAACCTCTTTAAAACAAAATATAAAGTCACCATTCTTTAGAAATAATTATAATATATGTGGCTCACAGTCCATTAGTATTATGCTCTGACTCATTTTCCTGGGATCTCAGAATTACTTCTGAGAAATTCCTGAATATCATTCCTTGTGAACAGTGGCATGCATTTCCAGATAGCTATGAGATACTGAGTCAAAAATCCAGAAGTATGGGACAGTTTTCTGTGACAAAATTAAGAATCCTATATTATTGTTCTTATGTCTCCCATGATCCTGCATTATTATCTTTGACCTCTTTATTGTCCTCTTTTAATAAACAGACTATAATTTATTTAAAATAGTAAGGTTAGATAAGGCAGGGAACTAGCAATTTTGAACAATGTGCAGATACAGAGGCTTTGAACGCAATTTTAGGAGCTTCACATATGTCACCAAATCTTGACAAATTAGACAAATTATTTTTCCTATTTAACAATTGAGGGAACAAAAATTCAGCTTGCCCAAGTTTTCACTGGAATTAAATGATAAAGCTGTATTTCGTATATGTTTTTGCAAGTGAGAGAAAAGTATGAAAGGTAACTATATATATTCAAGCTTAATTTTTGAATTCACTTGCATTCTTGCTAGATTTCTTATGGTCTGCCCCTTTAGACTGCGAGTTCTTCATGAGCAGAGTAGAGTGGTTTTGTGTGGGATTTATATTGCTTTTTCATGTGTTTTGTTTTTTTTTTAGCAGTGATAATTAGAACACTCTATAGAAAGAAAGCATTTGTTTATTTTGAATTGCTGATATTCACATTTGTTGGAATGTATAGCATTACTTTGGAACTATAAAGAAGGTTCCAAATCTTTCTTCCTAACTCAGCCATTTCAGTGGATAAACTGAGATCCAAAAATAATTGTCGTCTTCAACATCATTCAGCTATAAATAGCAGAATGAAATTTTGAACTTATGTATTTTAATACCAATTCTAGTGAAATTCTCACCCCCCGAAGGTGGTGGGAATTTCCTATAGAAGGTAGCCTATGATAAAAAAGCAGTACTTTAAAAAATACTGCTTTTGTTTTACAATCAGGGAGTATATGTGCAGGTTTGTTACGTGGGTATATTAAGTGATGCTGAAGTTTGGAGTATGATTGATCCCGTCACCCTGGTAGTGATCATAGACCCCAATAGGTAGTTTTCAACTTTTATTCTCCTCTCTTCGTCCCCCTACTAGAAGTCTGTGGTGCCTATTGTTCCCATCTTTATGCCCATGTGTACCCAATGTTTAGTTATCACCTGTAATTGAGAACATGCAGTGTTTTGTGTGTCTACATTAATTTGCTTGGTATAATGGCTTTCTGCTACATCCATGTTGCTGCAAAGGACGTGGTTTTGTTCTTTATTTGCCTGTGTAATATTCCATGGTGTGTATGTACCATATTTTCTTCATCCAGTTCACTATTTATGGTTATGTAGGTTGATTCCATGTCTTTGCTATTGTGAATGGTACTGCAATGAACATAAGAGGGCGTGTGTCTTTTTGGTAGAAGAACTTATTTTCCTTTGGGTATATGCCCAGTAATGGGATTGCTGGGTCCAAGAGTAGTTGTTTTACGTTCTTTGAGAAATCTTCAGTTTTCAAAACTGAAGAGTAATACTTTTAACCTACTTATTATTTTATAACTTCTGCCTTCACTAGCTTTAAGAGTATTTTTTCTCATTGGGAGGCCAAGGTGGTATGATCACTTCAGGCCAAAAATTCAAGACCAGCCTGGGCAACATAGTGAGACTCTGTCTCTATAAAAAAAAAATTAAAATTATCCAAGCACGGTGGCATGAACCTGTAGTCCTAGCTACGCAGGAGATGAGGTGGGAGGATTGCTTGAGCCTAAGAGTCCGAGGTTGCAGTGAGCTATGTTTTTACCACTGCACTCCAGCCTAGGTGACAAAGAGAGATCCTGTCTCTAAATTTTATTTTTTTGAAAGAGTGATGTTTAAATTTGGTCTTTCAATTGCCTTTGCCTATGAGAAACTCATCAACTCAAATTTCAGAGAGCTCCAGAAATATTTTCTAAGACAGGTTCTTGACCTTTAAATTATCTTCACTTTCCTTCTGTCAAAATTCAAGTTTATCAATTTTCAGGAGGTTGCCCCTGGCTAAATATAAGGGAAATATTTCTGCTTTAAACAGTTATTTTTTTCCTTTATGTTGTAAGAAACCTCAAGAGAAACATCACACAAACCCAGAGAAAAAGAAAATAAAATTTTCAAGTAAAATATTAGTTTTCCTAACAATTTTTACTTCTATTTCTATATAAATATTCACAAATGTGTATAGTAGACAAGAAGCTTATGTATGTATAGTATACATACATGATATATATGCAGTTAATTCTTGAGTAAAATGAGTTTGAACTGCATGGATCCACTTATACTTAGATTTTTTTCAATAAAAGTTACACTGAATGTGCCTGCTTCTCCTACCTTCCTACCTTCTCTACCTGTTCCATCTCTGCCACCCCTGAGACAGCAAAAGCAACCTGTTCTCTTTGTCCTCCTACTCAGCCTACTCAACATGACAACCATGAGGGTGAAGACTTTTATGACTATTCACTTCCACTTAATATATATTTTCTCTTCTTAAAATATAATTTATCTTCCTTATGATTTTAATAACATTTTCTGTTATTTATTATAATAATACATTATATAGTACATGCAACATAGAAAATGTGTGTTAATCAACTGTTTATGTTATCGGTAAGGCTTTCAGTCAACAGTAGGGTATTAGTTAAAGCTTTGGGGAGTCAGAGTTATATATGAATTTTTGACTAAGCAATTGATCAGCACTCCTAACACCTGCATTGTTCAAGTATCAAATGTATATCTATTTATCTAGTTTGTATATGTAAAATGTATGTATATTATACATATACAATTGCACATAAACTTTATGTGTACAATTTGTATATACACATATATGTATATGTACTATATATATAATCATGTTTCTTGCACTTATGTCATTATACGTCATCATGAACAAAATCTAACACCATTATAATTGTATTTTCAGCTTTCAAGTGCAGAAAACTAAGAGAATGTATATAAGTTCAGTCCCTCAGATCCCAATCCCAATAACAACTTCAAGTCTGAAAAGATTTTTCAGTATTCACCTTTTCTCTTCTGTGTAGTCATCAACCCAGGATATTCCTCTAGATAATATAATGTTTCCAGACTATAATATTGAAAATTTTGAAAGGAGCACTTAAATTTTTCAGTATCTATAACACATAAATTCTACATATATTTAGCTATGGTGTTATCAACAACGATGAGAAAGCCTTATCAGAAATATTCAAGCTCCTCCCAGGTGATCATAGCTGAGAAGAAACAGCCTGAAGCTCATTTCCTGAAGGTCTGCAGACTACAGGTGAAAGAAATGATTTACATTCATTCAAGTTTGAAAAACAAATGAAAAAGAGAAGATGTGATTTTTGGCTAAGCTTAAATTGTGTACTTATTTTCCTCCCATTATTTTAGCCACATAACTTAAACAAATGATATATTAAAAAAATAAAAACTGGGAGAAGATGAACTGAATGTAGTCCATGTAGCCGTGTGTGTCATTAAGTGAATGTCATATTAGAGCAAAATAAACAAGGAAAAAAGGACAATAAGAATCTCACTTTAAAGTGTTTTCCTCATAAGGAAGTTTCTATTATTATTTAATGCTATGTTGTGCACTTGTTACACAAAATATAAGCAATCAGTAAGTATTTGTGGTATTAAGTAATACTTTTTTACAATATATTGTTGACAAGACAGAGGGAGTGATATATTTTCGACTAGAGAAATATTACTTTCAGGGAATTTGGCTATTTCAGTTGTTTTTCATGATAGGATTCAGATATCTACAAGAAACTGAATATAAAGAATTATCACCAGGAAGCATTTAAACACATAGGAAATATGATTCTTGATTTGATTTGTTTGGTTGTATATGTATATGGTACAGGGTACATGTAAATGTATATGGTACAAACACAGGCATTATATTGTTTTAATGACCCTTACATTTTTTGAAAAAGAGAAAAAAATAGAGTAAGATTCTCTCAGAATTAAGAGCTACTAAAAAGTTTGATCTGTATTCTAATATGCCTTATTATATCAGGTAAAAAACAAAATAAACTAAAAAGAAACAAACAAACCTGTATTCCATTGTGTTTCTCTCATAATGTTCTTTCAAAAATTTTAGAGCTTAGTTTTGTGCTTTAAATGGCTGTGTTTAGTGCAGCATCTCGAATAGAATAATCTCACTTCTGCCTTCATCACCACAGTCCTGTTCTTTCACCCACATAATATGATATAGACACTGGTTAAAAATGTAAATGAGTGAATGAGGAAAGCCTTCTGCCTACCTTGCAAAGAGTCTCAAGGAATCTTTTACTTGGAATAGTCAAGTGTTTATGAAGTGATAGAAAATGTATTAGTGTTATTCTGTTAACAATTATGAAAAGAGTAATCAGTTCGATTTCCAACTAAATATTTACTGAAGTGTAGCACATATACAGAAAGGTAGGCAAATTGCAATAATTTTATAAAGTACACATTCCTGTGTAAAACCATCCAGATCAAGGAAGAGAAAATTACCATCTTTCTAGAAGCCTCCCTCATGAACTCCTTCAGTCAATACCTCTCCTAAAGGTATTGCTGTTTCTGCCTCCATAGACTAGTTTTGACTGCTTTTGAACTTTATATAAATAAAATTAAATTATAATATTTACTTGTTTAGTTTCTTTTTGTATATGTATTTTGACACAGTGTGTTGCTGTCGCTCAGGCTGCAGTGAAGTGGTGCCTATCAGGGAAACCTGCCCCCAATATTTCAACATAGGTTCTTGCTATTTTCCCTAAGTGTTGGCTGGTCCATGAAATAAAAAGAAAGAGTACAAAGAGAGGAATTTTACAGCTGGGCCACCAGGGGTGACATCACTTATCGGTAGGACAGTGATGCCCACCTAAGCCACAAAACCAGCAGGATTTATTAAGGACTTCAAAAGGGGAGGGGGTGTATGAACCAGGGAGTAGGTCACAAAGATCACATGCTTCAAAGGGCAAAAAGGAGAACAAAGATCACATGCTTCTGAGGCCAATAAAGATCACAAGGAAAAGGGCAAAGCAAAGATCACAAGGTAAAGGGGAAAATCAAAAACTCCTGATAAGGGTCTATGTTCAGCTGTGCATGTATTGTCTTGATAAACATCTTAAACAACAGAAAACAGGGTTCAAGAGCAGAGAACCTCTCTGACCTCAAATTTACCAGGAAGTGGTTTTTTCCTCACCCTAATAAGCCTGAGGGTACTGCAGGAGACCAGGGTGTATTTCAGTCCTTATCTCAACCGCATAAGACAGACACTCCCAGAGCAGCCATTTATAGACCTCCCCCTAGGAATGCAATTCCTTTCCCAGGGTCTTAATTATTAATATTCTTTGCTAGGAAAAGAATTTATTGATATCTTCCCTACTTGCATGTCTGTTTATAGGCTTTCTGCAAGGAGAAAAATATGGCTCTATTCTGCCCGACCCCACAGGCAGTCAGACCTTATGGTTGTCTTTCCTTGTTCCCTAAAATCGCTGTTATTCTGTTCTTTTTCAAGGTGCACTGATTTCATATTGTTCAAACACACGTTTTACAATCAATTTGTACAGTTAGATACAATTATCACAGTGGTCCTGAGGTGACCTACATCCTCAGCTTACAAAGATAACAGGATTAAGAGATTAAAATAAGACAGGCATGGCCGGGGGTGGTGGCTCATGCCTGTAATCCCAGTGCTTTGGGAGGCCAAGGCGGGCAGATCACGAGGTCAGGAGATCGAGACCACCCTGGCTAACACAGTGAAATCCCATCTCTACTAAAAATACAAAAAAATCAGCCAGGCACAGTGGTGGGTGCCTGTAGTCCCAGCTACTTGGGAGGCTGAGGAACCCAGGAGGCCGAGCTTGCAGTGAGCCGAGATAGTGCCACTGCACTCTGGCCTGGGCAAAAGAGCGAGACTCCATCTTAAAAATAAAAAATAAAAAAATAAGATAGGCATAAGAAATTATAAGAGTATTATTTGGGAAGTGATAAATGTCCATGAAATCTTCACAGTTTATCTTCCTCTGCCACAGCTCCAGCCAGTCCCTCCTTTCGGGGTCCCTGACTTCCCACAACAGGTGCCATCATGACTCATTGCAACCTGTACCTCGTGGGTTCAAGCAATTCTCCTGCCTCAGCCTCTGGAGTACCTGGGACTACAGGTGCGCACCACCACGGCCTGGCTTTTATTTTCTTTCTTTCTTTTTTTTTTTTTGGAGAGACAGTGTTTCATCATACTGACCAGACTGGTGTCGAACTCCTGGCCTCAAGCAATCCTCCCACGTTGGCATCCCAAGGTGCTGGGTTTACAGGCATCAGCCACCGCACCCAGCCTCAATATAATCTGTAATGCATTCATGTTGTTGCATGTAGCAAGAGGTCATTCTTTTTCATTGCTGTATTCTTTGTATGACTATTCTACAATGTATTAATTCTTTCTTTCATAAATTCACATTTGGATTGTTTCTAGTATAGTGTTTTTACAAATAACACTGTAGATGAAATTCTGATGCATATCTTTTTTTATACATGTGTATATGCAATTGTTCTGGATAGATACCTAGGAAAGAAATTACCGGGTCATAAGGTTTGCAGATGTTCAGCTTTAAAAGATACTTCCAACCAGTTTTGCAAGATGGTTGTAACAATGCACACTTCCATCAAATCTGTGTGAGGGTTCCTGTTGCTCCACAGTCTTGTTTTTAAATTTTAGACATTATTGTGGGTATATAGTGATTTCATTTTTATTTCTCTAATGACCAATATTGGTGAGCATTTTTTCATATGTTTACTGACTATTTAATATATTCCCTATATATGCTGCATGCACAACTTCGGTCAGATTAAGTATTGCAAATATTTTCTCCAACTCTGTGTCTTGTATGTCCTTTCACCCAATTAGTTTTATTTTATTTATTTATTTATTTATTTGAGACAGAATCTTTCTCTGTTGCCCAGGCTGGAGTGCAGTGACATGACCTCGGCTCATTGCAAGCTCAGTCTCTCAGGCTCGAGTGAAACTTCCACTACAGCCTCCTGAGTAGCTGGGACTACAGGTGCTTGCCACCACACTGGAGTAATTTTTAAATTGTTGTAGAGATGGTATTTCACTTTGTTGCCCAGGCTAGTCTCAAACTCCTGGGTCAATGCAATCCTCCCACCTTGGCCTCCCAAAGTGCTGGGATCACCACACCCAGTTGAATTTATTTTTTTCAATTACTTTATACATAGAAAAAGAGAAAAAAAAACCTTCTTTACATGGCAACAGATAGCCATAGTAAAAAAAAAAAAGAAGATATCTTAAATTAATGATCTCTAGTAGGAGCTCAATAAATATATGTTGAATTAATCAATAAATGATGGCACACATTTTAGTTCTGTTCAATAAAACCCTTATCAAAATATTTTGCCTCATTATTTTGTCCAACATAGTAACAGCAATTTTCTAGAAAAAATAATCATGATCAGGAGAATTTTTAAATACCTCAGAGGCCTCTGAATTTCCCACTGACCAAAGAAGAGAAACATGATATCATTCTTGAAATTTTTAAACACCTGTTGGCAGGTATTTTTGAAACTATAAATCCATGTAAATATAACATATATTGTTTATTTTTAACATTAATTTTAATTCTGAAAGATACAATTAAGGAATTAAACATTGATAAAAATTATTAAGTAGTAGAACAAAAAATGGAAAACGATTGTATTTCATTGGAGGTACTTAGGACTTTGGAACGAGAATATTTACGTTAAAATCAATGTTCACAATCATTCTTAAAAGATATAAGATGATGACTACTCAATTACCATTTATAATTTAAAAAATAAAACTCTTTTCAAACTGCCTGGGAATTGTACTGGATTAAACTAAATTGATTGAAACCTGGATAAAAATCTCCATAGCAAGCATGAATGTGAATAAAACACTGTATGTACGAACAATTTCTTTTGCACTTTGAAAATTGCATGGTTGGAGGAATATACATAAATCTGTATAAACAAAGCAACCATTTAAAAAAGTCATTTTAATTTGAATACTTCTTATAGCCCTTAAATTTCAATAGTTTCAGTATATTAGGGAATCTATTAACATTTCGTCTTGTCAACTCTATCATGTCATAATATATGTTACTTCTCAAGGTAAAATAATAAAAAGGATCATTTAAGAAATGAGACACTCCTTAAAGACTAGCCTTTTAAGAGTGGCATAAAATAAGTGTATCTGCAATAATTTCACTCATATGGTCAACCACTGACATCTATTGGCAAAAGTAGGCAGGCAGGGTTTGGTTAACTTATGAAAGCAGATAAGTTTTTTTTTTTTGATTTTTTGTGGGAACATAGTAGATGTATATATTTATAGAATACATGAGATATTTTGATACAGGCATAGTTTCATTTTTTCATGAATATCCACAGGCTTTTCATTCCCCTATGCCATCCTTTCTCCCTAACTTCCCTCTCCCACTGAGTACTGCTTCCTTGACTTTTTATTTAGTGACCTCTCTCCAGTATTTTAATACTTCTAGACAATAATGCATTATCAAGGTGCCATTACATTAGCCAGCTTCTGGGGGTAACATATTTCATTTATACATTTAATAAATATTTTTAAGAATCTCTACATGCTGTAAACTGTTTTAGGTGCTATGATACAAAAGTAAACAATACAAACAAAAATCTAAGCTTACCTGGAGTTTTCCATTCAAGTAGTCAAGTAGTAAGAGAGAAAATAAACAGAAAAACAAAATAAATGGTATAGTATACCAGTTGGTAATAAGTGCTATTATATGTTATGGATAAAATAAACTAGGGAAGGGGGAAGAAACAATTAGGAAGGAGAAGCTGCAGTGTGTTAGCCATGTTAAGTGTACTGGTCAGAGAAGCCTTCATTTGACATTTAAGTAAATCAGGTGCAGTAGTAAGCCATGGGAATAGCTAACTGGGGAAGGAACACTCAGAAAGAAGGAAAAGCAAGTGTAAAGATGCTTAGGAATAAGGGTGCTTGGACAGGTAGGAAGGCAGCAAGTAGACCAATGTGACAAGAGTGGAGCAAGCAAATAGTTGTGTAATGGGAAACCGTATCAGCGAGGTGGATGGGGACATATTCTGTAGGGATGCTCAGGCCACTCCAGGACATGTTGTTTTTTGTTTTTTGTTTTTTGTTTTTTTTTTTTAGATGGAGTCTCACTCTGCTGCCCAGGCTGGAGTGCAGTGGCATGATCTCGGGTCACTGCAACCTCCACCTCACAGGTTCAAGCAATTGTCCTGCCTCAGTAGCTGGTGGCTGGGATTACAGGTGCCCGCCACTACACTCGGCTAATTTTTTTTTGCATTTTTAGTAGAGAAAGGGTTTCACCATGTTGGCCAGGCTGGTCTCAAACTCCTGACCTCAAGTGATCCACCCGCCTCGGCCTCCCAAAGTGCTGGGATTACCGGTGTGAGCCCGTGCCCAGCTGACACGGCTTTAACTCTGAGCAAGATGTAAAGCCAGGGGAAGGTGTGAGTTGAGGAGTGATATGATCTGACTTGCATTTTAAAAGTACCCCCCAATTGGCCACACTGAGAATACACTGCAGGATTAAAACCCAAAAAGCACAGAGGTAGCTCAGAGACAACTGTAGTAATCCAGGGAAGAGGCAGTTTAGACTTGAATCAATATAATGAAGATAGAGGTGAGTGCGTAAAGACATGATTATATTTTGAAAGTAGAATCAAATAGGTTTGATAAGTGAATGGAAGGGGGAAATGAAAGAAAAAGAAGGGGAAAAGAAAAAGACTGTTAACAAAGCCAAAATTATGTCCTCTCTGCAAGTAAAGATAAACCATAATGGGAAAGCCTGAGATTATTCTTTACTTTTTTGCACTTACATATGTGATAAGTTAATATAATAAAAGAATCTTGTAACATTCTGAACTCAAAGACACTGAATTACTCTTTCATAAGATTTTTAGGGCCATGGGTGTTACAAATGGAAAAGTCCATTATCTTTTCAAGTATATTTCAGATACATTACAAAACACACGATTTGAATTTATTGTAACACTATAGTATTGAATTGTTTCCCATGAGCATTTGATAAATATGTTTTCCAAAGCCTCTTCCTCAAGTCATAAGACATTAATTATTAGATCCCCATTTAACTATAAAATTCTAATTGATAAGACTACTTAGAAAAAATATGATATGACATTCTAATTAGAGCATCAATAATATATCCAGATTTAAATCACTAAGGAGGTATAGACCTTCAATAACATATTTCAATACTGTTTGTAATTTGGATGCTTGATTTATTTCAAAAGTGTCTGTTGGCTAAGTTAACTGATAGCTACCTCTGCATCAGTTATGAAATCCGGACATGCAATCAGCAGCTCCACATGAGACACTCTGGGTGGCACACTCTAATTTCCTTGTATTTCCTCCAACTCTTTTTATATATCTAAAATTGGCCATATATCTTCTGGCAAGCTATTGCTTTATCTACCATATACAGAACTTCTTAGAACAGTTCTAAATTCTATCCTTCAAAACATTTTCTTGAACTTCTTGGCAAAATAATTTTTATTCAAAAATCTATCTCTTTACTGTTTTTATTATACCTTTTCTTTTATGATATTGTTTCCTTAGACAATCCAAATTCATTCTTTCCTCACCCCAACCACTATATTCACTTTAACTTTATGTGCTTAAATTATTCAATTCTAAGTGAAGCTATCTTAGAAATCAATAAACTTAGTTTACAGAGTATTTCCAATGCAAATAATTGTTTAAAACTGTAGTGTATATGTGCATGTGTGTGTAGTCTTGTAAGAAGCATTCAAATTTTATTTTTCGTTTCTTGTTTCTGACCTTCCATTTCCAATATCTTTTGCCTCTCACTGGATTGTGAATGTGCCCTTTCCCTACATCTGAAAATCTTTCAACCTTCACCATTCATTCTAAGAATCAGCAATATGTTACGTTTTTATAGAACCTTTCTTCCAGGGAACAGAGAGTGTTTCACATATATTACCACATTCATCCTTAAAATTTCTCTCACAACACCCATAGCCCTGCTTAAACTATGATTCAGTTGAAACCTCAATCTGTATCTTTAGTTCTTTCTTCCTTGACTGCCTTTCCTATAAACTCTGTAAATCACATTTTTAGAATCCTGCATCTGTAGAAAATATGCATAATTCTATCACTCAGGTGACCTTTCTTTCTAACCCTGTGCTCAGAATTCACCATTTCTATTTCAAAACTTTGCCACAGGCCAGCTAGTAGGCTTTAGGTTACTAAGGTCTTACTACTTCTCTCTGTAACTTCACTTTTTCTTTGTAATAGTGAAATAATCTGACTTGATTATCATACTGTGATTACCTCCTTTTTTTAACTACGTCACTTAAATTTGCTCTAAACTACATTTGTGTCCCTTTTACACTTGACCTTAGCCAAAAGGCTGAGAAGTGATTGTGTATTTTAAATGTATTTTCTTTTTTCAATAATGATTAAAAATCATCTTCTAAATTTTATTTTTATGGTCATATGAAATTTAAGTATTAAAATAGTTTCCTTAGCAGTAATAGCTAACATGTGTTAATGTTTACCATGTAGTGATCACTTTGATAAATGCTTAGATGGTACCTCACTTAATTCTTACTATAATAGGTATAAGAACTCAATCCTATTTTCTATATATTACTGGTAGAAAAATAAAGGTTTTTAAAGGTTATCTTGCACAAGAATGTACATAGTGTGTAGCTGAACTCAGACTTTGACTAAAGTAGCCAAAGCACATCCCCATTTGTCATTTCTCTAAACATTTTCTCTAAACAATTACCGTAAATTGAGAGTTAAAAAAGTAGTATAAAATTTGTTTACTTGGATGAGACTACCACTACTCATAGGTTAAAAATAAATCAGACTTAAAAGTAAGTCATTACCTCTAATCAGAATTAAAATAATTCATTACGTTCAATATGCATTTCAAAATGAAATCAAAATCATTACAGAGAACTTAAGAGGTAAGAGCTATTATTCTATAGAGGATTTGTTTTCTATTTTTTTCCCTGAGCTATCTAGTGCCCCATTTTGTTTTTGTTTTGTTTTGCTTAATGAAATGGCATACTTATACAGTCATGTATCAATTAACAAAAGGGATACATTCTGATAAATATGTCATTAGGTGATTTCAATGTATGAACATCATAGAATGAACTTACAAACCTAAGTGGCATAGCCTATTGCTCCTAGGCTGTAAGCCTGTACACCATGCTACTGTCCTGAATACTGTAGGCAAGTACTTGTATATCTAAACATAGAAAAGGCATAGTAAGATTGGAAAGGACTATAATCTTACAGGATCATCATCATCTATGTGGTTCATTATTGACTGTAACATCATTAGAAGGCACAGATCTGTATTAGTGAAAGCTAGTCTGTTACATATGGCCAAATTTATTACACAGTATCAGCATTTCCCTTTGATTTATTAATTCTGAGAAATTGATCAAGATTTCTATGTGAATGTTTCTTCTCATGAAGCTTACATTTCTTCAGTCATTGTGTGTAGCACAAGAGGGACATTAAGTATACACACTGAGACAAAAAGAAAATAAATAACCTAACTTTCAAAATTGTTTGGGTAAAGCTAACAATTATGCTAAATATTTTCCTTTATAGATGTATCACATTTCAAATACTACATACATAGCATATATTTAACGGAGTTTAGTAAAATATCAAGTAAAACTACTTAGTAAAGCAATATATTTCTCCCTGTAATAATACTTAAACACATTTGAGGCTATGTGAGTAGTAAAGAGTTAATTATTTGCACTAAAACCCAAAGGTCCAGAGTTAAAATGTGACAATCTATTGAAGTTTTTGATATGCCAGTGTTACAGCATAGAAAACAAAACATATTCAATAAATTAATCATTAATGCATCTAGATCGTAAAATAGGATGTGCATTAAAATGCTCTCACCGCAACAGCTGATGTTTCATTGATACAGGAAAGGCTCAAATAATCTGGACAGATGAAGTGGTTGTATAATATTTTCCTCCTTCGCCACTTCAAGTATATCTGTCCAATTTTAGGCCCATTACTTTAAAAAAGAGAGCATAGTTTGATAATTTCCCTTCATTATCTGCTTGACTTGATAAAGATGTTGTTCATACATTAAAAGTTGCGCCTTGATTAGCTGAAATCATAAAATAATAGTATGTAGCTTTTAAGTATTTTAAGTGTCTTCCACATAAGCTTTGAATCATTGAAACTAAAGGCTATAATCTGGGCAGATGCGAAACTAAAGACAAATTTCCTATGCAAACATGTATACCATATGAAAGCCATGCAAATACTGCCTTCAGAAGAAAAACAAAGGCTTGTTTTATTTTTTTCCCTCAAACTGAGCTACTTTATCAGAGTACAATTGCAAAGTAAAGATTTACATATTTTTGACTGAAAAAATAATTTCCATACCACATGTATGTGACTTCACAATGTGAAGATTTTAGGACACTGACACAAATAGGTACCAGGTCATTAAAAAAAGAGACTCAGATAGTCGGAGTTACTGTTACATTTATTATGTATTTAATAGAAACACCACCAAAATTCTTCAAATTAAAACTAACTACAATCTAAATATCTTGATTATGGAATGGATTCAATGGTGTTTAGATATTAAACTTAACCTCAAAAATAATGTGGTTATATGAAGATTGTGTAGAAAAGAAAAACATATGGTAGAGAGTATGTTAATATAGAAAAGTTACCACTTGGAAAACAATTCATCTGAAAGAAGCACAGATTTTCTCATCTATCCTGTCAACAAAGAAGGAATCAAGAGAGCAAGGACAGTGATTTCCCCTGCATTGCATTTGTGTGAGTATAAAGAGATTTAAGGTTTATTATATAAATGAACTTGTTACAAAGATTAAACTGATGACATTTAGAGATAAAAATGCCAACTATTAGATTCTTTTCATCAAACTCAGCGAGTTTGGAATCATAAAAAGAAAAAATTTTACTAGCTATTCATTTGGTAACATTTGCAGAAAATAATATATTATCACAGATTGTCAAAGAACTGACACTTTGCCAACTAGTCTGCTTCAAATTTGTAAAAAAGATGAACAAAGGATATCAGACTCCACGGGAGGGGAGAGAAAAAGACAAGAGATAGGATTATAGAACCCATAGAATTTTAAAGCTAGAAGAAATGTAAAAAAAAAAAATCTATCTCATACTTTTCTTATATCCTTTTGGAAAAGCAACTAGAACAAGTAATAATAACATCTTTCTCAAGGACACACAGCAGGTGGCCAATTACCATACCTGAAAGTAATGAATTATATAAATAAAGAAAATGTGAGAAAGATGTTACATACAGCATAGAAAAGCACATTAAATATAATATTACTATTTTTATGTCTTTACTTATATATGGTTAAATGACTTGAGTAGAACTTGATAGGATAAAAGCACTACTTCAACAATGTTTACAGTTTTAAAGATATATTTCAGTTAGTACTTTCACTATTCTTCAAATTTTATTTTTAAAATAATTTTGAAAAATGCATCTTCATGTCACTCTAAGTAAAGTCTTATTAACTTATAACTTATATTAAGTTCTTTAAAATTAGTTTATATAATTTTAGTTTGTAATTTCATAAAATTTTTAGTCAACATGTGCATTCACAACTCAAGATGAAATGGTTGTTACTTTGTTTTGGCATTTACTAGTACATGTATTATAGTATATGTATAACATATTAGTGGTTTGTACCATGCCCTAAAACTTATGACACCAAATGCTGGCAACTCTTTCTCCTGCTTTCTAAAATGTATTATAGTCTAAAATATTAGTAAATATTAATATATTCATCGTATAATTGCCTTTTTAAGAAATCAATATCCTGTTATTTTTAGACAATGTCAAAATATTGCATTATCTAAAAAAAACCTAGTCATTAAACTTAGAAATGTCAAGTACACCTGTGAATTTGTTAAGGGGACACTATAATTTTCTATTTGATTTGAAAATAAATCAAGCAGCCACAGCATTCTCGAAGTAACACTATTAATTACTTCTGCTAATTGCCTCTGTGCAATTGGGAAAGAAGTAAAGCAATCTCCTCTGGTTTGATTTGAAGGACATCACAGGATCTCACCCCATCAGACTGCCTCTAACATTCCCCCTCCTTGGGGCTAGACTCTATCCCTCCCAGAACAGCAAAATCTGCCAGAAGTTTTACGCTGAGCTAAACTCTCTGTTCAGGCCTTTATGCGATGTTGTCCTCGCCCAAGATTTATCTTCCAGCAGAAGAACAGGGAGAATGTCGTATCTAAAGGAGAAATTCCTAGGTCAGATATCATTTACTTCTTAATTTTGGCTTAGTCTGTCTTTATTGATGGGTTTTATCATTCAGGAGCCATTCTAGTACTTAAAATGATATTGATTAATCTTCATACTCATCATTGCTCAAGCTTGGAGGAAAAAAAGTTTATTGAAAGAATAAAAAACCCTTTCTATTCAACAATTTTTTGAAAAATAACACTTCCAAGAACTATTGCTGATCCATGTCATTGTCACCATAAAAACCAGCTGGTAATTTTTACTTAGATATAAATGAAAGATGGGAATAATTTTATGTAGTCACGGTGTCTATCTGTAAATCAATAAACAAAAAGAAGGGCAGAATAAAATCCATTTTAAGAGTTCAAGAGTGGGTAGAGTGGCTCATGCCTGTAGTTCTAGCACTTGGGGAGGCCAGAATGGGAGGATTGCTTGAGGCTAGAAATTCAAGACCAGTCCGGGAAAATTAGCAAGGTCCCCTCTGCACCCCCATCTCTATAAAAATAATTTAAAAATTAGCCTGGTGTGGTGTGGTGGTCCACACTTGTAATCCTAGCTACTTGGGAGGCTGAGGAGGGAAGTGTCACTTGAGTTCAGGAGTTCAAGGCTGCAGTGAGCTATGATTGCACCACTGCGCTACAGACTGGGTGAGAGAACAGAACCCTTTCTCTAAAAATCCAAAAAATAATCCAATGAGCTTTTAACATGAGAATCCCTTCCAACTTTTTTTTATATCAGTTGTTTCAAAATGTTTGTTTTCTAGGAAAATTAATCCTCCAATCTATATGTATGTGTGTACATATATATAATTTTCTTCTGCTGCTATAGGTTATCCAAAAATAAGAAAACAAACAAGCAAATAAAAATTGATATTTGGAAAGAATTTTACATGCTCTTTGCTAAGGCTATGTATGCAATTTTCCAAAATGAGAGAAATACCTGAGTAATCAAGCAACCTTACCTCCATATTTTTTAAAAATAATACATTCATTGAAATGAGACACTGGTTAATTAAAAAAACAAGATGAGCTTTAAGGGATGACCAGTATTAAGTAAACTTCTGAATCTGCCAGTTATCAATTGTGATTATTCAGGCTACTTTTCTGATTTTTTGAGTCATTTTAGCTACTACATAAGGCACCTAAGTGGATAAAATTGATTTTTTGACATAGAACTTCTGCTACAATGTGTGATACATAGTAGATGTTTAATAACTGATGGTTCTCTTTCCTCTATGTGCCTGCCATTAGACTGGTTCTAATCCCAGCTGTGCAATTCTGATAAGATTATTCAACTCTCCATGCCTCTGTTTCTTCATCTAAAAATGGTGACAAAGGGGAGCTGAAGAAGGATACTCAATTGTGTTTTACCTGTGGTTGCTGGAAGTCAGAAGCCTTTGGGTAAAGGGAAAAGATGATGGATCCACACAGTGAAGTATTTTATAGCAATTAGAAGCAAAGGTCACACAGCAATACAGATAGATCTTTTTAAAACCGCAATACCAGATGAAAGACATTAAGAAATAGAAGGGTAACAACACACACTGGGGCTTTCAGAGAATCGAGGGTGGGAGGAGGAAGAGGGTCAGGAAAAATAGCTAATGGGTACTAGGCTTAATATCTGGGTGAAATAATCTGTTCAACAAACCCCCATGACATAAGTTCAACTATCTAACATACCTGCACTTGTACCCCTGAACTTAAAAGTTAAAAAGAAGCAAAATGAAATATATCACACAATGACATTTGTTTAAATTAAAATATTTGCATAAAAATTGCAACACACATTTTGCAAGAATACATGCACACAGATGTTCAACATCACAAATGTGGCATGGGAGGTTGAGAATCAGAGCACCTCATACAGTAGAAACTCAATAAATGCTAATCCTCTAGCACAGACCATGTAAAATGTAAAGGAATGTGTATGTGTATGTGTATGTGTATATGTATGTGTATGTGTATGTGTATGTGTATGTGTATGTGTATGTGTGAGGATGTGTTGTAATAACCTCTCCAGAATTTCCTGGTAAGAAAATACATTCAATCTAAAGCAGGGCTACCAGTGATAAAGCTAAAACCTTGCTTGAACATGACTTTTATGATTTACTATATTATTAATTTAACTTCCTACTGCTACATTAGCAGTTTCAGAAAAAAAGAGAATAAGAAATAACATGAGAAGAAACAAAGCAAATTTAGAATTAGCTAACTGACTAAAAATATTTTTATATTTTTTCAGCTTGGCTGACCTTAAGTTAAACATTTGTACATTTTTATGTCTGGCAGCAACAACAAAAAAAGATTCTAAACACTAATTATAATGCTTAAGGATTTACAAAACTTTGACTCCCCATATCATTTATAAACCTTGCAATTAGCATATTTTTAAAGGATTGACTGTATAACAGGTAATATTACCATGACTCTATATTTTTAATTCATCTAATTGAATATCTATTTTGAATTTGAATTTTCAGTTTAATGAAGAAATATCCTAATATTTAAATTCTAAAGCTAAGACTTCATGTCTCTAAAATATGTATATTAAAAGCTATTAATAAAATTAAGTCAATATTCATGACAAAATTACCCTTTTCTGTTAGATTTAGATTTCTATTCGACCCCATTTTTTCTAGTAAGCACTTCTTTAGAAACAGAAAGAATAATACACCTTGATTTTCGAGAAGAAATACTCTTTAAAACTGTCCATCAACTAATGAAACCACCAATTTAATTACTTTTCTCAATCTCAAGAATATAAAATGATCTAATTTATAATTAGTGTTATGATAAGTGCCTAATAAACTTAAAATGATTTGACATTAGGGCTGAATTTTCATTGGAACTGGTGGAAAGTTTTATAACTCAGGGATTTTCTAATCCCCAGGCATATTGATGAAATCTAACTCTAATATAAAATCATCCTGATCCTTGCTGTTTTCTGATTATAACTTTAGGTACCAAACACTACAAAAGTAAATAAATTAAAAAGTTATTGACACTTCATAAAAAGGAGCTAATTCTTATTGATTTTATTTTAATGCCATTTTTACTCTTATATTAATCATTTGTATATTTATAATATGAGCATAAGTTAAAAGATGTACCATATGCATGTACAATTAGTATAAATCAAATTATTTTCTCATGAATCTGACATACTCACTCTTTGATGTATTAAAAAGAGCCCTGATCTGAAGAGAATATGATATTTGAGTCTGTTTTTATTTTTAATACTTGAAATAAATCTTTCATTTTGAGTAGGTCCTTATATTAGAATTGAAAACTTTGACTAAAAAATAAAAAACAGCTAAAAACACAAACACACACCCACAATTTTCCCCAACACACACACAGAGATTATAGCAAGTAAATCTTCTGCAAGTCTCATTTTTAAAAAGTAATTTGATGCAGATTTTTCTTATAATATCTTTTAAACACACAATATGTTCCCAGGAAATTACAAGTGGAACGGCTAATCTAATATCCTGCCCCTTGCAGGGGACTGCAGCTGATAACTTCCAGGGAAATTGACAACTACCCAGTCTTTCCCCTCAGGAATGTACATGACTTCACAAGAAAGGTATACTCAGTTCCTTTAGAACCTGAGAAGATTCATTTGAATATAGAAGCATGACATTCAAATATCTAAAGTTCATTATAAATTTTGTGTCAGCAGAAAAAAAAATCCTATCATGGAAAGGATCAATCTAATCAATCAAATTAATTGTTCCAAACCTCAGAATATTTTTTCACACTCCCAGACCAACAGGCCCATCAAATGCCACAGGAAGGCTCTCTTAGGAAGAAATTTACAAATTCACAGTTCTAATGAATGGCACATAAGCTTTCATTTACTTCCACAATTGTTTTCCCATTCTGAGGCTGGACTCACGATTTTATCCATTTCTATGTAATCAATAAACATTCTCAAACATACAACTGAAATGTTTGTTTCTAATAACCCATTTTGTGTTCTAACAATCCCCTTAATTTGTATCTTCTAAATCAAATCTCCTCATGACATTACCTGGTTTCCCAAGTTCTTCCACTAACGCCAGACACTTCCAGCCAGGATCCCACGCTAGAGCACACCACTCAAACAACTCAACACCATCTCCCCAGATTTCACTGCCTATTGTCCTATTTGTTCACCCTTCTAAAAGGGTGTCTTAAACTGTCTTAAACTAAGATTCTAATAACTGCAAAAAGTTTACTCTGTCAAAATAAGCATTATTTAAATTCCCTGATACTCTGGATTGGATTCTGAAGTAGAAAGAGGAAATCAGTGGGAAACCAGATGAAATCTGAATAAATTTCAGAGTTTAAATATCAGTAATATACCACTGTTGACTTCTGTTTTTAAAAACCTGTCATGATGATGTAAAATATTAAGGGGGCGGGGATGGATGAAGCATCTATCTGGATTTTATATCATCTTTGCAACTTGTCTGTAAGACTAAAACTATTCCAAAATAGTTTATTTAAAAAATAAGTGTTGTGTTTTTAAAAGAGACTTCATTGTATTGACACAAAGGATGAGGAAGATGGAAATTGCAGATACAGTGTTAGTTTTGCAACAAGAGAAGTTTGAGATGAAGAAAGTGTAGTCACTCCTTGTTTTACCCCACAAACGCAGTTGCCTCTTTCTGCCTTTGCATAAAGGTTGGCTGTGAAGGAAATTCCATTTATTTGCATGGCATCTGCTCAGGCAACTACATAATCTCAGATTTGCTTTTCAGAGAGATGAATCCTGTTGCATTATGGAGTATGGCCTTTAGAAAGGAAAGAGAAGTTGCCAGGTGAGCACTTACGGCTCTGTTGCAGGCACGTTAGGCAAAAGTTGTGATAGACTAGTGAAAGTAAAGAGAAACTGAAATGAATAAATCAGGAAATATGAAGAAAGTATATAACATGAAGAAAATAGATAATGGCAAGAGTGAGGGAAGAATGAAAAATGACTCCCAGGTTTGCTTGTCACTGAGTAGATGATTGAAAAATTGACTGGGAAAAAAAGTTATAGAAGGAGACATGTGGATAGAGGGCAAAGATGATGAGCATATAGATGCTTAGACGCTTATGGAGATTTTAAGTGGCAATGGAAATGATAATAAGCTCAGAAGAAGGGTTGAACTGCAGGTGAAGACTGGACAACCATCAGCCTGAAAGTGATGTGGATAAATTTCCTGAAGATTACTTAAAAAGTTATTAAGATGATCCAAGTAGAATGCATAGGTTCAGAAATGAATAAAAACTAAAGTTCCAAATCATATAAATACACAGCCCAGAGATTATAAATCAGGCTATTCCTTAGACAGATTCAAGTATTATGCTAAGAAATGTATTCAAAAAAAGTTGTTTGTAAGGAAAAAAAACCTGATTGTTAAAAAACTAATTTTGCCTCATGTAAATGTTTACATCATGTTTCATTGTTCATCCCTAAGAAATACCACAGTTAATAGAGAAAAGCAAATATATAGCTACATATAGAAAGAAATAATACACATGTAATCATTATTAACTGTTTCCACAGACACATGTTTATTTCTCTACAGTCATAACTTCATAAAAACAGCATAAAGAGTTTTCTTTAAATATTAAAGGATCAATGGGTCTTTTTACTAACAATATCTTTAGTTATATTTTGGTTGAAACAAAGTTAGTAAAGCTCTAGAATGACAAATTCTACAAGATATTTAAACAATTTTCTCATTAGGCAAGTTTTCTCTTCAGTTTGATTACTGATCTACATTAACATATAATTTTTCCTTGTTTAGATTTCTCTATTGAAAGAGATCTGCTTCACAGCAAGATAAGGCATTAGCAGTTGCACTTAACAATTTCATATAGCAGTAGTTGTAGAATTGAACTGAGTATCAAGCATATGACTTCTTGTTCCCTTAAGAAGAGTATTTCATTTCAATGTGAATTTCACATTGGAAAAAACTGAAATAATGATTATGTTGCACTTGGAAATCTGCACATAAAACACCAAAAATATTCACAGAGGAATGTGTGTATGTGTGTGCGTGCACACACACACACATAATTATAAAATTTTGGCATTCACACACACACATAATTATAAAACACACACACACATAATTATAAAATTTTGGCATTCAAAAACCTCCATCCATAGAAAAAATTACATTTGCTTTATTCATATTTATTAAACACTACTTATCCTAACTTCGATGTTAAAAAATTTTATATTGAATCTCATCAAAGGTAAGCCTACAAAGTCCATCCCAGGCCAACAAATGTCTTAGTAACATGGTAATCATTCAGAAGCTTAATTGAAAAATAGGAAATTGATGAGTCTAAGAGAAGGCTGGAAAGGTGAGACTCTATAAGCTACAAAAATCCTTTTGGTGATAACAGAGTTAAATCTTGGCCTCTTCTCTCCGTTTTTAATTTCCACTATCCTTGGGAATAAGGATGATCTGGCTTGAATATCTTATTTTAGTTTTGTTTTTCAACTTTTATTTTAGGTTATTACATTATGCTTGGGTTTGGTGTACAAGTGATTTCATCACTCACGTAGTGAGCATAGTACCCAATAGGTAGTGTCTATTTTTCCCATCTGTGTTCACATGGACACAATGTTTAGCTCCCACTTATAACTAAGAACAGGAGGTATTTGGCTTTCCGTCTCTGAATTAATTTGCTTATGATAATGACCTCCAGCTGCATCCACATTGCTGCAAAGGACATGATTTGGTTTTTGTTTTATAGCTGTGGAGTTTTCTATGGTATATATGTAGCATATTATCTTTACCCAGTTGATGGACATCTTGGTTGAGTACCCATCTTTACTAATGTGATGAATATATGAGTGCATGTGTCTTTTCGGTAGAACAATATATATATTCCTTTGGGTAAATATCCAGTCATGGGACTGCTGGGTCAAATGGTAGTTCTGTTTTAAGTTCTTTGAGAAATCTCCAAACTGCATGGCACAGAGGCTGAACTAATTTACATTCCCACCAGTGTATAAGTGTTCCCTTTTCTCTGCCACTTTGCCAACATCTGTTATTTTTTGACTTTTAATAATAGCCATTCTGACTGGTGTGAGATGGCATCTCATAGTGGTTTGATTTGCATGTCTCTGATTAGTGATGTTGAGCACTTTTTATATGCTTGTTTGCTGTATGTATGTCCTCTTTTGAGCAGTCTCTGTTCATGTCCTTTGCCCAATTTGTAATTGGGTTGTTTTTTGCTTGTTGAATTGTTTAAGTTCCTTATAGATTCTGGGCATTAGACCTTTGTCAGATGCAGTTTGTGAGTTTTTCTAGTTTTAAATCATCTTGTGATACTAATAAAATTTTTATTTGATTAACTGGAGACAGATCCTGCAGAAAGAATATGGATCTGTATATGTTAACTTGAAAAACAGAAGTTGTATTCTATAGGAATGATTTTAATTATTTACATTATTAAGATAAAATATGGCTCTTCTGCGACTCATAATGGATACTTGAAAGCTATGGATCCTGCAAATATTACAACTTAAATATAAGGAATATGGAATGACTGTTGTCTCTATGGACTAACAAATCTAGGTAGCCTTTGTGGCACTAGATTTGTAAAAAGGTTTGACATGACTTTAAAATAATGATGTTTCTTTTTATGTTATACCACTTAATGATATAAAAGTTATTTTAAAATACATTAAGCCATTATGATATAAACAATGGTGTTGTATCCAGTGTTATTGAACTGGATAGAGAAAGAAAGAAGCCAAATTAGACTCTCTTAAAACGGCTAAACAAAATGTGTTCAAATTTTAACTCTACAGCTTGCTAATTTTATGACTTAAGTAAGATAAATTCCACACCTAAAAAATATGGTTAATAATATTTACCTCAAAATTATTTTTAACAACTTGGAATGACATAAGGAAATAATTCTATAAATTGAAAAGTACTTATGTGTGTACTCATTATGTTTGTCATATTGCTTAATCAACATGAAAGCCAAGCAAGTTGTCTTTATTTTGATGAATAAAATTCAAGAAATTGAATAGGCAAAGTGAAATACAATTTTCTCAGTTTTAGAATATGGAAATGCACACAATGATAGAGTCCTGTTGAAACAAAAGTATTTCACATGCAATATGTATTAACTCAGTTTGTATTTATAATATACACAACTGTTTTCAAACACAATATTCTTCCCAAACTTTGGAAGTAGCATCTTTATGTGCCTATCATTTAAGTCAAGAAGGACATAAATTGTACTAACCACTTGTTCACAGCAGGTGAAGAATGCCAATAAATTAATGTACAGATCTGCATAATTCTAATATTATAGATAGTAAAGTTAAAAGAGCTCTCCAAAAAGTTCTAACACACACAAAGTTCTAGGGCTCTTTTATCCTGTTTTAGAGTATTGTCAAGGATGGTAGAAAAATCCACTTTATGTTCTAATAAAATGGTTTTTCGATGAGTCCTAGAGAAGTCAGCCATTTCCTTCAAAAATAATAATAGAATGTGTAGAAGCACATAAACTCTTTCAATGTGCATCGAATAATAGAGAAATTGTTAAACATTTAACTGACCTAAGAAGCTATACAAGTCACCCAAACAGCATGTGACCTTAATAAAGAGGTGGATATGGGTATTACCAGGTGGCAAAGAGCAATGAAAAAAAAGAAAATAAGTGCAGTATAAAATGTGCAGAGTTCAGGAAAATGACAGTAGCCTCCGAAAAAGCATCAGAAAAAAGAAGTGACAACAAAATATTCTAGCAACGAGTAGATTATAAAATACACAGATCATATAAATACAAGAAATCCAGAAAGTAAAAATCTAGTAATAATGCTAAATCTCAAAAGTCTATGAGATTTAAAATTATTGCATTTTAAAACATTCTTTTTTTTTAATTTTTTTATTTATTTATTTTTGAGACGGAGGTTCACTCTTGTTGCCCAGGCTGGAGTGCAATGTCATGATCTCAGCTCACTGCAACCTTCACCTCCTAAATTCAAGCGATTCTTCTGCCTCAGCCTCCCGAGTAGCTGGGATTACAGGCATGTGCCACCACACCCGGCTAATTTTTGTATTTTTAGTAGAGACAGGGTTTCACCATGTTGGCCAGGCTGGTCTTGAACTCCTGACCTCACGTGATCCACCCACCTCAGCCTTCCAAAGTGCTGGGATTACAGGTGTGAGCCACCACTGGAGGCCACAAAAAACAGTCTTACAAGAATTTGCCATCTGGAAAGCAAAGTTCTATTAAGTAATAAACCGAGCATTTAGTAAATATAGAAAGCCTGTTATATCCCCTGTTATATGCATGAAATGATGACACGAGAAATGAATTAACATGGCAAAAAATAAAGACTCTGACATATAGCAACTGAAGATTTATAATGTCTCATGAAATGCTGATATTTAAGTCATATTGTCTGATCAAAGTGGAAACCAATAAGGTTGTCTTTACTTTGAGGAGTAAAATCCATGTAATTGGCAATGTGAACAATATCCCATAGGCAAAATGAATACCATATTCTCAACTTTAAAAAAGAAGGCATACAGGGCCGCGTGCATCTCTGTCATGGACACACGTGATTGATCCTTTAACTGTATTCTTAATCACCACATATGCATGCCAGGCTGGGCATGGCTCCGAGGGCGGCCAGGGACAGACGTATGATACAAGACTATTAGAATTAATACTAATTTCATATGTAAAATATATCACCTCAATTTACAGGATAGGAGGTATAAGAATTAGAGATAAAAATTAAACACAGATGGTTACCTAAAATTAGTTGATTTTATTATTTATAGAGTAAGTGCTTAGTAGTTGAATTAATAATTTAGTAATTGAATTAATAATTTGTCTCTATGGTTCATTATGTTTTTCTAAGTTAAATGTTTCCAAGCTTCAGATAAGAATCTTAATAAAACAGGCCATCAACTATGCTAGGCCATTATATTACTTTCTTTAATCAAAATGGCAAAGACTTTTATTTTTAATGATAAAAACTCATTGTTGAAAAAGTTTAGAGAAATAGGACTTGCAAAAGCAAATAGGTAAAGTGTGTCTAATGGGAAGATTGGAAATAATTATCAAAATACACATTCTGCTTAAAATTTGATCTAGCAATCTCATTTCTAAGAATTTACATTGATATAACTATATATGTATAAAATATGTGTACACTAGGATGTTCGTCACAGTAATACAATAGTGGATAAGGAGAAATAACCCTTAAGTTTAATAGAGGATTGGTTAAAGAAATCAACAAATAATTTGCAGGTGATAGCTGTTATGTACAAGAATCATATTTATTGGTATAGAAATATTAAAGCTTGATATTGAAGTCTCATACATTCACATGGTAAATATGATTAAATTCAATTAACTTACTCCTTTAAAATGTTATACAATTTAAAATTATTTCTCATAGATCAACTTTACAATCCCATGAGAATTTTTTTTCTTTTTAAATGACAAGAAGACAATCAGGGAAGTTAATATCACTCATAATGATGTGGGTTATAAGTTTTTCGATACAATAAATCACAAATTTAATATTAACAGATATTACGTAGATTTTAGTGGCCAATATTGTCAGGTTTAACTGGAAATAAATTGATAACACCTCAGTGAATTCAGTGATATTGAGTATCTAACATATACAGAACTGATCCCACTAGTATGAGCATAAAATTCAACTACCTATTCATTTTTTCCTTGGATATATGTCAGCTTCATTATGAGCAGAGGTATACTTCATTTCATTGTTAATTTTGCTTCCCTAGGCCATTTCTCTGAGATTAACCAGGACTTCTGCCTACCAAAGCTACATTTTTTTTCTATTTCTGATTCTGATTTGACTATTTCTGATTCTATTTTGAAAAGAATATGCAAGTGTCTTTTAATTTCTCTGCTTATTATTAAGAGAAAAGGGGCATCTATGTAAATTGTGACTTACATAAGAAAAATAAAAACATATAACGACCTATTACTCTAACTTAAAAGAATATCTGTAACAAAGGAATTAAAGTACTAAGGCAGTTTCATAGATTCTATGAAGAAGAGAGATGTTTCTCAAATGAGGTGTGTCATGCAATTAATATAAAACTGTAGTCAAATCTTTGTGCTATAATCTTACTGCCTCAGGCAATAGTACAGATGAGAAAAGGGGGTCAGCATAGGCAGGGAAAAGTAAAAAAAAAATTGAATCATGCTCCAAACCCCAAAAACCTACACACACAGAATAGATATTCTTTGCCTTTTCCATATTATAAGTAGGATTAGGTATATGAGCTTATTGATTTAAACAGAAGTATTCTAATTCAGTGATAAATTTCATCTTTTATACTTGTTTATAGTAAGCTAAAATCATGTGGTGAAGAGCTCCCTAAAGGTTGAGGGAAGAAGAAAAATATAAATTTTTAAACATTTTATATTTCTACGTCCAACATTGTTATTAATATTATATATCAACTGGTATTGTTATATATGAGGTAATAGGTGTTGAGAAGAATTTAAAGCTGAATAAATATTTAACTTATCCTTATGGAATAAGAAGTCTAAAAGGAGAGATAAGATATGGTCACACACTAGAAGTACACAAGATAGAAAGTGATAAAGCATATAATAGGTGTTACGAAAGTTCAGAGGAGCAACAGATCATTTCCAGTTCTGTGGATCAGAGATGGGAAATCATGCAAGCAAAGCTTTGAAATCCATGGGTAGAATTTAGACAACTAAAGACGGTGAGGTTAAATCAATTCCAGAGGGAGTTTGAAATATGGACAGATGTATGAAATGGTTCAGAATTCAAGAAAAGTGTGGTGTGGGGAAAGAATTTTCCTAAAGTAGAAGCTACTTTGACCCAATAAACTTCGAAATAAAATCTAGAAAATCAGGTTGAAGCCAGATTTTGGCAGACATTGAAAGTCATCTTAAAAGGTTTACACAAAATTTGGTAAATGACAGAGGCATGTAAGATTCTAGGGCAAAAAAACAAAATGAGATCTTATGTTTTTCAGTAAGACTCTTCTAAGATATGTAGGATGGATTGGAAGGAGAACAATCTGGAGACAGTACAATTAGTTAAGAGACGCATTAATCACTAAGAAGTGAGGGCATGGACAAACGGAATGTTGCTGGAGTTGGAGAGTTATAGATAAATGTGAGCGATATCTAAATGAGACCTGACAAGTCATTATCTTCATGTGAAGTTATGTTAATGATAACTCTGAAGCTTTTAATTTCAGTGACTACAAGTATAGTTAAGTCAAAACAAAAAATAAGGATTGAATGATAGACAATTGAAAATGAATTCAGTTTTAAACACTTTGAATTTGATGAGCTGAGGGGTAACCATGTGTATCTGTGCAATAGTTGGGAATGTGGCACTGAGATGTATTTTGTAATTAATTAGGTGATTATGATGTAGTAGATTGTATCAGTGCTTGTGTATGTGGTAGTAACTGAAACCTATGGTTGATGTATATGTTATGGCTCTACTCAACTAGACTACTTTAAGAAAGACTATAATGGAACATATGAATCCCTGAATAAATAATAGCTCTACATTCTTGTTAATGTCCGGCTGTATGCAGCCACGCAAATTTTGTGGAATTTATTTTCTCCCTCGTTTCTGGATCAAAAAGTTGTAAGTGATCTGATTTTAAAAAAAAATCTATTTTAAATAAATATGACTGTGGCTGGGTGTGGTGGCTCACGCCTATAATCCCAGCACTTTGGGAGGCCTAGGCAGGCAGATCATGAGGTCAGGAGATCGAGACCAACCTGGCCAACATGGTGAAATCCCGTCTCTACTAAAAGACAAAAAATTAGCGTGGTGGCAGGCGCCTGTAGTCCCAGCTACTTGGGAGGCTGAGGCAGGGGAATCGATTGAACATGGGAGGCGGAGGTTGCAGTGAGCCCAGATCGTGCCACTGCACTCCAGCCTGGTGACAGAGCAAGACTCCGTCTCTAAATAAATAAATAAATAAATAAATAAATAAATAAATAAAGACTGTGTATAATTTAAATTGACTTTAAAACATATTATTCAAAAAATTTGACATATTTAAAAACCTATTGAGTGGCACAATGAGAGTAACTTAAAAATTAAGGTACAGGTATTTGATAAAATACTAGAAGATTATGAAAATCATGAGTTAGAAAAATAATAAAACATTTTGAAACATTTACTACTTTAAATATTTTTTTAAAATTTAGACACAAGGGTCTCTACTTTTGTTAAAAGATTGAAAATGTATTTATCTCTTTTCCTTTGAGACCATTTAAAAGTAATATTAAATGAATGAACATTGCATATATCCACAACAATGAAGATATTTAGAGAACGGTCTTAAATAAAAAGAAATCCTTTTTAATTTTGGGGAAATTATTTGATGTAAAAAAAATACAACAGGGAAAATGAAGTAGAATCTTAGACTGAGGGCTTACCATGGTAAAAATTACTAATAAAGAAGTAAAATTCAGGATGTTCATAATCTAACTGATAAGCTTAAGGTACAGAAAAAGAAAACAGACTTGAAAAGAGAAAATTATTTTTAAAATAATGAAAGAAGAATTCCAAGAGCTGAACATAAAGCTCCATATTTAAAAGATAAATCAACTCAGTAAATGAAAAAAGAACCATGCAAAGGAACAGAATCAAAATATCTCATAAAACCAGTAATAAAAATGCAAAGAAATGAGAATTATATGGGATCAGTAATCAGTAAGATTGGATAGAAAAAGACAATGGAGCAATACCATCAAATTTATAAAGGGAAATGTTTTTCAGCCTAAAATTTAATCCCTGCCAAACTGTCAATTGAATATCAATAGGCAAAAAAGTCAACCTTGTTCGAAACTTCACACCTTATACTTAAAAAATTAGTTTTAAATGAATCATAGATTTAAATGTAACTCTAAAATGGTTAGAATATAACAGGAGAAAGTATTTGGGATCTAGGACCTGGGGAAGAGTCATTAGACATGACATCAAGAGCACAATTCATAAAAGAAACAACAATAAATTGAACTTTACCAAAATTAAAAACCTTTGTTCTGTGAAAAAGCCTGCTAAGAGAATGAAAAGGCAAACCACATACTAGGAAGTAATATTTGCAAGCTGCATATCTAATAAGGAGTTCATATCTACTATACATAAAGAATTCTCAAAACTCAACAGTTTAGCCAGACATGGCGCCTGTGCCTCACACCTGTAGTCCTAGCTACTCCGGCGGCTGAGGCAGGAAGATGGATTGAGCCCAGCAGTTCAAAGCTGCAGTCAGTGAGCTACAGTCATGCCACTGCATTCCAGCCTGGGTGACAGAGCAAGATACTCTCCTCCTATCCAAAAGTCTCAAAAAAATTTTTTTAAATAAAAAAAAACCTCAACTGTTAAAAAAAAATAACAACTAACAATTAGAAAAAAGGTAAAATACAAGAGGCATTTCATTGAAGAGAACACATAGATGGCAAATATCACATGAAAAAAAGGGTCAACATCACGAGCTGTTAGGGAATTAAAATTAAGACCAAGATGAGTTATCACTGCCGATCTAGGTAATAGAACAGATAAAAATGTCTTTAATGACAAAACAAAAATCTCATTAGGATGCAGAAACAGTGCACCTCTCATACACTGCAGGTAGCATATAAAGTGATTGTCTCTGAAAATAATTTGGCAGTTTCTTAAATACACACACACACACACACACACACACACACACACTTACCATAGGACCCATCAATTGTAATCCTACACATTTAATCCAGATAAATAAAATGTATGTCTATACAAACACCTACACTATTCATAGCAGCTCTATGTGTCATAGATCAAAACCCCTAAATAAGAAGTGTCCTTAAGTAGTGAATGATTAAATTAACAGTGATACACACATACTATGACATACTACTCAGCAATAAAAAGGCAAGGGCTAGTCACATGCGAAATGATGTGGATTAATCACAAGAACACTATGCTGATTGGAAAGAGCCCATCTCAAAAGGTCATGTAAGGTATGATCGTATTTTTATAATATTCTCAAAATGACAAAAAAAAAAAAAAAAAAAAAAAAAAAAGAGATGAGTGGTTTCCAGGGGTTAGGGATGATGCAGAGAAGGTACTATAAGGGCATAACATAAGGGAGATCTTTGATGTAATGGAATAGTTCTGTGTCTTGACTTCATTGGTGGTTATGTAAATCTACAAATGTGACAAAATGACAAAGGGCAAACACATATACCCCAGTGTCAACTACTGGTTTGTTACTGCACTATAATTATATAAGATGCAAACCATGCCAACCACTGGGATAGACTGTGCAAAGGATCTGAAACCTGTCTGTTCTGTCTTTATATCTGCCTGTGAATATATAATTATGTCAAAATAAAAAGCTGAAAAAAGTAAAAACATGTTTATGACTTAAAATATAATTCAAAATTATTAATCCTTTGGAAAAAGTTTACTTTAACATATGGCTCTCTAAAAACATCATAATTATAAAAAGATGTATATATAGCATTGTCTTTGGGTCTGCATGCCTTTGCTAATCTAGGCTACGTTTCTCGACAGTGAACTTTTCAACATAAGTGTAGTAGAAAGTATATTTGGACTTAAAGAGACCTGAGCTTCAATTCCCCATCCAGCAGTTATTAATTTAAAGAGCGTACTTGTCATGTAACCATGAGTAAAAAATCTTAATGCTCACTTTAGGTTATCACCTTTAAAGAAGAGATAATAAATAGTTATATGCTATTACAGTCAAGATCAAATACAGTTTATGAAGTATTTTCTACTAACATTCTTCCATTTTTGTTTTAGAATTGAATTATATTCTATATTGGGATTCTATACTGAATTCTATTTCAGGAAGAATTAGATCTTTTCATAGGACAATGAGTACAATATACTTTTAAAGTTATATCATGGAAGGTCACTGGACATTGTTTCTATTTCTAGCTTAAAAACTTGATAAAATAAAAAAGAGGCCTCTGAATTGTGTTGTAATATATGTAAGAAACTTGGGACACAAAAAACACAGAAAAACACAGATGCTGAAGAGAAAAGAGCTATTGGAAATAAAGAATGAGTTGCAAAAGTTTAAACAGACAGTAGGAAATATGTGGTATTTATGAGTATGTATATTTAACTACTAAGAGAACAATCCCACAGAATAAACAGCATGAAGCATGTGAAATCATTTGTTAAATTTGCAAAAGAATATGTGTTCCATCTCTCTTTTTCTCTTTCTCCACTTTCTTTCCCTTCCCCCAACAAGATTGGGTTGACACGTCTTTTAAAATAAACCATAATCCACTTGTCACTTATGTCATTACAAAGCTTGAAAGCCTGCCTAATGAGTTTGCACAAATCCTCTTTTTAACATGTATTTCATATACTCTTCTAATTAAATATTTATCACCATATCTGGACCTACAAATAACAGTATTAAGGTATGATCCCGAATAAACCTGTTCATTGTATTATTCTCACAGAGCTTAGCTTCCCTAAAAAAAATCATTTCATGGGTCATCAGGATGAAGCTTGCTACTTTTATTCTTTTGTTGCAGCAAAGGATGAACATAATTTGAAATTTTAAATCGTGAAAGAACATGGATTTTGGAATCAGTTAAACCTGTTTGAATCCTTTCTCCACCACTTAAACTAAGTAACTTTTGGGAAGAAGGAAATGATTCTCTGAGCTTATTTTCTCACATATATAATGAGGATCTTAGAATTTTTATAAGAATGAAATTAGATACTCTCTTTAAAGCTAGTATGCAGTGTGTTGCACATGATAGCAGCTTACTAATAGAGATCATTGTCACTAATAATTTACTTAAGAACCTCTTCCTCATTTTTGGTTACTCATTTTTTGAGTGTGTTCCTTAGTTTTACGTATTGTTTTTCTACCTATCCATTTCATTTATTCTTTTTGCAAATACTCACTGGACATTCATATAGTGCTAGGCACTATACCATGTGTTGTGAGATGTACAAGACTGTGTCTCTACCTTAGATAAGAAAAAAGACTGGAACATTGGATATTGCAGTAGAAAATATGTAATCAGCAGCATCGCAATGCTACCAACGGAAGGTTATTGATAGGTTGGTTCTTTGGAGAACACCAAAGGCTTCTAAGAGGGTATAATTTTTAAGCTATGCCTTGAGAAATTACAGAAGACAAAAACTGGGTAGAGAATTCCAAGTAGAAGAAATTTCATGAACAGAAGTAGTTATGAAACAGTGGGACTTTCAGGGAATACCAGGCAGTCAGTGTGTCTGAGAGGGAAAACAAAAACACAAACACCTGTGTTTTAGAAAAACAGTTTATATACTACCAGGCTAGCATTTTGGACTTCTAGGTAATCATTGGGAAATCAACAACAAAAAAATTTTTTAGTTGCTGTTGAACAAAGTATATTTGTTGTAATAGCATCCAGATTAACAACTTGCGTAATGCTCTTCCGTGTAAAGCATATTATCTAAAAATCAGTTAATTGAAAATTAATATATGTATGACATTTCTGAATTTCCTGTAGCCAGTCTATAAGTCAAGCCTAAAGCACCACTAATCAGAAGATCAAAAGGCTCAGGCCGGGCACAGTGGCTCACGCCTGCAATCCCAGCTCTTTGAGAGACCGAGGAGGGTGGATCACCTGAGGTCAGGAGATCGAGACCAGCCTAGCCAACATGGTGAAACCCCATCTCTAATAAAAATACAAAAATTAGCTGAGCACTCTGGTGGATGCCTGTAATCTCAGCTAGTTGGAAGGCTGAGGCCGGAGAATCGCTTGAACCAAGGAGGCGCAGGTTGCAGTGAGCTGAGATCGTGCTATTGCACTCAGCATGGGCAACAAGACTGAAACCCCATCTAAAAAATAAATAAATAAAATAAAATAAAAGGCTCAAGTAGTCAAAGAATGATAAATTCAATGCAAGACCTGGTTACTGTCTGATGCCTGGCAGTGCGCATATTAGATGACTTCCTGCCTTCTTTATACTGTTAAAAAGAGAGTTATTTCAGCAATAATCTACATATTAAGAGAAACCCATTTAACCTGTCAAAAAAATGAATGGTTGAATATCCCTAAGAATCAAGCCAGGTATTTTATAATACTTGCAAGAAAGAGTGGATAGTTTTTAATTGCCATTTTTCCTTCTCCATTAAAAAAAAATGAAGTTTACAAGTTAAGGGTTAAAAAAAAATGATATGAAAGCAAACTGACCATGCCGGGGGAGATACCTGGTCATGAAGAAAATAAATAAAAATAATCTTGTTATGAGTTGAGGGAAAAAATAGTGATTGGCTGGGTGAGAATTTTGTTTGTCTTTTTCCTTTTCTATTCAGAATAGTTTATAAATAGGATGGTAGAAGTTATTCATAGTTGAAATGTGGATATAGTTGCAATAACATAATTAAATAAACTTTAATTTATATCATGGCTTTGATAATTTATTCTAGTAATATATTATAAAAGATGTTGAGCCATTCCCTTATAAAATAGTCAACGATCTTGTATGCTATACTTAAAATGTATTTGGATGTAATAGACACATATAGCTTAAATTTGTGTTACTTCCATTTTTTATTAGGCATCAGTGCCCCGAAATATTAAGAGAATCTTAGTACCATCTCAAATATTGTACGTTTTTGAAATGCTAGAATTTACAAGGAATCATTCCTCTCAGTATGTCAACATTCCACTACCCAGACTGTGATATTACCTAATAGAATTTTACTACCCAGACTGTGGTATTCCATTGAGCTAATTTCTTATCAAATTTTTTATTAAAAAGTTAATAAAAAAATAACTTTTTTATTTTTTATTAAATAAAAAATATTGTGTACATAGATTTCAGTTAAAATACTCTTTTTAAAATTATATTACTTAGCTTTATTAATATCTCCCATGACTGCTACTCTGCCTTGCATATTTTTGCATTGAATACTGAGGTCTTCACCAGTCAGCAAAGACAGGAAAGGTTAGCTCAGGAGAATAGTTTAACGGATGCTGTGTATACACGATGGCAACACAGAAATGTAAAACACAGGGGGAGGGGTCAATTAAGTGATTATTTATCTTTGTGTTCTAAAAATATTCAGCTACAGTAAAAGAAAATTGCAACAGATCAAATGATAACAAATATGATGATGACTATGAGATTACAATGTGGATTTAAACATTCTCTACCTCCCAAAAGCTGACTTTTAAATGTATACAATACTTTTATATCTATCATACTATTTTAATTAATTCATTGAGGTATATGAATTCACTAAAGTGAAAAAATGTTATTTACTTTTAAAACATAAGAAAAGACATTTTTACTTACATCAGAAATCTTGAACTTCTAAATATTTTATTTTACTAAGGCAGATATTTCTTTGACTATCAATGATAGTACATGTTCTAAGAAAACACAAAGAAAATACATTTAAGACATAACAATCATGAAGTGTGACTAGCAAGTAATGCAACAAATTTGTCAACAAGCATACTAAGAACTATACATCCAAATGAGCGTTATATTTCCAAGCAGCCACTTTGGGAGATCAGACACATTTCAGTGGTATTGCCATTGCTCAAAACATTTCTAACTTCTCCATTAGAACCGCTCTCAGAAATAATTGATGAACCATACACAACTCAGGCTCATTGCTTTATAAATTGAACCTCATATAGCAGTAACTTGAGGCAAAGCAGAATCAAGAAAATATAATTTTCTCTTCCCATTTGTTTATGAAAAGAAAATTAACTTTCAAATTATTTAGTCCTAAAATAAACCACTTATATAACCCTATTATATAAATCTAAGAAGACAATTGTAAAAAAATAATTAATCTTTCCTTTCCTATTATAATTTGAATAGAAACATAATATGGGCAAATAACGATCAGTGCGATTTTGTGGTGAACTGTCGTGCTCATCTAATCTGATTCTTGTTGATCTCCTTTGCTGTGACCTGTGCAAGAGACCATCTTAACAAATTTCACAGTATTTTATTGCTCCTCATTCTCCTTAACCTCTCTTTGTCACCTGACCTTTTGATCATTCTTTCTTCTTTCCAAAAGTCTGTGAACAGTGTTTTTAAAGGAAATTCCATGCCACACTGTAGCCTTAACTTTTCTCTGGCTTATTGCATTAAATCTTCCCTAGCTCATTTTCCTTTTCTGTTCCTAAAATATAAGTGTTACTCTACATTCAGTAGTCACTAAAGTATTTAAATACTTATTGAATACATGAACATTTAAGCCCTCAGTTCTCAGCTCCATTTTTCTCTGTCATTTCACCTGTTAAACTAAATCTAACAGATTTAACTATCACTACCACCTAAATACCAAGTTGCCCCCACTCAGTCTTGCTTTAGCCCTTCCCCTTTCTAGTTATGCAACCCTAAGCAAGATATTTAGCCTCTTTGAGTCTTAGTTTCCTCATATTTAAAATATGAATAAAAATATTGACTATCTCATAGAATAATAACCAAGGAGATAATGCTCAGAAAGTTTCTGACACGTATTTCTGAAGTATTTTAACTATTATTGGTTAAAATCCTCAATTATTTTAACTGTTATGGTGTTTTTCCCACAAATCTTTTATGACATTCTTACTTGGATGTCATACAATCAAATCGGCATTTTTTTTTAAAAAAAAAGAACATTGTTTAGCACTTGCATCAAGATAAAATATGATACTTTTGCTTAAATTATGCAAGTACCAGAATTAAGTTCTTATTAATTTTTTTATCCTACCTTTAATGATGAAGTATAAACAGCAGTAGTTTCTTAGGTTAATAGTGGGGTCTCATGTAGATTTAAATGCTCTATATTGTCTTTGAATATGCCTATGAAATTACTATGACAGGAAAGTTAAGGAAACCATATCTAAATGTTCTACATATCTCTAAACCTTTTTTTTATGTATTGATTTTCCTAACCCTGTTTTTTTAATGGATTGCCATGATCATGAGTGGAATCACCATTCTTTCAAGCTACCAGATTTGAAATCTGTTCCTTTGACCCTCTTAACCCCATCTCCTCTGCACAGACGTAATACCAATGATGTTTACTGTTCCATCCATCTGTAGCCACCCTTGTTCTCTCGTGTTTGGACCAGCATACTATACTTTTTAAAAAAATTTTCTTAAACTTTGTTTTGCAATTTCAAGGAGAAAAAACTATGTTACTTTTTAAACTAGAAAGTTGACTGCAGAGTCCAGTTCCCAAAAATATTATAGCTCTAAAGTGGTTTATGAGTATAATTTGTGTCATGAACCCATAAACTGAAAAGAAATACCTTCTATGATTCTGCTAAATCCCCTTTACTTTTTAAATTAATTAATTTTGTAATTGACAAATAAAACATATATTTATATTATATATGTATGTACATAATTGTTATATATTATGGAGTTAAACATGATCTTTAACTTTCCCATCTGCCTCTCAGTCTTCCAATTATTCCACACATACTCTCATCATGTTAATTCTCCAGAATGACCAATTTTATACTGTCTGATTAAAGTTTTATATTCCTCCAGCACCTATGATTTCTTGTACAAGTATTTAAAAATATTGCAGAATAAATCTCATATCTTTCCACAGAAATTCCCATTGATTGCATGACAGTATTGTCCATAAGATCTCCCATATTATTATCTTCACCATGTTTCTGTGAATGTCAAATGAGGAGAAAGGAAACAAAATAAATAAGCATATATAAATAAACCTATGTAAGATGTGTTGGCTTGCTATATTTTCTTTCAATTTCACAAAATAACTTTGTGAGATAGGTATTATCAATACTATCAGTAGCAAAGAGACTCAGAAAGGTCAAGGTTATTGTCCAGGATGAAGAATCCACATTTGCATATGAACTTGTTACTCTTGTCTCAAAATTTATGCCTATTTTATTACTTACCTTCCTTCTCTTAAGGAGGGTTTTAAAGAGAGGAGTTCCCTAGATGTATTCATTTTCTATTGCTGTTGTAAAAAACTGCCACCAACTTACTTGCTTAAACAATATACATTTATTATCTCAGAGTCCAGGGGACATGTATTAGTCTGTTCTCATGCTGCTTATAAAGACATACCTGAGACTAGGTAATTTATAAAGAAAAAGAGGTTTAATGGACTCACAGTTCCACGTGGCTGGGGAGGCCTCACAATCACAGCTGTTGAAAGGCACATCTTACATGGCGGCAGACAAGAGAAAGAGGCAACCAAAAGGGGAAACTCCGTATGAAATTATTAGATCTCATGAGACTTATTCACTACTACAAGAACAGTATGGGGGAAACCGCCCACATGATTCAATTATCTCCCTCCAGGTACCTCCCACAATACGTGAGAATTATGGGAGCTACAATTCAAGATGAAATTTGGGTAGGGACACAGGCAAACCATATCAGGACCAGAAGTCCAAAATCAGTCTCACTGGGTCAAAATCAAGATATTGGCAGGGCTGCATGCTTCTGGAGTCTTTGAGGAGACTATCTCTTTCCCTGCCTTTTTCAGCTTCTAGAGGCCACCTACGTTCCTTGGCTCTTAACCCCTTTCTCACATCACTCCAACATCTTGTTTTCATCCTGAAATATCCTACTACTAGACGTTAACCCTCCTTTCTCCCCTCTTAAAAGGTCCCTTATAATTACACCCCATCCCCCAGGATAATCTAGGATAATCAGCTTCTCTTTTGTCACATAAAGTAATATATTTACATGTTCCAGGCATTAGGACACAGACATCTTTTCAGGGAGGGTTGTATACTTAGCTTATTACACTGTGCATAAGTTCTGATAATGGAGCCTAAACCCACTGGACCAAAAGCTGACGGTATTTAGATGTCCCAACAGTATCTATATGGCAATCCTTTGTCAAGATACATTGAATGCTATAAAGCATCATTCAGCCTAATAAGAAAGCTTATTTCCTCACCTGCTCATTGTATTATGAGGCTTCATTTTGATAAATAAAATCCAATTATTAGTTTTTTCTAAACAATGAAGATTGAAAGGAATGGAAAGTGCACATTAAACAATAATTGTGGTTTGTGGAAGGATTTATGAGAAAAAGCATGCTTGCAATTGCACTAAACTCAAAATAGAAATTTAAATTTTTGTTTTAACATTTTAATGTAAAATAAGCCTATTCCTGGCTCCTATTTCTTAAAGACTTTGCATGGTTCTTTTTTTTTTTTTTTAACCAAGAGGGTCTTTAAATTTTGACAGTGTATTTTCCAAACTGTACTATTTTCAAGCATATATTATAAAATTAATACTTCATTATCCCCCCTGAGCAAAACAAAAAGTGAAAATATGTTTAATGATTCAGTTTTTGCTTATCCTAAGAACATTACTTAATGGTGCTTGAATTAACAAAAGGGATCGTGCTGATTGATGATTTCCCTTCTTAATGATACACCGACTTTTTAGGTCATTTCTTCTACTTCTCTCAGTTTCATTAGTCCAGGGCCACTGATACTAACCATTTCTATAGATCAACTAGGGCATTTCCACGGTAAGTCAAGGAGAAGAACATTTTTTACCTTCTTTTGACTGCTTTCTTTCTCCCACCTGAAAAATTGTCAATCTTTCAAGAGTTTTTAATTGACATTGAGGGTCATAAACACATACCAGTTGAATTTTACTACCAAAGAACTGTATTACATTGAGATAAAAGCTTGACAAAGCATGAAGTTATAAAACTTTAACTATAATTAAAATTGCCAATATATGGTCTTTGTTTTGATAAATATATTAGCCTTATTACATTAAACATCATATTGCATAAAGAAATATTGGCATAAAATGACTTGAGATCCATGGTTAAAAGAGAGAAATGTATGTTATTAAGCAATAAAAACTGCATAAATTTCAAAGAAAACTGCAATGTCTTATATTAGAACATTTTAGTTCATGAATAAAATTGCTTAAATAGTTAAACATATATAGTTGTTTAAGATAAGTATACTAAAGGTAGAGCCCTCCTCAGATTCTCTGAAAATCAAAGAACAAAGGAAAACAAAATGATCTCTTAGGCAGATTAAAGACTTAAAGGTGAATATTAATTATAAATATGTATATTTATAATATGTATATCATTATATATTGGTTTAACCTCCTGTGAACAATAGTTGTCTTGCAAACAGATGAATATGAACTTCAGAAAAAACTTTCAGATGGAATTTATTTCAATTATGCCACAGACTCAGAGAAATGTCACATTTATTCAAAGAGTTATTTATTACTTAGAAGTTTAAGTGTTTTGACCAATGAAAAGTTAATAACAAAAATAAAAAAGCTGAGAATAGCAGAATTTAAAGAATGCCAATTTGTAACCCAGGGGATAGGTATTCGCATACTAATTGTAATGTTCCTGCTGTCACATTACCTTCAGCTTGAAGATCAGTCAGAAAGAGAAACTCGGCATCATCTGTGACAGACAGTGGAACGAAAAATGCCAGTGAAGTGAGTTGCCGTTTCCAGCTATTTTTATCTCAGAAGATGTACAAATGAAACACTTGAGTCTTCTTTTAGTCTCGATGTTTTATTTCCTTCATTTATGATAAATACGCTAATTGTTGTCTTCCTGATTTTTTCTCCTTTCTCTACTGATTTCTTCTTTTTGAAAACATGTCAAGAATTTGTGGCTTACTTTTGCACTTTATTCTTCATGTGGGCTAAAGAAAGGTTATAAAGTGGAGATAGACCACTGAACTTTATGTTTTTTTTAAATTATGAGATGAATTAGAGACATAACATATACATGATTCTTGCAAAAATTATCACAACGTTTATTGAAAAAATTTTACATGGATATTAAATGCTGGGTAAGGAAGCAGCTGTCACTTCCTGGAGCACATGGACTCCTTGCTTGAGTTTTCCATTCTCCAGCACACTGCTAATTGAGTGTGAACAGCTAAGTTGTTGGATTCCACATTTTTTAATGCAATACAACTGGTTCTAGCTGGCATAATTAGCAAGATAACTGGTTGCTTTCACGCAGTTCCCATCTGGCCTGGCTCTTCTCTGGACATATAATATGGGTACTGCTGGCCTTGATGGCACTTGCTTAATGAAGAAAATAGAAAGGAAATCAGCCAAAACCGCATGAAATACTAAGTGTAATTTTGGCTTCAGATACACAGTGACTTTTCATGGCAAATCATACACAAACAAAAACTTACTCTGATTATGCATCACAATTTTACAGGAAATAAACACAGAAATGAAAAGAGCCAGACAAAACTGCTGTTAAAATTCAATAAAAGGAAGAAAAAAAGAAATGAGGGAGTGGCCATTGTCCATTTTTTCAGATAGCACATATCAAGTAAAAGTCAACCAAGTCAGTAGAGTTTAAAATCAACCATCCTCTTTTTTCTCCAACTTTTATTCAATAGATTTCTTTCTTAACATTTATATAGTTACATTTTTTAAAAACAGAAGATGATATTTCTTACTCCCATCTACCATAAGAAATGCCCTATTTTTATTTGATAGTGTACAAGCTTTAAGAATTCATGAATAATATTGTTCATGAATTCTTAAATTCTGTTTCGTGTAAGCTTTCAGTTGAGCAGCCAGTTACCACAATTTTAACTATTATTTAGAGGAATTATAGTATTTCTATGAAATATGATAAATCTCTATTGCAGGAAAAAAACACTTTTTAGGTAGTTATTATAAATGTTCCAAAACATGAATAAAGTACAAATATATATGTATTAACTCATCCATTTAAGAAGTATGAAATAACTTGGGTTAAAGCAGACAAACTTGTGTTTCAATTCTAACTCTGGCCATTACTGTCTGTGGAATATTGCACTACTTATTTGTATCTCTGACCCTCTTTACTCTTTGGTAATATTGGAATAAAACAGACTGTTATTTTCAAGATTAAATGAAGTCTATGATATGCGTAGCACAATGTGGTATGCATTGTAAACATCCAATACATAGTTGTGCATTTTAGTGCTATTATAAATATTGTATTTCAGTTTATTCATAGATACCATCAATTTGCTCTTTCACAGAATTACAAGAAACTCCAAAATTTACAAATTTAACTGGCAACAAACAAGCATTACTCCTTAAAATAGTTACACTTCACCTAATTTCTGAAAAGTAAATGCTATGTTACCTCCAACTCTTTCAACATCTCAGATAGTCAAAATTTAACCTTCTGGATAAGAAATAGGCTATAAAGGAATGAGCTGAGGGTATTCCAGGCATTGCTACACACCAGCAGAGGTACTCCTTCAGAGCCGATGGGCAATTTTTTTCTCCTAAAAACAATGTCAGCATTTTGTGGACCTTGATTAATACTAGGATATACCCATATAACTAATTCTATTATCCATAGTATTCCATGTCTTTATCTATAAAATATCTGTAACATTTTAGCATCCCTCTGTAATTCAAAACATTAGGAATTTTTCTTTTATCCTTGGTTCTACACCATCTCCCACACTTTGCTTTCTTTCTCTTACTGTTTCTCTACATTAATGAAGATGATACAAATAGCTATTATTTATGTAAACACCTTCATTCTATAAATACTCCTTTATATCCAAAAAGATTTCAAGAAATATGCCTTTTTGCTTTTGGATTAAGTAAAACCTGTCTGTCCTTAAAGGACACTGCCTTCTAGAATGGATGTCAGCTATTCTCTCCAACCTCACATACCTCAGAGTTGAGAATGAGGTCCATGATGATTCAGTGACGTTTTCACATTATTTTTCATCTTCTCTTTCCCAGAACACTCTATGCCTTTGAAGCTAATACAATTTAGCTACACTTTTCAATACTTTTTATCACTGTAATTTATCAGCATCTTGAAGGCCATTTACCCTCTTCCATTGAAGGCTTTAATATGTGTCAATATTTGGGGTTTGGTCATCCATTATTTATTTGTTAATATGTTCAATATTTCATAGACCAGGCACACTGTTCTTGGTGCTAGAAAATAACATTTAGTCCTGTCATCAGATGACTTACATACTAATGGGAATATAAATGTTCATCTTTGAATGAATTTGTCTAGATTTTATTTTTCAGTTTTTCCTGGCTGCCTGTTCCTCATTCAAAATGGGCATTCTGCATGGCCAGGTTCCTCTCTATCCTATTCATTAGCATATGTTCCACAGGTCTAAGTAGCTTTAATTTGAATACCCTGCTAGCAGCCAAATTTTAGTATACAAACAGGAATATTTTTAAGCATGTGTATTTTAAATGATCGTATAACTTTAGAATTCCTACAAGTTCTAATATTTGAGTTATATGAAATATAACATAAGCTTATTTGAGTAACAGGTTATAGAGTACACAAAATATCTTCAATGTAAAATTAAATCTAGCATTGTGTCTCAACCTCCATTTATGAAAGACAGAAACTGAACAACTCAATTTTTGTGTCTATTTGAATGAAAAAAAACACCATTTCCAAATGGTTTCACAGGTAATCTGTGTCCCCAAGATTTAGTAAGTCAAGGAAGAAAGGAAAGTCAGCTGCCTACAACAGGAGAAGGAAATTTTAGATTGGAAATGTGAGTAATGGAAAATAGTAAAATGAATTCTTAGCTACAGTGTCCTCTCTATGTGTCCTTAATGAGGATGACCATTATTAACTGAAGATGCAACTACAACTGCATCAGTAGAGGAAGTACAATCAATCCTAGCAAAAACTATAAAAACTGCAGCAAATTACAGGAAGTAATACAAAAGCATAGGAATCACTTCACACTAGTATGTTTAAGATTAGTTATCTTGCCGTGCAAATACAAAAGTTTTATAAGAATTGCGATATATGAGTTTTTCTCTATTTTATTATTGGTAATTTCAATACAAACTTTAAATTGGACCCTCTCTTTCCATAACTAAGTCATTTGCACATCACAGCTACATAATCCAACGTGGTTTTATTTCTGGGCAGCAGATGCTTTCTATGAATAGGGGCTTATTTCATCAGGATCTTTGTTTATTAAGAGGAGTAATGTATGATATATTTGCATCTCAGAAAGTTTATATCTTAAACCTGATTTATGATTTCTACATCACATCCCCAAAAGTAACCTTCTTCAGAAGACTTAAGTCTATAAATTTTTGACTGCTTTGGAAAAGATATTACTCTGTCTTGACAGATTCCTAGATTTAAATAAATCAGCTCAGAACTAGAAGTATACCAGTCTAAAGAGAAATAAAGGCTGCCTCAGAGTAGGTAAAGACGTTTTGAAATATTACGAACAAAATGTTTTCAAGTTCATCACATGCTAGAAATTCTTAAAACTTTTTTGAACTCTTTTGAGATGCATAATTATGACATAATCTTTACACTATAAAAATTTAGAAAATAGTTTATTCATCACCATTGCTATCATAACTTTTTGGCTAGAGTAATGTCACATAAATTAACAAATAATATACTCATAGTTGAAAAGAAATTCACCATTGATCCACAGAACCGATATCTTTTATGCCTTTATTAGAATTTAAGAAGCCTCAAATATTCTTAAGACTGTCAGCTAGATTAATAAATAATTTGCTGATGTCAAATTACATCCCACTTTATGTCACTATAGCTAACTACTGTAAATAGCATTGTATAATTTTTTGACATTTGGCTGTTTGATTAACAGCATGAAGTTCATTTGAATGATGTAACTCAAAATACATGTAACTCGAATATTACTATTGGTTAAAGAAGAAAAAGATCACAATGCTATTGTCAAGGTTAGATGCTGTTTCTACAGGTCACCAACTGCGGAAACAATGACATGGTCTGAAAATATGGACACGCTTTTAGCCAACCAAGGTAAGATTTAACTAATAATAGGCTTAAAATACAATAATTAAATATAAATTATTAAATTCTGAAAGTTGGTAACATATCATAAAGTATGAGTTTAATCAATGAAGTATAAAATTATTAATAATCATAAATTCATAAAAATCCAAAATCTAAATAGAATCAGGTTGGGGCTAAAATAAGTTTATAGGTTAACTCTGTACATTAAAACAAAAGGGAAATTCAATCTAGCAAGTGAAATTTTCCATTGCCTTAGACTCACTTTAACATTTTTTATTATTTTTTATTTTAATACAGAGTCTCACTCTCTCTCTCTATCAGGCTGGAGTGCAGTGGCATGATCTCAGCTCACTGCAAACTCCACCTTCTGGGTTCAAGCAATTTTCCTGACTCAGCCTCCTGAGTAGCTGAGATTACAGACATGCACCACCATACCCGGCTAATTTTTGTATTTTTAGTAGAGACAGGGTTTCACCATGTTGGCCAGGCTGGTATCAAACTCCTGACCTCAGGTGATCCACCCACCTCAGCATCCCAAAGTGCTGGGATTCAATTCAGGTGTGAGCCACTGTGCCAGCCCTAGGCTCGCTGTGTGTGTGTGTGTGTGTATACACACATACACATACATATATATATGTATTTTTTTTTTTTTTGAGACGGAGTCTTGCTTTACCACCCAGACTGGAGTGTAGAGTGTAGTGGTGTGATCTCTGCTCACTGCAACCTCTGCCTCCCGGGTTCAAGGGATTCTCCTGCCTCAGCCTCCCGAGGAGCTGGGACTACGGGAGCATGCCACGACACCAAGCTAATATGTGTATTTTTAGTAGAGACAGGTGTTCGCCACATTAGCCAGGCTGGTCTCGAACTTCTGACCCCAGATGATCTGCCTGCCTTGACCTCCCAAAGTGCTAGGATTACAGGCATAAGCCACTGCGCCCAGCTGGCCCACTATAATTTGATCACGACTGCCTTTGGTACAAGTTGAAAGAAACATACAAACTGTTGAAAATTTTGAAAATTTAAATAAATCACTTGTTTCACATGTACTGTTGGTCAAAATAAAAAATATTTTAAAGTACTTTATATCAACTGTGTTATTCTCACTTTCAGTGAATATGAAAACATATTTAAATGTATATGTGTGTATTAATATGTATATGTGTGAATATGTATTTATAATTGATAGAATGGTTCAGTAAGGCAATTTTGGCCAATTATAAATAAAACATCCTAGTCTTTAATAAAATATCTTAGTTAACACAACTTACATATAAAATAATCATTTACAAAGGTATAACTTCTGTTTGTGTTATAAATAATCTGCAATTCTATCTCATCTGAAAGAGGAAAAATGACACTGTGAAACACAGAGAGAAAATGTTTATAATATTATTTGTATAAATCAAATGGCATTTTATTTTAAATTCATAAAGAATAAAAATTAGAATATTAGAAAAATATAAAACACAATAGAGCTGAATTCACAGCTGCTTATTTATGTATAAAGTTAGAATGACTTAGATGAATTTAGATACTATAAACATATTATTTCTAAATGACTAATTTAGAAATAATTAGAAATAATTAGAAAGTATAAACATCAAAGGATCCACGTAACTTCCAGAATCCACCTAAGGGCATATATTAAAGAGATGTGAATATGGAATTGCTGTTTATTAAGTGTTAAATGGTGTATTTCCTTTCTCCTTAAGTGTATAAGCAATGGGACAGATCAAGTTTGCTAAAAGGCTTACTGAATTATCTCTCTGTGTGTTGTGACTCAGAAGAATCCAGAGTGGTGGAAGTCCATACAACAGTACTATAGAGGAGAGGCAGGAAGGGTGAGATGAAGGCAAACTCATTCCTCTGCATACCCTCTGGGATTTTATATTTCATGCCCACATGAAATAGAAAAGTCATATACATCCGAACAGTTGTTTGGTTTGCTTTTCATAATACCAGAGAAATGGCAATAGTATGAATGCTTTTTAATGTTTTAAACAGCTAAAGGACTTGTCAAATTACCTAGTTGTTTTTGTTGATTTGCAGACATACTTTGCATGTACTAAGCATAGGCATTAGCCTAGTTTTCACCCCATAATGCTGACATATTCCACTTAACGCCCTTTGTTGATGCTAACCAGTAAGCATTCCATTCTATGGAGAGTGCCCTCAGATAATAAGTTTAATTTTATGTAGCATATTACTTTAAAATCATTTGGCATCTTTTGAACATTCAAATTGTATGTATAGGAGAGTAAATCAACAAAATATCATGTTCAAGATATAGATAAGTAGCCCCAGGTTTAGTTTTTTAAGCTGTTTATTTTGTTCCATTGGGTTCTAAACCAACCTACAGGAGGAGGAAAGATACTAATTTTTAGTTGAGAGTAGCCCATCATTAAAAGTGGAGAGCAAGGGAAAATAATGATTGTATCTTGATCTCTAACTTCCCATCTCTCTGGGATGCATTTAGAAAATCCTCCTAGGGAGAAGCTCCATATGCCTTGATGATACACTATAAAATATTGCCAGGCATGAATCTACAATATTCTTTCTGTATTATTAAAGAACACTTTATTCTCTCTATAAAAATACATCTTAGCATAAATTCTGTTTAGATCTCTGAAATTTCATCATTGTTTGAACTGAATTCAAGAAAAATTTTAATTGAGTGTTACTAAGGGGATTTTTATAACCTAAATTGGTGTTACAGAAACTTCTTGAGCAAGGAACGTGAAGTTAATTGAATTTTTATATAGTGCTCATATATTAACTGCATCCACACTCTCCAGTATTTCAACCAAGAATTTTAATTGGTACCTGATAACCTTTTGCAATGACTTGTTATTGCAAACTTATTTCAAATAACTTTAAAAAAATCTGTTAAATCTATTTTAATCCAGTGTTTTTAGACACTTTAATTCTGCTCCAGGAAGTCCTTTTCTATTTTATTTCTATAAACTTCACTTTTGCATTCTGCAGGCAGCAGCCCATAAACAACAGACTTAAACCTCTTTTCATTCACTTTTCTCTTATTGTTTTCTATTTCTGTAGCCAATTTTGCCTATCCCCTGCTTTTCCATAAACTTATTCCTCCTGTACTTTGGAACTTGAAGGATTAACTCTCTCCGCCTGCAGGAAAGGAGCAGCTGCTTGGAGCACATGCAAAGGGGGCCTCCCTGGCAGGTGGAGGAGAAAACCACCAACGTTCTGGAAGGCAAATTTCTCTGAGTGGAAAAAGTGCTGGCATGTTTTACTCCTCAGAGATATACATTCTCAAAAATAGAGACAGCCAGCGAAAGGGTGCAAACTGTGACACTGAATAACATGACCTAAATGTATTGGTTTAGTTTTGTCCACAGTGGGAATGTGATAATGATCTTTCTGACCTGTTGTCTAACTAGAGGCACTTACCTTCTCACATAAGCTCTGGGTATGCCAAAGAAAAATGTTTCCTGGCCCATTTTGATGAGGAAAATAGAGAAGGAAAGGTCTAAACAAGTGGTCACAATATCAAATATCTTTAGGAGCAAGGGATATAAGTGTAAATTTGACTGAAAGTAAGATAAGGGAAAGAAGTGAGACTCATAGAAATCACCGACTGCAAGCCCTGTGTGTTGTTATTACATTTAAAAGAGCATATCATGATCAAGTGAAAGTAAACATGCCTGTGAATAAGTGAGTCCATTGCAGTTTCGGATCTAGAGTTTCTGGAGAAGTACATGCTAAGGATAATACCTGGGAGGAGGAGGAAAACACTATAAACAGGTACTACAAGGGAGAATGGGAAGCATCAATGTTTTCCTTAAGGCAACATCGGAGAAAAACCCTATGTATTTGTATTTGCCTTATGGAATTAAAGTTGCTTATCGCCACATAAAGGGGAGAAGCATTCACATCAAATATGTTGCCAGTTACTTTCTTGGTTTTGAGATCGAGTTGGCCTATATATTTATCCAAAACTAATAAATGCTAGCTCTTCCTTCTTTGCTTTAAGCCCAAACCAATACAATTTAACACTTTAGCATCAGACTTTGTTTCTGCACCAACTTATAGCAACAAAGATATTCTTACCCTGAATTGAGTATAACATAATTAATTTGACCTGAGCGTAGTGCAATGAATCTTAAAAGCAAAATCCGTGGGGCTTCCTGTGAAGTAACTACCATCAAGATCTCCTAAACATAACTTCTAGATTTCTCAAATACAGAAAGAAAAAAGTACAGGTTTTCTTTGTTAATGAAGCTAATTGTAGAAATATATATGCTATATATATAACATATATAACACATATAATATATATGCTATATATGCTATATATAGCATATATAACACATATAATATATATGCTATATAGCATATATAACACATATAATATATAACATATATAATATATATAACACATATATAGCACATATAACATATATGTGCTATATATGTGTTATATATGTTATATATATGCTCTATATATGTTAACAATTACTGATTGAAAATAAAGTTTTCTAGAGTTAGCAACTAAAACATACATTACATTTAGATGCAATGATCAATATTTGCCACTGAATATCCAGTAAATGCTCATATTATACAATGTACTCATTTTGGTCATATTACTACTCTGTATGCTATTATACAAAACTTTTTCTCATATATTTTATAGCTGGTCTAGATGCTTTTCGAATATTTCTAAAATCAGAGTTTAGTGAAGAAAATGTTGAGTTCTGGCTTGCCTGTGAAGACTTTAAGAAAACGAAAAATGCAGACAAAATTGCTTCCAAAGCCAAGATGATTTATTCTGAATTCATTGAAGCTGATGCACCTAAAGAGGTGAGTGAACTACTTCAGAACAGTGAAGAGTCATCCTGTAGCAGATCTGCTCCCAATTAGAAGACCTTAAATCCATCTAAAAGATAATCAAATTCTCAGTATGTGTTTAAATAGAAAATGTCAGTAGATTCCAAGAGAAATTCCTTAAGATGACTCTCTTTTTTTTCATTGATTCAGTAAGTATTTTTCAACACTTATTATGGGCTAGGTATGACTAATATTTCTGTCTCTTTGCAACAATACTCAGGCCCTTGAAAAATAACGTCTAATATCTCAAACAGTGCTAAAATCAACCCAATATAAATCCTACTTCAAAATGCTGTTGAATTTCCAGTGTAGTTTCTTGTTTTTATTTTGCTAAACTAGGAATTAGACAAAGTCAATATGGATAGCATTCTTGAATATTTAAAAACAAAGTAATGTGTGGGGATTAATTTAAACAAATTAATATGTTGCTTGCCTTTATTTCTTTGATGGTAAAATTGAGCCAAAGATGTGGGGCTCTGTATCAAGTGATCAGGACTCACCTGTGCTGCTTAAAGATCAGGAAACTAGAAAGAGCCTTGGGGAGAAACCTGCAATGACTCTGTTAATAGCGCTCCAAACGTGTTTTATATGTGGAATATCTCATTTGTAGTTGATTTAATTTCCAGAGCCAAAACCATAATCATCTTCAAATCATTTTAAAATTTTAACTGTAAAGTTTAAGCAATTTACATTTGTAAACTGCTTTGGATTTCTTGCTGAATATATTACATAAACAAAGAGCGTTAATGTATAAGTAACCTACAAACAGGAAGCTCCATTAAACTACTAGTACCAAACCAACTACTATTACCAATCATCTTTCATACAGAGGTGAAATGCTGACATCTTTATAAGTGACAGTTACTATGTATTCTGATCCAAAACGAGGATTCATGGTATGAGAGGATGGTTGTACTTATAGGAAAAAAAGATAGACTAGATGAAATGCAAACACTTTCAGAAAATATGAGACATAAAGTTAGTTACCATATTACTAATAGTTCAAGTTTTAGATAGACATTAATTACTGCAGCATATATTAGTCTAGTATAGCATTAATAGTCACGTGAACCACTGAAGCATGGCCTGGAATTCATGGGGATGGAAAAAGCACTTTAACTCCTGTAGAGCTATTTCAACATTTATTTCCAAGTCATCATCTAAGAATCAATAAATAATTCTGGAAAATTGAAAATGTTGCATGTAAGATTTGTAAGGTTGATTGATGTGTCATTTTGCTTTGAAATTAACCCTAAAGATATCCTACTTAATGTTATATTGGTCTGAAAGTCATATTTTTTCCTCCTTTATGAATTCATCTAATTAATAGTAGTTGCTTTAGGATAATATTTTGAAACATTGTGTGTGAAAAATCTTCTAACACAAAATGTCATCTTTTAATTATAGCTGAATTTAAGGTTATAATACATAATAAACCATCAATTTTGATAAAATAGTTTTATTTATTTTCCTAACCTTTTCTTCCAAAATTAATTTATACTGTAATAATTTAACTAAATAGTGTAGCTATTATTTTGGGATATAAAACTTCACAGCTTTTTATAGATTGTACATCTAATTAATTTTGATAAAACAAAATATAATTAAATTGATGGCTGCTTTCCAAGTAATAAATTATAGTCTTTCCTTGAAGTGTCTCTAAAAATGCTATTAGATATTACCAAATTAACTGAAAATACGCAAGTATAAATATGTATACCCCATGTTTATATATACATATATATATGAAATACTTATTCTGTTTCCTATCATTTTCTATTAGTTGTTTCCTATTCAAATTACTAAAGGAAGTTTGCTTGTTATATATTACACCGATTGCAATCTTCAAGGTATTTCTCTATAGTTCATCAGTTATGTGTTATAGTTATACTATTAGTATGTTTATTCATTAAACTGATTTTTTGAGTATCTGTTCCCACAGTGAAATTACCGAGTGAAAGAAGAGACTGACACATAATAAAACTAGTCAAATACACAATAGGTGATATAATAATAAAGCTTCATTTAAAGTTCATTATTAGCACGGTAGGAAAGAGTGATTTAATCTACCTGGAGAGTTAAAGTTAGATTTGCGGTGTGGTTCACACATGAAAAATGAGTCATATTTTATGAAAAGAATGAATGAAGAAACACTATTCCAGCACTGAGAGCACCATTGTATAAAGCTCCCTAGCATTTTCCAGAAATTGCAGGCATATTGATATTGCTAATGTGAGTAGAGGACTTGGGGATGAGGTTGGATAGGTAGGCAGCAGTGGAGATAAAGAAATGATGGAATGTATTCTAGATATACTCAGTAGGCAGACTTGACAAGACTCGGTGACATATTTGAGATGGTTGGAAAATATGATTTGCACAAGTGGAAAATTAAATCAAGAATGAGATTTATATGAGGATATTCTCAGTTTTTCTATATTCTATATTACTCTGTAGTTATATAACAGACTCTTATAAAGAATCTAAATTATAACCAGTTTCCTTGGTAAAATAAAGAACAACAAGGTCATATTACTCATATGCCTATTATATCCCATTTACTTTCTTTTCAAAGTTTTATATCTTTATTTCACCTATTTCATTGCTAACATGGCTTAATAATTATTTGCTGATGCAATTGGACAATTTACAATTAAACTATATGAAACTTACTAAATTATCCCTGACTATAAATTGACATTACTAATGGGTATCAGTTTCCTACTCTAATAGGAAAGACTATATATTGAACTTTCAGGTCTCTATGAGAGATGATAATTTCAGCTGGATTTTATGTCCTCTCCTTTAAAGTGTTACATTCTCTCTGGTTCCCAAATTAACAGGGTGTTAGTATGATGTAGCAGAAAAACTAAAGTTTGGAGCTATCTAGACCTGGGTTCAAATCCTGATCCCTCACTTGTGTAATTCTGTCATAAGCTATTTATCTCTCTGCCTCAGTTTCCTCATCTGAAAAAGTATAATGATACATTTACATAGGAAAAACGAGAATGATACATGAGATAGTGTGTCTAGGGTTTACATCATGCAGAACGGTTTTTAAGGAATGGTAATTCCTTTCTTTCTTTAAACAAGTCACGATAAGTGCTATTGAAACTAACTATTGAAACAACCCTTAGCTTATTTCTAAGAACATATGTAGATAAGCAATGTTAAGACTTGAGAGAAGTGGAAACGTGAACACTTATTATAAAAATGGGTTTGCAAATTGCCAGGTCCAAATAAAAACAGTTGCTCATTGAGTAAATTTTACCTAGATGGCTTCAGGAGAAAATATAGCAGAAAAAAAAAATCATGACCCAAGTATTTTGACTAAGTGACTTGAAAATAAGAAAATTATTAGAGAAATAGATATTTTTAAAGTATCTCTACTTTGTACATACTAATAATGTGGGAGTGGCAAACAAAAAAATTCTTAAACTTGTACTTATTTTTGCTTCAGCTTGGATTGCTAATTTCAGATTATTGAATTTTCAAGAAAATATTACTTAACTTTGAGAAAATAATATTTGAAAAATAATAATATTTTCATATTCAGCTAAGAAATTAACATATTTAAAATATATATTATATTTATGTCATCATTCCTCTATATTGAAAAGAAAGTCATAGAGGATGAAAATATGTCATTAAAGAGAAATTTTTAATGTTGATTGTCATTCTATGAAATTAGAATTATAGTATCAAATCATATCATGGTGTAACATTTAAAAATTATATAAATTCAATTTCACACTGTCAACAATCCAGGAAAAAACACATTGGTAGTTTTTTAAGTCAAAAAACAGCAGAAAATGTTTAATTCTTAAATGTATCTACCAAATGTGAGGACACTGTATCTCATAAAACAAAGAAGAAATTATAGTCATAAACGAGAGTACATCTTCACGGGTCCGTGCAGGACATTTTTTAATATTTGTGTTTGGCTTCTTACTTTTATTTGTGATTCAGCACAATGTTGCTTATTGAGTCACATTATCTTTCACATCAATAAATGTTTTTTATTCTGTGCCTAGTCACATCCTTGTAAGATAAAATCCCTCCATGGAAGAGCAGCTCAGTTTAGGCAGGAAAACAGATAATAAACACGTAAGTATAACACAATGTGTTGCTGTGTTAGGCAGCTCTCCATAACGAAATGTAAGAAAATAAATAGAAACTTTAGTTTGACTCTAAAGAACTTTTCAATACAGTTGGGTTAAAAAATAAAGTGTATAGAACTAGAGAAAATGGCAAAGCAACAAATGATTAAGTGCAAAACAAAGATGAAATTATTTTTATGCTACCTGGAAGGATATGATGATTAAATACCAGTAAGACAGCAGCATATTGAGATAAGACCTTCATTATAAATAAGGATAGTTTTAAACTGAGTCTTGGGGGAAGAAACAGATATATGAGTTGTTGACAGAGAAAAGCCCATGAAAATAGGCATCTAGAAGCATTTTATCCTATTACTGTGATGCCAATTTGTAATCTGCATTTTATATTCGTATTTTTTCTTTGCATTTTTAAATACCACTTCCTCTATATGTTGATGTTATTTTGAGTAGCTTATTTCTGCCCTACTAGTGACTGTTAGCCAACAGTGCTCCCCCAACTACAGAATCATCTCTGGATACAATGTGCTTGCTTATTTGTTAATTTTCTAGGTTTTTGTTCATTAATCAATACTTGAATACTTACTATCTGCTAAGCATTATGCTGGTGCAACTAAGAAAAAGACAGTCATGGTCCCTGAGTAGATCCTTCCCCATACTCTGGTAGAAAGACACCAGATAAAAAATAATAATTATAATAAACTTCCATGAGTGTCCTAACAAGGAAATATAAGGTGAGATGGTAGTTTGCAACAGGAAAATCCAAGTCTAGAGGATCAGGGAATGTATTTCGAAGAAGTAACTGGTAAGCTTTGACCAGAAATTTGACTATAGAGGGAAACAAGACAAGATGGGAAGAGAGAAGGATAGGAGAGGAAGAGGAAGAAGAGCCAAGCAAAGGACTAGCCAGTGCCTAGAAGACTGGTCCAGCAGTGAAAGAAGCCTAGTATTGTGTGTGTTCAAGTATAAATTGAGGTTAACTGCACCTTCTGGATCCCAATGATTTCCACATTTTTATTCATTCCTTCTTAAAGAGCTCTCCTTCAAAAGAAGAAAGGGAGACACAGAAAGAGGGAGGGAGAGAGAAAGAGAAAAGGAGAGCTAAAGAAACTATAATATCTGTACAGAGATTTTACATGGATTATCTCATTTGGTCATCACGTTCACTCTCTTAGGGAAGTATTACATTCATTCACATTTTAAGGTGAAAAACTGAGGCTTAGAGATAAAATGATGAGCCCTGCAGTCATTAAGATCCATGGAGAGGGAGGTCTTCAGCCCATACTTTTAAGCTTCAAATTTCTTCCCCTAGATCTACCACTAATTTGAAGTGTTTATGACATAGCCTGGGATACTTGATGTTTATGATAAAAGCAGAAGCATAAAATTATCTAGTCACATACAATATATCTTCCTATCAACAGTTTTATTTCTCTTCTCATATTCTCTCTAATTTGTGTAACTTCTTAGACTATGAAGCCTAGATTCAAATATGACATTAGAAGGAAAAAAGTGTCAGAAGTATTTCTTCTAATAATCTGCAGAATCATTCTGTGCTTCAAAAAATAATTTCTGCATTTCAACTCAAAAACAAAAGGCTCAGGTGTTCTTTACACTTCTGTGTCTCTGTGCCACTTAAAATGATCTTAGTTTAGCATGTTGGGATTGGTGATGGAAACAGGTCAATCTGATTCCATTTCGGCTGCTCCAGTGTAGCTGTAGCTTTTGTATATCTATTTTTAGCCATCCGTACACGTTATGATTTCATATGTGTCATCTCCTTTATCACCACAGAAATCGGAGAAGCATCTGGTTTCTATTCAGTTCTATCTTTGCTTTGACTACTTGTCTAATTAATCAGGATGGTTTTGAATTATATTTCTCTCATTTCTCTTTCCCAATTTAAGGTGTTAATCTTACCTCCCACCTTGTATTTCTGCCTCCAAAGCCAATGACAACAAAAGGATACAGTCTTATGCAGGGATGAATTCCTTCTAGATGTTACAAACTTTGTTGTATTCAACTTTAATAGCCACCTTTGAGAATATATTTTAGGATATTCATTTGCTTTTAATGATGCCAAAATGAAGTAATACTTGAGGTGTTAGTGGTGATTAAAAGAATTAGGTAACCAAAAATATGATTATAGATGGCCTTAATTTGAATAGTAATTTTTAAGCTCAGCTGTGAATGAGGTCTAAGATGCTGCCGGCTCCATTTTTGTAAGGCGTTTTACTTATGCATGCACACACCCTTTGCATAATGACAGTCTCCTGCTACACTATACATTCTAAATGAGGAAAGGCTATCTAATTTGAATGTGAGAGCACAGTTGAAAACTTTTCATTCAAATTATGTAAAAATACATAAAGCACAGATTACGGTCACAAGAGAGCCAACAGGTACACTTTAAAATGTATTCTTTCTGCTAAAGTAATTTATTGAAAGCCAAAAGAATTTAAGACTGCTGGTGTAGAGAAAATAAATTTGGTTTGCATCGCTTTCAGTTAACAAAAATCACATGCATATTAAAATATCCTGGGTCTTCATAATAAAATTGTTTTACACAACTACCTGAAACATCATTCATAAAGCAGTCATTTTAATGCAATGGATTGTTGTCAATGTCAGTTGTGTCAAGACCTTTTCAAAACTGACAGGATTTAAAAGCCTCTAAATGGTTGTGATGACATCTCAGCTGTCATTTTCTAAGAACCACAATCCTGTGTCTTGTTTTCCAAGATTGGCAGTGTAGTGGTTTCAGAAATCTAAGATAATTTATGACCTTTTGAAAAATAAGCAAATAAAATATTATGTTTCACAAACATAATATTGAAAGTCACTGAAACCAAAGGGTATCCATACAAACAATACAAGTAGCTATTTATGTCAGTAAATAAAATACATGTGGCACTGTTTTTTTTGGTTAATTGATATAATGTTCAGCCCACACTCTGCAGTTCATAGTTGGAGATGCTCAGCGAAGTCTAAGCTTCTCTGTAGCTTCCAAGCAACTCAGGAGTGCCTTCAACATGCAAATGGCAAGTATGAGTTTCTAGAGTGTCACCTCCTGATGGAGTCCCACCTTCAGTATACTTCAAACTCAATATTTCATCTGTCTTACTTTTAGAGATAGAACTGTATCCAAGTATCTTCTGGTAGAATACAAACAAAAATCACATTTGAGAGGAGTGCCAAGTTGGGAGTGCAGTTCACAGACATGTCCCAAGGAGTGACTCTATTAAAGGAAGAAATATGTATCTATGTGTATGTATATATATGTTTATATGTGTGTGTGTGTATATATATATATATATATATATTCCTGTTTACCATTCCATGTGCAAGTCTCCTCTTTAATATTTCAGAGTTATATATAGAGAGACAGTTATATATAACTCTATATGTAACTTTCTCTCTCTCTCTCTATATATATATATACACATAGTAAGTTATATACATTATTTAGTAAGATATATATATCTATCTTACTAAAATTTCAAGGGAGTTGAAAAGGAAAGATAAGGCACTCTTGATAGCATAGTTCCATACATCACCAGAATTGACTTCTAGGGGCATTTAACAAAACATATGACTCCCTCTTAATGGAAATATCTTAAATTGGCTTCTAGGACTGGATTTCTTTCTCCCCTACTGATTGCCCTTTCACCATTTCTTTTCCTGTTCCTACTCATAATCCAAAATGTATTATAATGAGAAGAGACACTCCTCATCTATTTTCTGCTTCCACTCACTCTCCTGATGATCTCTTCTAGTTCTATGGCTTTTAAAGGGAATCTCAAACTTAACAAATTTAAATCTGAGTCCTGATTTCCTGCCCAAAGCTTTCTCCAACCCAAGTTCTCTCTATCTCTGTTAATAACTACTCTGTTCTTCCACTATTCTGGCTAAATAATTTGTAGTCATCTCTTGGTTCTTCTCTTTCTCATATACCCTATATTCAATCCATCAGCATTTTCTGTCATCTCTTTCTTTAGACTATTTCTAATATCCAGCTATTCTTAAAAAGATGTTCTCCCTTGCCCTAGCTCATAACTATTCAATCACAAGTCCCATTCATTCTACTTTCTGAATAGCTTTGAAATCTATGCACTTCCCTTTATTCTCTGTGATGTTACCAAACCTAATTCACCATCAATTGTCCTCCTGATCTCCTGGTGTGGTATCCTAATTTTTCTTTCTTTCACCCACAGCCAGCTATTACACCACATGGGAGCCAGCGATGCTTTTTCAAACATGTGGTTACATTAGTCCCTGACTTAAAATTCTCCTCGTTGGCCTCAGAATAAGTAAAGAAGTCCTTAACAAGATCTACAATGTCCTACATGATTTGGCACCTTTATGCCTTTTGTGATTTATCTTTCTTCTCAAAACCCACAGGGCTTCCTCCAGTTTACCATTCCATGTGCAAGTCTCCTTTTTAATATTTCATAGTCATAATACTACTTGAAAAACCAGCTTAAAATTTCATTTCCTTCAGAAAGCTTTTCCTTAGGGACGCAATTTTTTTCTTTTGGGTTACTTTTTCAAAATCTGATTTCTTGATTGACTTTTTACCTTAATCATCTTTTATCTTCAAATCCTAGCACAGTTCCTAAGCACCTACTCCATAAATACTCTAAATAAATAAATTGAAAAAATTACTAAAAATAAAGTAGATAGCTTTCCAAAATATGTTAAGACTCTCCCCTCCGCCACCAAAAGAGGATAATATTATCCATCTTATATGGTTGTGTGATATTTAGCATAAAGTAGACATATGAAGACTTAGCACATCAGTACTAATGTTTAATTAAAATAACATATTATTTACAGTTAAAATAATCATCTTGAAATATCCTTATGATTATTTTAGAGTTGATGTTATTGTTCAAAATACTTTGCCATGGAAGAAGACAAAATCACTAAGGAAAAAGTCTAGAAAGAAAAGACTTGAGGCAGAACTTGGAGAATATATATATGCTCTGCTTATATTTTTCAAAGACCTGTGGAGAATAAAAAATTAGTAAAAGAAATAGAGAGAAGATAGTAAATTAAAGACAGCTTAATTCCACTTCACGAACTATTGAATCCATCTGTAGTGACAAATCTTTCTCTGATAATCACATTGAATACTTAACATTATCAGAAGCTTTTGCATTCAAATCTGTTTAAAAAATCAATTCCGGAATTTTATTTTCCTTTTTTTTGACGGAGTCTCGCTCTGTCGCCTAGGCTGGAGTGCAGTGGCATGATCACGGCTGACTGCAACCTCCAACTCCTGGGTTCAAGCAATTCTCCTGCCTCAGCCTCCTGAGTAGCTGGGATTACAGATACCCACCACCACGCCTGGCTAATTTTTATATTTTTAGTATAGATGGGGTTCCACCATGTTGGATCTGGCTGGTCTTTAACTCCTCGCTTCAGGTGATCCACCCACCTTAGCCTCCCAAAGAGCTGGAATTACAGGCATGAGCCACCATGCCCGGCCAATTTTCTGGAGATTTTTAAACCAAAATTGAATATAATAAAAAGGAAATTATAGTGACTTTCTTTCTGTGAACAAGGAAGGCTTCTCAGAGGATATTCAACTTAAGGTAAATGATAAAGGTGGAAGACAAACTGTACAGGATATAATTATGAGGGCAAAAGGAATTTTAGATGGTGAAACAGTGTAAACAAAAGTTTTAGGTAAAATATTCACTTTGGGAACAGAGAGTAGTCCAGTTTATGCATATCAATAGGAAAAAGTAGAAGTTGATTTCAAAATAACATATTAAAGTCAGGGTGTGAAGAATCTCAAATGCCACACTGAGATGTTTAACTTTTATGTTATAGAAAATAATGGGTTTTCAGCTGAATTTTTATGTGATAAAAGTTATATTTTGGTAAAACTGATTTAGTAATATTATTTATTGTGTTCAGAAGGGAAAGATACTGTAAAAAGAGGTATCAGATAAATGACAAATTCCATAACTTAGGGAAAATGTTGGTTATAAAGCCCTAAGCTGGAAAAATAAGAGTGAGAATGAAAAAGACCATTGTGAAATTAGAAAATAAAAAAAAGAATTTACACGCATATGTGCATGTGCACACGCACAAACACACAACATAAGTGATCAGAGAAAAAACAGGTGTCAGAGACAATTCCTATGTTTCTAGCTTGAACAACTTTAAGAAATATAATTACATTTACACGAACATGGAGGTGTGATGTTTTGTCACTGACATTAAGCTGAATTGCCAAGACACAGCTTTATAAGACTACTGATCATCTCCTGAGAACAGTAAACCTGCTCATCACTTAGCTACCAATTGCTGATGCTGGCAGTTCCTTGGTAGGAAAATAGGCAAATCAGAAAAATGACGAGCATAAGTCAGAAGTACAAGGTTAATATATTTCAGTAATAATATTAATTAGCATTATTATGTTGAAATTGAAGAGTTCTCTCTAAAATTTAAACATGATTTTGAACAAGTATAGAACCATTTTTTCACTGCTTATACATGTATTTATTGAGTTCTTACAGTGTGCAAGGCATACTAAAGGATGTTCAAAATGTAAATATCATCTTAGCAATGCAAAATCCCTTAACAGATCAGAAAGAAAAAAAATCCACACATAAACTTCAATGCTAGGTGTTAGTTAAATTTAAAGACAAAAAGACTTGTGAAAGACTTAGGATAAAAGGAGTGACTTTCAGTTTGATTGAGATATTATGAGAAATGTTTAAAAGTAAAAATATACAAGAAATGTAAGTGGAATTGTCTAGCTTGATGGGAATACAGGGCACACATAAAAGAGAAGAAATGTGTAAGTAGGTATTACATTGTAAAGGCCATGAATGCCAAAATCATGGCTTTGGACTTTTTAAGTAGGAAAAGAGGAATTATTATAGGTGTTCAGTTACAACAACAACAATAATAATAATAAGCTAGCACTGTTTGGCAGGCACACTTTGGCCATGCTGTCAGCAAAAAACTCCCTTGATGAGTGTCTAAACAGGTTAGGTTCCTCTGCTTAACCACTAGGGGAAATATAAAGTTAAACAAATCACAGATGATGCTGTTAAAGACTTAACAATATAGTTAATTGAAGAAACAGGCTGCATATATTCTCATATTCCCACAACACCAGATAAGTTTATGAAACAGACTATAGTAGATGTTTAAAAACCACTACAAATCTTGATAATAGCCACTATTGATTCCCACTATGAGGCAAACACTGTATATGTTCATTATATAAGTTATCGTGCCACTTAACTGCACAAAACCTTTCAGTATCTTTCTATTGCTTCTAGCAGGAAAATAAGTCCTGAACACAGCACATAAACTCTACAAGACCTGGCCTGGATCTCCTTTTACAATATTATAACAAAAATTCCTTGCTTACACCCTACACTCTGGCTCTCAAGGTGTAGTGGCTCTTTAGAACCTAATAATTTTTTTCTTGCATTAGGGACTCTGTGTTTATTTGCTTATTTTTTCTGCCCTAAGTGTTTTTCCCCAGATTCTTAGAGCACCATCTTCTTCTTATCTTTCAACTTTACATCTAAAACATTTATTTAGTTGTTGGTTTTGTTTCCCCAAATACAGCAGCATCTTGTACATAACAGACACTCAAAATTTTTTGTGAAATAATAAATATATGGATCATCCTGCTTTAATTCTTATATCACTGGGTCAAAAACTATCAGCAGCTTAACACTGAAGAAGCAGAAACTCAGAAATATTAAGCTAACTCACCCAAGGTCACCAAAGCTGTAAGTGTTAGAGGACAGACTTGAAAAGGATCCCCAAGTGTTTCCACTGCCCTGCACCATCTTCTGGTATAATAAATGGACAACTGATTCCAGATTTTCAGGCCTTTAAGATTATTTTGGCACTTGTTCTGGAACTTTGATGAGGGACTCAAGAAGGTAATCAAAGGAAGAAAAGTGGAAGTATATTCTGGGATCATGAGTAGCTGAAGTCCCAAAGGAAAGGAAAGATCTATGAGCAAATAGTGGCCTTTTGATGATTCTTTTCAAATTACTTTTTTTATTCTTTTCTTCCTAGAATAATAATATTAAAATAGTTTGGTATTCTTGTGTCATTTAATCCTGAAAACATTTTAAGATAGGTGCTATTACTATTCTCTTTCACACTATGGAAATTGAAAATTAAAGGAAATTATAGAAACTGCTTCACTCATGCAAACAGCAAGTAAGTAGCTGAGGAGGAATTTGATTGCAGGTGTCTGTGCCTATTGTTTAACCTCAATTTAGTGCACCATAAATTGTCATTTATAGTTCCATACTCCAAAATTCTAACATTTTTACCATCTCCTGCATTTTTCCAAGGGACATTTAAATTCCATTTAACAAATATTTATTGATTTACTATTATGTGGTAGGTATTCTGCTAAGTGCTAGAAAATAGAATGATGAATAAGACAGATACAGAACCCGCCTATGGTGAGCTTTTAATTTTAAGATTAAAATCTCTTTTGAGGCCAGGTACGGTGGCTCATCCCTATAATCCCAGCACTGTGGGAGGCCGAGGCAGGCAGGTCATCTGAGGTCAGGAGTTCAAGACCAGCCTGGCCAACATGGTGAAACCCCGTCTCTACTACTAATAATACAAAAATTAGCCAGGCATGGTGGAGCACACCTGTAATCCCAGCTACTAGGGAGGCTAAGGCAGGAGAATCGCTTGAATTTGGAAGGCAAAGGTTGCAGTGAGCCTAGATTGTGCCATTGCACTCCAGCCTGGGCGACAAGAGCAAAAGTGCGTCTCAAAAAAAAAAAAAAAGCTCTTTGAACTTCATGACTATTTTCAGTTTAAGTTACATAATTTGGATATAAACTTTTCTGCTTCTCAAAATATATCCTGGAATATGTGAGGATCTTAGTATCTCCACAAGAAGGTTTGGAGCATTTTACATATTTGCAGGTGAATGGTGTGTTTCAATATAATAGATCTCCATTAGAACTCGCTGGAAATGCCTATATGTGGTAATGATAAAGAAACAGGGAGATTATATGTAGATATATGTTCTGTGGGAGAGATGAGAATCACTAAAGAGGGGATGTTATTTGATCCATTTATCAAATAAAAAGAAACACAAATTAGAAAGAAAAGCAGTGTTGTGAGGAACAAAGGAAAATATGGAGAATGGGAATGAGTTGGTATATTCAAACCTAATAAATTCTAGAAACAGTTCTGCCTAGGAAAATTACATTTTAAGTACTCAGTTCAAAGTGTTAGAAAAGAAAAGGTAGGTGAAAAAAATGTAAAGTCATAAAATATCTTGCTTGCTTTTTCACTTTGCCTTCTTTAAAATAAATCTCAAAATAAGGTTTTACCACTGTTTCCTGTCAATGCTACCCCTCTCAAGCATGGAAGAAAAATAATTAAACCAAGCATGTATTCTGCATTCTAGAAAATGAATACATGAACTTTCTGCTGTTTTGCATCAGATTTGCTTTGTGTTTAGAAAGAATTTTAAATAATATATATGTATAAACTATACATTCTTTGATTAAACTAATTCAATGATATGCAACCTTATTTTCCACAGATTAACATTGACTTCGGTACCAGAGACCTCATCTCAAAGAATATTGCTGAACCAACACTCAAATGCTTTGATGAGGCTCAGAAATTAATCTATTGTCTCATGGCCAAGGATTCTTTCCCTCGATTTCTGAAGTCAGAGATTTATAAAAAACTGGTAAATAGCCAACAGGTTCCAAATCATAAAAAATGGCTCCCTTTTTTGTGAGGAAGGTAAAAGTTAACTAATCACTATACTTCAGGGCTACAATATTTTAAATATACAAGCATGATGCATTGTCTTTTGTTTTGTTTTTAGGATTTAGAAAACATTTTTTACCCAAACAGATGAATAACGTTTTATACAACAAGCCTGAATTTCTAACTCAGTTGTTTAGAATGTATTTGCTTTACCAGCTATTTAATCTCCTACTGGGGGAGTACAAAGAAAGTTTATAGAGATACAATATAGTCTTAAACCAAAACTGAATATTCTTATTATATTATAATGTAAGGAATTATACATATCTTCACGTGGCAGAATGAAAGACTTTTGAGCATCATATACACAATTTTAAATACCATTGCTTTATTCAAAAAAATCTCACTTTTGTAAAAAGAGAATTTCTGAACCAAAATACAAGCTTTCATTTAATATATTTAACTGTTTTTTTTCTGCCATTTCTTTCCAACTATTTCTAATAATGTGGTTATGAAAACTGCTACGCCTCTCAAATTATATTTTTTAAATCACAGGAATGTATACACATTTATATGTATGTCTTGAATGCACCATGGACCAAAGTTTTTCAAAATATATCACTTGGCTCAATTCAATGGCATCACATATAAAATGTGATGAGTTATGTATGAAAAGGCCTCAAGGGTGGGGAATACTGATTTTCTTATGTTAACAGAAATATAAAAGAAAGTGGAAGACTAAGGAGCATAGATAAATCCTTATAAGATGAAGTATATAGCAAGTCATAAAATTTAAGAATTTGCAACATTATCTACTCAATTGTGGGGAAGTATCTATTCACTCCTTCAGCACTGATACTTGTTTATAAAACCCAAACAATTTTTAAATGCATTTATTTTGAGATGTTCCTAAAATTGTTTCATTCTATATGTAAATATCCTGTGATAAATACGAATAATTTCATTTCAATATGAGAAGCTGTAAAGATTCAACAGATCTCCCACGTTTCCATTTTCTTTGCACAGATTTATTTATCTGCATTGATATTTCTGCTTTTAGATTGTTTGAACATTAAAAAATGGAGGAAAAATAGCATGGCTTATTTTATGTTTTCACAAACTACTCATTTGATAGACAAAATTTTGTCTTCCCTTCATCATGAGAAATAAACATTTAAACATATTCAAATGGAATATTCCCTGTACATTTGCAAATTCTTTAAAAGAAGGCATAAATAGAAATTGGTTGTGAAGCATTCAATGTGCCTTAAGGTGCACTTAGTGGAAAATAGCTACACTTTTTAACATATATTGTAGAGATTCCAACCTTAATTTAGTCTCTATTTAAATGGGAAACTTCAAATTATTCTCGGAGAAAAAATAGACTTTTGAAGATAAAAGGAATCTTGGAAATTAAAATCACATTCCCACTTTTAGATATGAAAAGAAAAAAATCTCAGTTATTTCCTCAGATCACAAGGCTAGTAAGTGACCAAGCTGGTCAGAGCAGTGCTTTTCCCACGTGGGCTCCCTACTCTGACAGAACAGTGTAGTCCTCTCTCCAATTAAGAACTGTTCTGAGGTCTGGAATCTAAACTCCAACTAATCCTCAAATACCCAGACACAATCCCTTTCATCAGGTATTTCAATTTTCTCTTTACAGTCAGTTTGCAACTTCTTTCTCGTTACCATAGAGCAAGACTTTATATTTAATGATTGCCTCTCAAGTTTTCTCTAATGATGTGAAAGAAGACACAAATTAAACTTTCACTACCTAGAAACAGTAGGTGCTTGATAGTACCTAAAAAAATACGGCTGGTGTCAAAATGTCTTGTTGAAAATTGGATGTTAAATGACCTCTAATAGGATCCCAGCCAAAGACCCTCAATAACAATACCTACCTCCTCAACTCACTCCCGCCCTAAGTGACAATTCTAGGTATTCTGATTAAATAAAAGAAAAGAAAACAATTGCAGGTTTTTGAACACTTATCAGTCAGGATTTTTAATAAAATATCAGATGTACATCTTACACACGTGCTCTCTTTCATGCCATATGTTATTTTATTTCATCAGTTATCGATGAGTAATTTTATGGATGAAATTTTAAGTAAAAAAAAATTAATTTGCAAGAAATGAATAACAACATTAACATTCCTGAAAATGTGTTTAAATATTCAATGATTGTTTAATGCCATTTCCTAAAAACGTTTCTATCAACTTTAAGAAATGAGGTGCTAACATTAAAAACTAAGGTAAGCAGTAAAACATTAATACAATTACAAGATATTTAAATTGAAATGACCTTCATATTGTAAGATTTTTCCAAGCACAATGCTTTCTGCTTTCTGATAGTTTCCACAGAATGTGTTTTAATGAAATTTCTGCTTGCCCTCCACTAGTCAGACCTAAAGAAGTAAAATGATATATTTCTAAGTTAATCTTACCTTTTTAACAATGAATTATGGAGCTATAATCCACGAATTTATCTAAAATCCTTTTGAATTTATTTGTATTTCAAGTATTAATAATTCCATCCATAATGATTCTTTTAAGTTTATATGTAGTTTCTTCTATTTGCCCAGAAAGGATCTATTTCTGCCTCAAGATATAATCAAACTTTTTTCTAATACTATATTGTAAAAATCTAAAATCTTTAGGGCATTACAAACATAATCTTGTCTCCAACTTTACCTTCCCAAATTTGCTTTTATTTCTTGGGTTTTTCTTCAGTCTGTCTATATGTAGAACTCATTCTACCCACTTTCATTGTTTTGGTTACTTTGCTCTACAGTTTTTAAAATTCTGTGTGGTGTAGCAACTATCTGTACTCAGGATATTGTTGATGAAAACACATATTGATATAATAAAAGGAGAGAAAAAAAGTGTTTTCAGTTTCTTTTCCAATATCCCTTCTAACGAAGCTTAGTATCAACCTGGCCTTTTATACCATAGTAGCATTCTGGGCCATAATTTTGGAAAATGGTCTAGGTTTCTTTCCTGAAATTTCAAGAAAAGTTTAGGTTCATTATCCTAGACTTGAAATTTAGATTGAACTTTCTTTTCTTTGTCTATATGGAAGATAATTAGCCAATATTCCCAATCATGTAGGCTATGCCTAACATAAATAAATAATTATTAGAAAACTTAAGAAATTTATTCTAAAAACAGAAAATTCTCCTTAAAAACAAAACCAGACAAGTTGGTCTCAGTATCGCTAGTCTCTGCACATTTATTTCCTATGTAAAAATTATATCTTTAGTTTTCACTCACACAATCCCTATATAACAGTTTCACCCCAATTATATCAAATGTGGGCCTGATTTGCTTCCCAACCACATGGCCAGGTAATTTATTTCATGGTGATGCCAATTAATTTAAAGTGAACTCATTTCATAACTGTGAAAAAGGTGGGATGTTGTCACAGCAGTAATCAACTATTATATGAATAAAGAGTCACACAGGCTAGCTTCCTCTTATTGTTTTGTCAGATTTGCCACTGCATTTTAATGGGCAACGAACAGGAATGAATATTAAGTGATAACTTATTTACCTAGGCTATGCTATTGTGGAGAAATTTTTATATGTTCTGTATAAATACTACTTATAGAGTGTGTTGAAATATGTATAATTAATTCTAATAATAAATGAACATATATTAGTGTGTTTCCAAGTATAACAGAAAGTGGGGAAAATAACATTTACTTAAAAATGCATTTTTTTTTAAGAAATCACATTAGCCTTTCTTTTTCTTTTGTTTAAGAAGCAAAAACAGAGCTAGACATGTGGAAAAGAAAAAAAAAAAATATATATATATATATATATATATATGTCCAATGAAGTTTAATCAGATTATTAGGTAGCCATTGAGTATTTATGATTTTTGTTATATCTAGAATAAAGTCAGCTATGAGTATTTCTAAGAAAAAAATTGCTTTATTCAATGCACATTGTTTTCTTAGGTGATGATTGTTTAATTATTCCTGGAAGTTTCACTTAAAACATAATTTAATTTATTTGTTTTCACAAATAAGGATTTTAAAGCAATTAATTCCTTATGAATATGATTTGAGTTATTTGTTTTAATACTTTTATTTCTTATGTGCATTTAGGAAAATAAGCTGTAATATTTAGATCATTAATGTTATAAATGATGATGGCTTAGAGATAAAATATAATAAATAGCTGTCTCTTTTTAAAAACTAATAAGAAAAAAGTTAAATTTTTTTAATTATATTAAATATTATTGTGTTTACTTCTTACAGATTTTAGTTAAAATATCTTATTTTTATAGTGTCAGTTTTAGCTTTAAAGAAGTAAATATTTTGGTCATGATACCTTTAAATTGTTGTTTTTATTGCACTTTCCAAATATATCATGTTTACCCCAAAGATATAATCATGAATTCAAAGTTATAACAGTTTTTTCTTACATATTATGAGGAAAAGACAAAGAAAATGCCTATTACTTGGTAGAAAAAAATAAATTTATTATTAATCACTCAAAGTAACGTTTAATATCTGAATATGAATCTTTTAGGACAACATACCATAATCCAATGTGAAAGACCAAGAACACTGTGAGGGAGATTTAAACTGTTGGAGTTATGACTGACCTGCTAAAAATTTTCTTTTAAAGTATTGTTTGCTGTCCAGTGATTCTCTAGATTCCTTTGCACGTTTGTTTGTTTTTAACCTAGAAGCAGTCTTTTAAAAGAGTAAATAAACTCTAACACTAGAAGGTTAAAGATTGGTTGAAATTTCAATCCATGAGTCTTAACTGTGTTTTAAACTAAATAATATAGAAACTGCATCTGGGAAAATGGCTTTTAAGTGGTAGAAGCCAGTGGAAATTAAATAGTATTATTACATAGTAGCTTAAAGTAAATTTAGAACTTTGTTGAAAAATCTAAGGTTACATGCATATATGAATATACACATATATTTACTTAATGAACTCTGTTTCTATTTAAATTTCTGTTTTTTGAAAGTGTTAATGGCATATATCACCTGGCTATTTTTAAGTCTATATAAGTTGCATTTCATAATATCTCCATTTCAAAAAGGATTAAAGCCTCAGAAAAACATAAAATGAAATCAGCGTTAATCAAATCAGAAGATCTATTTTCTAAATCAATAACTTTAAAAAATAGGCTAAATATAAGTAAAACATACTTCTTATTCCACGATTAAAATGCAGTCATTAGCCCTGACATGTGAATGGACACTTCTTAACTCAAGTTTGAAGGACTATGACTATAAATGCCTAAGCATTTAATAACTACTGCCTGACTAGTTGAGTTGTAAGAATTTCTCATTGAATTAACACTTCTGAGGTAGGCAATGTGGAAAGACAAAAAAAGATTTTTATAAGTCTTTCAAAAGTGTACAGTAAGCTGAAAAGACAGTATTTGGATAACAGCTCATAGTTCAAAGTATTTTCACAGAAGAAAAGTAATTCTATTTTCACATAAAATATACAACTAAACTACAGCATAAATGTTAATTGCAGGATAGTGTACATGGATATAAATATTGGTAATTCATATCACTATGTATCAATGTATAATTGTAAAGACATAGACTAGTTAAACCAGAGTCAATTGAGACTTCACAAAGAGAAATTGTAAATTGATGTGTGAAAACAAATGCAAAGAAGAGAAGGAGAAAGCATGGGCAAAGCATGCAAAAAGCATATGAAACCCCAGTCTAGTTGTGGAGTCAGCACTCAGAATCTTACAGTAGTTGCCTGAATTCTTTACTTGAGAAAGGAGAAGAGTTCAGCTATTTAGAGCAAAAGGTACACCTTCTCCCCCATGCCTTCCGAATGCCTTACTAAGTGCACCCTGGATCTTTGCGTTGATTAAGGAGAGAAGAATCTCCCTGGGAATGGGCTTTTAAACTAATTAACCCCAATCAGCAACATTGTCTATTCAATTATTTATGTACTCATTCATCACTGGAACCTATTTATGAAACGCGAACAAATTTTATTTAAAAAACATTTATTTTGAAATGCTTCTAAAATTGTTTCTTTCTATAAATAAATATCCTTTGATAAATAGGAAAAAATTTCATGTCAATATGAGAAGCTGTGAAGATTCAGCAGATCTTCCGTGTTTCCATTTTATTTGTACAGATTCATCTGTATTGATATTTCCATTTTGATATTGTTTAAACAATAAAAAATAGAGGCAAAATAGCATGACTTATTTTATGTTTCCAAAACTATCCATTTGATAGGCAAACTTTTGCTTTATATGCAGCACATGTGTTTTCAAAATTAGATGCTTCCAAGTAGAGGCCTGGTCACAGCCAAACACACCAATCTCTTGGTATTGCTTCACCCACACTTAATTGCATGGCAATTATTTAGCATTTCACCTTTGTTATGTCTTTAACAAAGACATAGCAAAGCATTCAATTTCAACCTCATTGAATTAAATCTCCCCCTGCACTGATTTCATCTCATTGTATATTGTTTAATTAAATCATGAAACAACAATAATTAAAATTTGCATAAAGAAGCTTGAGGAAAAAGAGAAACATGACTGTCGTTGATAAACCTACAACTCTACTGGTATCAGCAGATGAGCACTAGCAATAAGAATTCACTATTCCACAAACATGATCATTAAAAAGATGGAGAATCATAATGTAAAATCTAGACTCTAGATGATAATGATGTGTCCATATAGGTTCATTAATTGTAACAAATATACTACTCTGTTGGGGATGCCGATAATGCAGAAGTTATGCATGTGTGAGGACAGATGCAAGAAATCTCTGTACTTGTTAATTTTGCTGTGAACCTAAAACTAGTCTAAAAAATGGTCTTTGAAAAATCTGGAGAGAATGGAATAACCCTGAGAGGCTCTTAATTGGAGTTCTTCTAAAAGAACATCTAGACTGATAAATAATTTGCTCATCTAGACTGAGCAAATAAAGTCCACTTACTGTCTAAGACCATGTTGTATTAAAATCCTGAAAGAGCTGATAGCTAAATAGGAAAGTGGTAGACTGCCCATTTATTGTTGATGTTTAAATATCTAAAAGTTAAAAAGATGATTCAGATACAAATATAAAATAAAGACATGTCAAAAAGATTATTTTCTTAATTAATGAGGAAACCAGCAGGATAGTAAAGCTTTTTCAAAAGAGAATCAGACTGAAGAAGTTATGGCCAATTAAAAAGATGCTGAAATATTATTAAAAAGTGATATATGAAAATGGTTAATGTCTTAAAGAGTAATACCATTATGTCTTTTAGGGTTTTTTTGTTTGTTTGTTTTGTTTTTGTTTTTGTTTTTTGTTTTTTGTTTTTAGATGGAGTCTCTGACTCCCAGGCTGGAGTGCAATGGCGAGATCTCAGCTCACTGCAACCTCTGCCTCCTGGGTTCAAGTGATTCTCCTACCTCAACGTACCAAGTAGCTGGGACCTAAAGGTGCTTGCCACCACACCCAGCTAAATTTTGTACTTTTAGAAGAGACTGGTTTTCATCAGGTTGGTCTCGAACTCCTGACCTCAGGTGTTCCGCCTGCCTCGGCTTCCCAAAGTGTTGGGATTACAGGCGTGAGCCACAGTCCCTGGCTGGGTTGTTTTTTTTTTTTTTTAAAGCAGACAGAAATCATTGCCTCACCAGGAGACAAAAATCATTTGTAATTTATTAATCTACTGGTTATCATCTACTTTCACTGAGTCTGAATCCTGATCAACAGTACATAGTTAAATCAAACAATGCTTCATTCCTTTAGAGCAGGGGTAGACAAATGTTTTCTGTAAAGGCTCAGATAGTAAATGTTTTAATATTTGTGAGGTACTTCAAGTCTCTGTCACATATTTGTCTTTGTTTCTTTATCTTTTTTAACAACTTCTTTAAAATGCAAAATCTATTTTTAGCTCAAAGAATGAACAAGCATGGGATTTGGGCTGGATTTCACCTGTGGGTTAAAATTCGCCAACCACCTACCCTAGCCAATAAAATAATCCCTGAGTGAGTCTGTGGCACAATGTTTTATTGTGACACTGAAAAAAAATCAGTTTTCCCTTGCTTTATTTCCAAATTTTGGATAATTTGTTAATTTACAAATGAGAAAGCAAAGTGAAAAAAGAGTTAAGTAGCTAAATGTCCCAAAGCAAGCTGCATAGCTGGGACGTGAGTTTGACTTTAAACAGCTTACTCTGTCATTTCTTGTAATCACATTGATGCACACACACAAGCACATTCACAAACATACAGTTTTGGTGAACTATATTTCAAAGAATTTATTTCACTTTCTTATTCCTTTTACATTATACAAAAAAAGATATTTAGTAAGGAGTCCAGTTGCTATTGTTTTTCACTGTGATGTTGGGTAGTTGCAATCAGAAGCTGTTCTTTAAGAAGTCAATGTCTAAGAGTAAAAAGCTAAAAGGAAAAAGCAAAGAAACCTGGAATGAAGAGTAAAGGAAAATGAAGAAGTAAATATGAAAAGAGTAGTGGAAACAAAAACCAGAGATGAATCAAGGGAGAAAAAAGCACAATGCATGCATTTTTTTGAGAGTAAAATCTACTAAACTACTGATTCTTCAGAGTAAAATTTCATTTTCCCACAATAAAAATAGCTAGTCCCTGATAACACATCCAGGTTAATCTATCAAAGGCAGGGCATTGAAAAAAGAAAACCTATGAAATACACATAACTCATTAATTTCAAACACATTTCTCACTATTAACATTATAATTATCAGACACTAACTATTATAAATTAACATTAAAATGTACTAAATTTGCATAAGAAGAATACTATTATATCCCACTGCATTTGTGTTTCTCAGGTAGTTCAAAATTCTGAATATATAATAACAATATGATTATGCTGAATTACTTTATTAAATCTATAATATGAAATAAGATATTTAAATCTTTAGGTATTTAATTTTTTTATTTTATGAAATACATGCATTATAAAACTGTATTTGAGTTATCTAAAATCGTTGTTCAAATTAAGCCTCAGAATAGTTTTAAAAGAATAATCTCAAACTTATAATTTTTAATATTTCATGAATTTGAAATAATATAGCACTAATTAAACATATATAAATGATCTAACGTCTAATATATAATCATATTTGAATTGAAAAAAATTTTATTAAGTATGAGTATTTCATATAGATGCTTAGGAAAAATATGATTTCTTAGGAACATGAAATATAAGGAAGTAATTGAAGAACTTTATGTAGGAAGTATCTGAAAAATTTTTAATGCAAAATGCTTAATTTAAGATTACTTTCCTCTCAAGATTAAAATGTTAAACTTAGAATTCTAAGTACCAACTTTTTGACAAAAAGAGGCAGTGTACTGGCTTTCAAGAGCTATGCAATACATTATGTAAATATAATTTTACCCTTGCTATAACACTGAATAAATGCACATACTATATTATAATGAAGCATTTCTTCCTAGTAGTATTCTAAACTTCCATATAACAACTCAGACGTTAGTGAACATATGTTACAAGTATGTGTTAAAACCAAAGCATAATTAATTCTACGTCTCAGTGCTTAATATATCTTACCTTACTATTCTTCATTACTGTGAATGATATATTACCCTATTTTCAAGCTAACAAGTTAGCCTTCTACGATTTCATGAATACTAGCAGAAGATACAGACTCCTAGAACTGGAAAAAAGATGTTATAGTTCACAGCAATAGTAATATACATTACTATTAGTAATATGTATTACTAATAATAGTAACCAGAGAATCAGCAACCTCAAGCCCCAGTTTCCACAGGGTGATGCTCAGAGGGCCAGGTGATACTTGTAAACTCTGCAGCTTGCATTTCAAAAGAGAAAATCTAAGCTTAGAGTACCTGAATCTTTTATAGTGGGCAGTAAACATGCCTATCTTCTGCTCTGGAGAAAGACACTATGCCTCCTTCCAAGGTTGTTCGCTATACAAATATTCTCGAAAAATTGCACCAAAACGAAAGCAGTCAGTGCCTCTGCTTGCAAAATGGGCAAAGATGTGAAAAGCCTGTAAAGAACTGTGTCCTAACGACCACCCAAAGAGTAGAAAATAACTAGTCTTATTTCAAGGAACATGGAGAGAATCCTCAGACATTTTGTTGTGTGAATTGTTACTATAGAGGCACATTTGACCTTGCAGGAAGCCATTCCCTGAGAGCAGGAGGTAATAATCGATAGAGAAAAGGTAATAGTCAACTTTTGTTAGAGAAGATACTCTCTATGAAAAGATATTAAAGTACATTATTTTGTATGAGATCAGATTTTTCTCTTTGAAAGCTCTTCAACAGACTGCCTACAAATGGTTAAGAGAAATGCCCTGGGAAAGAGGCGTGTATTTTCTAAAGTTGGTAATACTTTGGGCTAAACAGATTGCATTTAAAATAAGTGTCAGGAGTGTGATGACTCAACTGAAACTTTACTGCTCTCAAATCTACTGTTTGCTGTCTTCTAACAAGAAGTCATCATTGTAAATCCTAAATTTACCATACATAGTTTTAGTTGTATCACACTACTTGTGGTTCCATATCGTAGTTATGCAACATTGCAGATGAGCAAGGTTGCCCACTTCAAAGTCAGCTTAATTTACTGTGTTGCTGTATTCCTGAGAGCCGTTTGCTGTGGTATAACAAAGCCATAATTCCCTTTGTTTAAATCATTTTGTGTATATTGAGGATGATACAAAATTCTAGTATTATACAAATTTTGAAAATAATTAAATACCTTTTCCTCTGTAAGTGGCACAAGACAGCTGCCTATCAATTTGCTGATCTATCCAGTACACAGATATAATTTATGCATGCACTAAATATACTTCAGTAAGAAGTTTTAAGAAAAACTATAATCAAAACAGATTAAAATTAGTTTTATTTTTTGGTGTTAAAATTTTAAAATTTATACTATCTGTACTCTAACACCAACAAAAATCTCCACAAAATACAAAAATGTCTTAAGTAAATTGATACGTTGATGTATAACATCTAAGATTGAGGATGAGTACTTGCAATAAGTTTTTTTGTGTATTTTATTTTGCTGCTTATTTTGCTATTATTTTCTTCCTGCAGAGTTTTTACTCTCACCTACCTAATATGTTGTTTGAATGTGAGAATAATCCAAGTTGACAGACAATGAATGAAAAAAAGAGTTACTGCTCCAGTCTCTACATGTATCCATCCATCCACTCATCCATTTACTCAATCATCTAAATGGTCCTTTCAACCATTAAGCAGTCTAGGAAATAACTAACCGTTAGGTTGTTTCCTAACTGTGAAGGATAGAAAAGTAAATAAGAGGTAGAAACTTATTTCAATGGATTAAATAATGTATTACTTTCACTGATCACGTTATAGGGAAATTATTACAGGGATTCACTGATAGAGAGCCCTGTGGGTATGTGTATTGATGAAGTGGGGGAGTGGGAAGTTTAAGAGAGAAAGATTGGGTGTGTGTGCCTATGTGTTTGTTTGGAATAGAAGAGCCTCAAATGAAACATGAGGGAAAAGTTATGCTTTAACTGGTCCTAAAAACCTACCAGACAGAGTGATAGGGCATGAAAAGGAATGGGGGAAACTCATAGTGATCTCTCCTTTCTTTCCTCCATACCTTTGGAAGCAAAGATATGGGGAAAGAAAGGAGAGATGCCCAGCCAGCTCCACATTTAAATAAATGATTTAGTTTTATCTGTTGGCATTCATTGATCTCCTTATTACTATGGCTGAATCTGAATGTGGAGATATGGTGTGCCTAGATATTCTACCACTCCCCTCTACAAGCTACACATAACAAATCAAGATTGTAGGTGTCCACACAAAAGAGAAATAGAACTTTTCTTTTTGGTTTTGCTTTGTTGCCTGCTGATGTGCTACCAGTTAGAGGTATTAATATACATATACTCCAGAAATCTTTTTTAAATACTTGATGAGGCACACAGTGAGTTTGTTTCTAGGAATACAAAAATGCATAGGATAGGTAGGATATCTGCTTCTTTGGAAAGTACAGTTAAGTAACAGAGAAAATTAAACAAGGCCAGGACACATTTGCTATGAAAAGACAAGGGCAAGGTTCAAGGAAGAATATATCAAGTTCTTAGGCAGGGATGGAGGGTTCAGATAAAGCTTTCCAAAAAACATCTAACATTCTGTGTACAGGGTAAGGAGCAAGCTTTGAAGGAGTTGAGTTTGAGCAACAGAATAACAAAATCAAAATTTTCTTTTAGAAAGATAAATGTATGTAGTGTTGAAATGCCTTGGAAAAGAAGAAAACTTCTGCTTCCAGATGTTAAATAAAATGTTCATCTAAAATTCTATTGACCAAAATATTCTATTTCTTTGACATTCTTTCTACATGAGTGATAAGCTCCTCCAGGGCATGAAACATTTCTTTCACAAAGCAGTTTGACAGTGCTTCATATTCAGTAAACACATTTTAAATACTCCTGTAATGTCTAATCTGGAAGCAGAAAACACAACAAACTGAAGCTGGAAGTGTCTGTTTGCTTCCTGTAAACTATATATAAGTTGGTCACAAACTCTAAAAGTGCTTACAAACATGGTTGACATTAAATTTAAAAAAATCAAAGTTTGACTAAATGTCTGTAACCAGTTCCTTAAATATATCAAGTAGCCTCTCTCTTGCCTATTTCCTTGGTCCTGTTCTCTAGAAGGGTGGAGTCATGAGTAGGGAAACAACTCACAAAACCACTTTTCACAAACTAAACACATGAAACTCTCCAGGTAATCGCCAGATAACTGCATATGTGTTACAGAATTAGAATGAATGTTTCCATCATGGAGAGAGTAACCTCCTACCTGATCATTCCACATCAAAATTCATACCATTAGAGGGAAAATTCACCTCTAAACTTTCAACCAGTTCAATATCTAAATGTGGGAGGAAGTGAAAGAGCACCTTGGTGGAAAATCAACTGCTTGCTGCTAATTAGGCTCCTCCACAATCCCCCAAAGAAGTCCAGCTAGCCAATTAAGTTTAATTGCTGCACACCAGGGCCTTGGGGTCTGGCCCCTACAGAACTCACAGCAGTGGCTACAGGGACTTCTTTGCCCAGAGCAGGGTTTCAACCCCACACTTCTCAAACTAATCTCAGTAATACTTTACCCTAATACACTCAAGCTGAGAGAGGACATATTGTACCTTTAGAATGATGCCATATTGTTTAGGATTGATTTCCAATTAATGTTCTGCCCTGAATTTCAATATATGCCCTAGTTTTTGTTACTTATTTAAGTTTATGATAATCAAGAGAAATGCTAGAGAAAAATACACTCGTGGGAAAAGATGAGTGTAAAATTATCATTATAAAACCCAAGATATGTGATATAATACAAATAAGTACATATTATCTATTTTCTTTGTTTCACAGTTAAGACATTACTCCTTGACTGTAATTTAGAAAATGTTCCAGAAATAGTTGCTGGAATCTCAAATAACCTGCAGATAAATATATTTTATATCTCCATCTTTGTAAAAGTATGGTTTTCTGTTATCCTGTTCTAATGCTTTTCTCAGGAACCTGATAACTGAGATTTTCAGGATATAGTCTCCATCTAACATTGACAGGAGTAAAATCGCAAACCTGTGCCTGACTCACTCTTTTAGATTTATTTTTATAATTAAGTTGCTATGCCTCCTAGTCACCATGACAGCTTTCTGCAATGCCTGAAAACACGCCCTTCCATTCTGACACTCTTATCCTACTCAGATTCCACTATTTGCATTTAAAATAAATGAATGCTGAATTTTATTCTTATTCAAAGCATTCTGAAAATGGGTTTTTATCCAGGTTGCTGCTGAAGTGTGAATAATTTCCATACTGCATTCATTAGTCATAGAAACAAACAAATATGATTTATAGGAAAAGATTGAATCCGGAGGCTAATTTTCTTCTTTCTGGTGGTATTACTGATTTCTTGACTTCCATTTTGCTTTACCTCTAAGAACACAAATGATGGGCAAAAAAATTACTAAAATGTAATTAAATAATTACCATCTTTCAAGAAAAAAAAATGTATGTCAATTGAGACAGGAAAAATATATTTACATAAGAGTAATACCAAAAAAAAGTGATAGAGAAAGAAGCATCAATGCCTTGACATGTAGGAAGCATGAAAAAAGGAAAAGACCAAAAAGAGAAAGGCATATTATGTAAGTACTATACTAATTATGATTATAAAGAATGCAATGCATTCTACCTTACATGCTTTATGATTCAAGTGTCATTACAGTCTAATTATATATCACATTTATATATACTATACCTTAACAGTTTCTGTATGATGGTCAATTTGCTCCTAAGGTTTTTTATTCTCTAAAATTACATGAACATGAAAACAGAGAAAAGGGGGCAGAAAAAAAAAAGTGACATCATAAAGATTATTTTAAATTGATACTTTCAAGCTCTAGTTAGTTCAATAAATAATATTGCAAGTAAATTCTTGGAACAGTTAGGAAAGAAAATGAAGTTTATAAATAGATATACATTAAATTTTTTTCAGCTAAGTAATTAATTGTGTATAAAAGCTTTAAGAATATTGAGCAAAGTTGCAGAAGAGAATAAAACTATATATTTTTTATAACTTCATCAGATATTGTATTAGTTTTCTAGGGCTGCTGGAACAAAGTGTCACAAATTGGGTGGCTTAAACAACAGAAATTTATTGTCTCAGAGTTTTAGAGGCCAGAAGTCTGAAATCGAGATATTGACAGGGTTGCCTCTGAGTGCTCCGAAGAGAAACTCTGTTCCAGGCTACTTTCCCCGACTGGTAAATGGCTGTCTTCACATATGCATGATGTTCTCCCTGTATGCACGATGTTCTCCCCGTATGCATGCCTGTGTCCAAATTCTCTCCTTTCATAAAAACATAAGTCATATTGCATTAGGGGCCTCCCACTTTTATGACTTTATCTTAACTAGTTACATCTGCAACAATACTATTTCCAAATAAGTTCACATCCTGAAGTCCTAGAGGGCTAGGACCTCAACTTACCAGTTTGGAAGGATATAGAATTTAACTCATAATGGGTAAAAACCTATTTTAATTGGAAAAATATGTGAATGTATAACCAATATGGATATATTATTTTCATTTTAATGTTACCTGAATAAATTCCTGTTTTTTATAATTCCCATAATACTAAATAACCTCCCTCCAAATTTTAACTATATTAAAATTAGGTAAACTTAAATTAACATCACTAACTTATCATGATTAAAAAAAAAGTTAGTCTGCTGTTGTCAAATTACAATTCAGAATGTGAATGTGCTTTTGGCAGCTATGGTAATATCTCTTTTGACTTTAGTATATCCAATAGATAATTCCTATTTTTCTGCTAGCTTTCTCTATTTGAACTATGGCTAAACATTTGTATGAAGAGACTACTATATCAGTCTGAGTCTGATCAGGAGCGAGAAACTGAACAATTTGGACAGGAAATATTTAATATAAAGAATTACTAACTATTGGATTGGAGTAAAAACATATTTATTAGTTAGATGTAAAGAGAACTTTAAAAATCCAAAATTAACAAATACAAGGTGCAACTATTCTTACCTCTAGAGTTGAGACAGAACTCCTGAGAGTTCCCACAGGAACGACATTTAGAACCTAGAACAGTGGCTCATTTTATGACAAAGCAATCACTGTAGTACTGTACCAGCAGAACTTGCCAGAAACAAATTCTTTGTAATGCCAGGTAAATCTACTCATGGAGAGACATTTGACCAGAGACACTCTGCTACAGGACTGCCTAAGGTGGTATCAAGGGAAAGCTGCTAGCTGCCATGTGCTCAATGATCCAGGCACTGAAGTTGCTGTACACCCTTTATTTGCAAATCTTTAGAGCCAGCTACCAAAGGAAAAATATCTAAAAAGCTCAGGTCCATTTTCACAAATAAGATAAAAAGGGTGAATTTTGAGCTAAGAGGCAATAAATCAATAACCACATCCACTAAATCATTACCACCACCTCTGCATGTACATATCATTTATATATTAAGGACACTGTATTATTGCCATATTTGTCAATGAAAATAAAGCACTACTAGTTTACAATTACTTATCCTCACTCTTTACCTCAAAATGATTTGAAATCCAAATGATTTTTATTTAAAAAAATCCTGATACAATCTAACAAGAGTATATTTATAGTCATTATTTCCCACTTACTTGAATAGCCACATATGTTATTGTAGAAATTTGATTTGATTCAAGTTTATTTCTACTGATTTCAGTGATTCCCCATCCTCCCTTGGGAAATTATATACTTTTCAGTGTATGTACTATGTTACCTTTCTCAAATCTAAAGCTATGGAAAATATCTGGCCCTAGGGGTTTCAGATAAGGGATTGTAGACCTTCTACTTTGGAACCATTTTGATCTTAAGTACAAAACCAGATATGGGAAGGTGAAATCAGCAAGATGGCAGAATAGGAAACCCTGAGCCTTGTTAACCCATAGAAACAAGACTTAACAATAATATACAGTCTGAAAAGCCTTTCTAAGAACTTCAGAAACCCATTAAGACCTCGTAATATCCAAGGCAAGTCCAAACCCAAGGCTAATCACATTGAAGTAGGTAAAAAAAAAGTGACTTAATTTTAATTGCATCAGCCTGTCCCCCAAGAGAGCACAGTTTATGGATGAGAGGAAAATCCCAACTTTCATCATCTCTCTATGGAGGGAAAGAGAAGATGGAAAGTATATCCAACATTCTGGCTTTTCAGAAAGCTGCCCAAAAGATTGGTGTCTGTCTTGCCCAACTCAATGGGAAACTCATTTACTTTAGAAGCCCAGGGAGCGCTGACAACAAAAGAGAGCCTAGTGGCTCATGGGAGAACTACAGAACTTGTAATACTGTGGACAGAAGCTGATAAAGTCCACTGTGATTGGGAGAAAGTACCCAGCTCACGGTTTCCTCCTTAGGAGGGATGGAGAAAAGTGGAATGTATGTCCAATATTCTGGCTCTTCAAGGGGCTTCCCAAAGGACTCTTTTCTGTCTCACTTGACTTGACTTCAAACACTGATGAAAGAGGAAAACCAATTCTTTTTTGAAAAGATTAATAAAATCAGAAAACCCTTATCTAATCTAAGACAAAAGACTCAAATAAAAACAGAAAGAAGAGACATTAGGACTAGTGTCACAGAAATAAAAAAGTTCATAGGAGACTACTATGATTATACTAATAACAATTTTATGCCAACAAATTGGATAACATAGAAGAAATGGGTAAATTCCTAGAAATGTACAACCTGCCAAGAGTGAATCATGAAGAAATAAAAAGTCTGAAAAGACCTATAATTAATGAAATTGAATTAGTAATCAAAAAACCCCCAAGGAAGAAAATCCGAAGATCAGGTGGCTTCACTGGAGAATTCCTCCAAACTTTTAAAGGCAAATTAACACCAATTCTTTTCAATCTCTTCCAAAAATGTGAAGATAATTAAACACTTCTGAACTCATCTTATGAGGCCAGCAATACCATAGTACCAAAACCAGACAAAGATATTACAGGAAAACTACACACCAAAATCCCTGATGAATATTGATGTAAAAAATCTTCCGTAAAATACTAATAAACCAAATGCAACAGCATATTAACAGGATTATATATCATGACCAAGTGGAAATTATTCCCGGAATGCAAGCAAGTTTCAACATATAAAAATCCATCAATGTAATACAACACTTTAGCCGAATGAAATGTAAAAATCACATGCCATCTCAATTGATGAAGAAAAAGCATTTGACAAAATTCGGCACCCTTTTATAATTAAAAAAGAAAAAGAAAACTAATGAAACAAGAAACAGAAGGAAATTACCTCAACATAGTAAAGGCTATGTATCAAAAGCCAAGGGCCTAACACCACACTCATGGTGAAAACTGAAAGCTTTTCCTCTAAGGTCAGCAACAAGGAAAGGATGCCCACTCTCATCACTTCTACTTATCAAGTGCTAGAAATCCTAATCAGAACAATTAGGGAAGAAAAATAAATTAAAGTCATCTAAATAAGAAAGGAAGAAGCAAAATTTCTGTTTGCAGATTATATTATTTATATATTTTTTAAAAATTCCACCCCCCCAAACAGAAAATTGTTAGGACTAATAAAAGTATTCAATAAAGTTGTCAGATGTAAAATTGATACACAAAAATTAGTGTGATTTTAATACACTAGCAAACAATTCAAAAAGAAAATTAAGAAATAATTTTATTTATAATAGCATCAAAAAGAATAAAATACCTAGTAATAAGCTTAACCAAGGAAGCAAAAGACTTGTACACAGAAAACTAAAAAACGCTCCTCGAAAATTAAAGACACAAATAAATGGAAAGCCATTTCATGTTCATGGATTAGAAGACTTAATATTTGTAAAAAATTTATACTATCTGAAGTAATCTACAGGTTCAATGAAATCTCTATCAAAATCCCAATGCCATTATTTTGCAGGAATAAAAAACAAATCATTAAATTCATATGGAATTCCAAAGGACCCTGAATAACCAAAACAATCTTGAGAAACAAAAGAAAAGCTTGAGGCCTCATACTTCCTGATTTTAAAACATATTATAAAACTATAGTAATCAAAACAGTATGCTACTGATATAAAGACAGGTATATAGACCCACAAAACCAAATAGAGATACTAGAAATAAACTGATTCATATGGTCGAATGATCTCCAACAAAGGCGAAAAGGCTACACAAAAGCTATGATGGGGGAAAAAAGGGGTGCGGCCTCTTTAACAAATTGTGTAGAGAAAACCAGATATCCACATGCAAAAGAATGAAGTTGGACCCTAACCTCACACCATATACAAAAGTGAACTCAAAATACATTAAAGACCTAAACACAAGACCTGAAATTATAAAACTCTAAAGAGAAAACGGAATAGATAAAAACTTCAAGACTTTGTATTTGGCAATTTCTTGTATATGGCAAGAAAAGCAAAAATACAAGTGGGTATATCAAAAAATCTTCTGCTCAGCAAAAGAAACAACAGAGTGAAAAGGCAACTTTAAAAATGGAAGAAATTCCTACAACTCAACAGCAACAGAAAAAAAAATCTAATTTAAAACTGGGCAAAGAACAAAAATAGACATTTCTCCCAAAATAAAAATACAAAGGGCAAACAAGCAAATGAAAAGATGCTCAACCTCCCTTACATTAAAGAAGTGTGAGTCAAAACAAAATGAGATATAACCTGACAACTGTTAGGATGGTCACTGTCAAACAAAACAAAACAAAACAGAAAATAATAAGTGTTGCTAAGGACATGGAGAAATTGAAACCTCTGTGCACTTTTGTTGGGAATATAAAATGGTGCAGCCCCTATGAAAAACAGCGTGAAGATTTCTCAAAAATTTAAAAATAACATTGCCATATGATCCAGTAATTTCACTTTTAGGCAGGTATCCAAAACAATTGAAAAAGGGATCTCAAACAGATATTTACATGTTACCCATGTTCATTGCATTATAGCAGCAATATTTATAAAATCCCAGAAGTAAAAGAAACCTAAATGCCCATCAACAAAGGAATAGATAGAGAAGATGTGGTTTATCCATAAAACAGAATACTATTCAACCTTTAAAAAGAAGAAATCCTGATAGGAAGTGAGGTAGCCAGTCACATAAGAAAAAATACAGTCATGCATCATATACCAATGGAAATATGTTCTGAGAAATGTGTCATTAGGCAGTGTAATCTTTGTGCAAACAATGTGAAAGTACTTACACAAACTTATTATATGTGGTTGATACAGTTTGGCATCCCCACCCAAATCTCATCTTGAATTCCCATATGTTGTGAGAGGTACCTGGTAGGAGGTAATTGAACTGTGGGGGCAGGTCTTTCCCATGCTTTTCTCATGATAGTGAAGAAGTCCCACGAGATCCGACGGTTTTTAAAAAGGGGAGTTTCCCTGCACAAATTCTCTTCTCTTGTCTGCTGCCATGTGAGAAGTAGCTTTCTCTTTCCATCATGATTGTGAGGCCTCCCCAGCCACATGGAACTGTAAGTCCATTAAACCTCTTTCTTTTTTAAATTGCCCAGTCTTGGGAATGTCTTTATCAGCAGCGTGAAAATGCACTAACACAGTGCTACAGCCTAGTGCACATCTAGGCAAAATGACACAGCATATTGCTCCTAGGCTACAAACCTGTACAACATGTTACTGTACTGAATACTGTAGGCAAATGTAATACAATGGTAAGTATTTGTGTGTCTAAACATAGACAAGTGCAGTAAAAATGCAGTATGAAAGATTTAAAATGGTACAACTGTGTAGGGCACTTACCATGAATGAAGTTTGCAGGACTGGAAGCTGCTCTGTGTGAATCAGTGAGTGAATGTGAAGGTCTAGGATATTACTGTACATTCTGTAGACTTTATAATCACTGTACACTTAGGTTACACTAAATTGATTTTAAAATAGTTTTCTTCCTTCAATAAGAACAGATTACTGTAGCTTTTTGATTTTATAAACTTTTTTTAATTTTTTAAAACTTTTTGACTCCTTTGTAATAACACTTACGTTAAAACACAAATACATTTTACAACAGTGCAAAAACACTGTCTTTCTGTGTATCTTTATTCTATAAGTATTTTTTTATTTTTGAATTTATTTATTTAAACTTTTTTGTTAAAAACTGAGACATAAACACATGCATTAGCCTAGGCCTATGCAGGGTCAAGATCATCCATATCCTTGTCTTCCACCTCCACTAGAAGGTCTTCTGGGGCAATAAGACGCATGGAGCTGTCATCTCCCATGATAACAGTACCCTCTTCTGGAATATCTACTGAAGGACCTGTCTGCCACTGTTTTACAGTTAATTTTTTTTATGGAATACCTCCTGAAGGACCTGTCTGCCACTGTTTTACAGTTAATTTTTTTATATGTAGAAGGAGTACATTCTACAATAACATTAAAGGTATATTGTAGTAAATACATGCCAGTAACATAGTCATTTATTAATTTTATCCAGTATTATTCACTGTACTTAATTATATGTGCTATAATTTTATGTGACTGGCAGTGCAGTAGGTTCATTTACATCAGCATTACTGCAAACATATAAGTAATGCATTGTACTGTAAAATTATGACAGCTATGACATCACTAGGCATTCATTTTTAGCTCCATTATAATCTTAAGGGACCATGGTTTACATACATATACATAAAAATACATAGAGTATATATATATATATATATATATATATATATATATGGCATATATATAAACATGGTCCCTTAAGATTAGAGTGTGGCATTGATTAAAACATAGTTATGTGGCATATGACTGTACTGTATGATTCTACTTATATGAAGTATCTGAAATAGTCTCGAACTCGTAGAAACAGAAAGTAGAACAGTGCTTGCCAGGAAGTGCTGGCAGGAAATTGGAAAGGGGGATGTTTTAATCAGGCTTCTTCAGAAAGACAGAATGAATAAGTTATATGTAGAGAGAGATATATGAAAAGGGATTTATTAGAGGAATTGGCTCACCCAATTATGGAAACAGGGAAGTCCCACGATGAGCCGTCTGCAAGCCGGAGAAACGGGGAGGCCAGAAGCGTGGCTCAATCCAAGTCAAGTCTGAAGGCCTCAGAACTACAGATTCCAATGGTCTCTTAGTCCGAAGCCAAAGTCTCAAGGGCCTGAGTGGGCCACTGCTGTGAGTCCCAGAATCTAAAGAACAGAGTCAGGAGTTCTGAAATCCAAGAGCAGGAGAGAGCATTCTGGCTCTGGAAAAGAGAGCAAGAATTTGCCCTTTCTCCACCTTTTTGTTCCATCCTGGACCCCAGACAGATCGTACCCGCCCACATTGAGGGCAGATTTTCCCCATTGCCAATCTCCTCCAGAAACACCTTCATAGACACACCTGGGGCAGCCCTTCATACTCACCAAAAGACAAATCACCTGGGCCTGCCTTTCAGCAGAAAAGAGATGAGCTCAGTTCCTATCAAAGCATTGAGAACAATTAACGCCTTACCAGCTATCTGGGTATCCCTTAATCCAGCAGAACTGATGCCTAAAATCAACCATCAGAGGGGAGTTTTTCAATGGGTATAGATTTTTAGTTTTTCAGGATGAAAAAGTTCAAGAGATCTGTTGCACACCAATATGCATATAGTTAACACCATATATGCATTCTTAAAAACAGTTAAGATGGTAAATTTTATGTTGAGTCACTGTCCAAAATGAATAATAATAACAATAAAACAGATATGGGCTCCAAAAGGCCTAACTATATGCAGTTACAACATAATTATCCAGATAATTCAGAATGCGCTTACATTTTTTAAAGGAAATAGTGTAAAAAATAATAATTAAAATTTTCTCATGAAGAGCCAGAGTCTCTTCCATATTATTTCCAGAACACAGAGAGTGGAAGGGGAAGAGGTGTGGAGGAGGTGGATGGGGAGCTTCATATCTGAATTTGAGAAACCCATTGTATATATACCTCACGCATGAAAGAGTAAGATTTAGACATTGCTTAATTGTCCTTTTAAATGCCAAATCACCAGGAAAAAGCAAAATACGGGGTGCCACCTTCTATAGCTAACCTTAACCCTGACCTTAACCTGAGCTTCCACAAATTCTTGTGTATTTCTGATAGATAATAAAATCCTTTATTTTTAAATGATAACCTTGTTGTAAAAGGGAGTTACAATGAATAAAGCTACTTCTAATGGCAAAAAATTTGGCTGCACTCAGATTAAATATTCACCATGATCTAAAACTTCCTACACGTTAAACAATTTGGTAACATTTCCTGTTTTTCATCTTCTTTTATTGCTACTCATGTTTGAAATATACTTAATGCCAATATATTTCATAGCTTTCATAAATTTTTAATTGAAACTAAAAGAATAAAATAACATACTTATGATTGACAAAAGCATTGTTCCATATAGTTGTCATAAGTTCAGAACTCTACTGTTTTATCACCAAACTTGGTGCAGAGCAGACATTGTTCATTTTCTTTATATATATTTTATGAAGTCAATGTCTGCATTCTTTGCTATAACTGCTATTGTAAAAAGTATATCAACTGTAACCTCTTGTGCTGAGGAGACATGATCGATCAATTAAACAACAACACAAGAACCATTCAAGTCATGTCAGATCTTCATTAAATATTAGAATGTAACATCACACCTCATTATTGTGATTTAATAATTTAATTAAAATGTCCTATGAAATAAAATAGTGGTCATAAAATTGGAAATAACTGAACATTAAAGAAAAGATTTCACAGCCATCTAAAAGATGAGCATCTTGATTGAACATTTGGCAGGTAAATGAAGACAATAATGTCCCCTCAACTATTGCCCAGGTACCATCAGTATTGGCACATTGATATTTGCAAAGATGACTCAGATAAAAATGTTGTAAACTATTGTGAGTACATATTATCAAGCATTCATGTACTTGACCCTAAGCCATTAGATCATCTGTTCTTTGAAAATTTACCTGGCTAAAATTGTAGCCATTGCTAACTAAGGTGCAAATTTGCTATTTGCAAATTAAAGTTTGGCCCCACAATTTGCTATTGATTAATATTGTTAAGCAATTTCATGAGAAAGTTTGAAATGATACAAATGTGAAATAATTTTATGATTCAGTTAATAATAAAAAAATTGCAGGGCTGACAGGCATATGAATTATAAAGTCTGTTAAAGTGTAGGGTTCTCATGGAGGAAGTACTTTTGCTGGTAAACAGAAATCTCCACTTCTAAAGTTTTACAGTATCTTGTGATTCAAGCTGTTATTTACACACATAGGAACTTCTACAGTTGATTTTGATTACCCCGTGCTAGTACTTTATCATAAAGTCACCTACATCTTCTTTAAAATTCTAATAATATCATGCAAGTATTCATCAAGTGGTAGTGCTGGTGCTGGAAAATAAATGATTAAAATCAATACCTTTGGAATACAAATTAATATAAAAAAAAACACCATGATGATGGTCAAAGAGCCTGCATGACTTACTGTGCTGTTAACTTAGGAAAGCACACTCTGTGACATTTTAGAGACAAAGATGAGAAAATAAATATACCATTAGGCCAGGCAAACCTTCAAGCTAGCCAAAAGGACGACATGTCAGCAAGGCAAATGGGAAAAATAAAAGCAATCTCTCATTGTAAAGTGCCCCTAAGTTTAGGTGGTCCTAAGGGAAATTAGTTTTATGTTTGATGACCAAGAGGGCCTTAACATTCCCCTCAGCTTTACTTGACTTTAGACTCTAGACCCTGACTTCCCTTTTCTTAGAGCATTTACTTGGAAAACATCTTGTAATTGTAAATGCTTTCTCTGCCTCTTTGAGAAGGTAATGTTTTTACAAGCCTCTTGTCTGGTTTGTTTGTTTGTTTATTTATTTATTTATTTATTTATTTATTTATTTATTTATTATTAAAATGGAGTCTTGCTCTGTCTCCAGGCTGGAGTGCAGTGGCGGGATCTCGGCTCACTGCAACCTCCGCCTCCTGGGTTCATGTGATTCCCCTGCCTCAGGCTCCCGGGTAGCTGGGACTACAGGGGCATGACACCACACCCGACTAATTTTTTTTGTTGTTGTTGTATTTTAGTAGAGATGGGGTTTCACCATGTTAGCCAAGATGGTCTCAATTTCCTGACCTCATGATTTGCCCGCCTACAGCCTCCCAAAACGCTGGGATTACAGGCGTGAGCCACCATGCCCGGCTGCCTCTTGTCAGTTTTACAACCCAGGAATGTCTTTCTCAAGGACCTGGGAGCCATCCCTTTGAAATGTAATCATCAAAGAAGATAGCGCCTTCACCTCCCAGTCTCTATGGGAGGGTAGGAGCCTAACGTTGGTGGGCACCTTGTTCCAAGTTGTAAAATTACCTGCTATCACAAAGATAAGGAAAACTTTATTTTCCACTTGGTAAGGTCAATTAGCAAACACAGATGACTTTTACTTTCCTCCACCCTAGCTCTTAACAAATCCCTGCCCTTTGTTTCAGTAGATCTGGGGATCCAGATTTGGTCTGTGTTCTCTTCCTGATTTCTAAACTATTCTAGCATTCATATAAAATCAAACAAGACCCCAAATAGCCAAGGCAATTTTAAGTAAAAAGAATAAAGCCAGAGGCATCACATTATCTAACTTCAAACTATACTACAAGGGTACACTAACCACAGCAGCATGGCACCGGTACAAAAATAGATAGACACGGAACAGAATACAGACCCCTGAAAAAAAAAAAAAAAGACACACATACAACCAACTGATCTTTAACAAAGTTGACAAAAATAAACAACACCATTTAACAAAGTTGACAAAAATAACACCATTCAACAAATGGTACTGGGAAACTGGCTAACCGTATGAAGGAGAGTGAGTGAAACTGGACCCATAGCTCTCACCTCATACAAAAACGAACCCTAGACAGATTAAAGAATTAAATATAAGACCTCAAACTATAATGCCCTAGAAGAAAATCTAGGGAATACTCTTCCAGATATTGGCCTAGGCAAATAATTTATGACCAACTCCTCAAAAGCAAATGTAACAAAAACGAACAAAAAAATTGGAATCTAATTAAGCAGGAACTTCTGCCTCAGCCTCCCAAGTAGCTGGGACTACAGGCACATGCCACCACGCCCAACTCATTTTTTTTCTTTTAGTAGAATATATTACCAAAAGAAACAATCAACAGAGTAAACGGACAACCTACAGAATGGGAGAAAATATTTGCAAACTATGTATCTGACAAAGGACTAATGTCCAGAATTTATAAAGTTCTTAAAGAAGTTAACAAGAAAATAAAAGAAAACACAAATTATCCCGTTTAAAATAATCCCATCAAAGGACATGAACAGTAACTTCTCAAAAGAAGGCATACAAGCAGCCAACAAACATACAAAAACACAAATGCAAATCAAAACCACAATGAGATACCATCTCACACGAGTCAGGATGGCTATTAATAAAAAATTAACAAAAAAAAACAACAGATGTTGGCAAGCTTGCAGAGAAAAAGAAGGACCACTTAGATTCTGTTGGTGGGATTGTAAATTAGTTCAGCCACTGTAGAAAGCAGTTTGGAGATTCTTAGAAAACTAAAAATAGAATTACTATTCCACCCAGCAATATCATTAATGGTCATATACCCAAAGGAAAATAAATAGTTCTACCAAAAGGACACATGCACTTGTGTGTTTATCAGAGCGCTATTCACAATAGCAAAGACACAGAATAAACTCAGGTACCCATTAACGGTAGATTGGATAAGAAAATGTGGTACACATACACCACAGAATACTGTGCAGCTACAAAAAGAATAAAATCATGGCCTTTGTACCAACATGAATGCAGCTCCAGGACATTGTCCTAGGCGAATTAACAATGAAACAGAGAACCAAATAGCACATATTCTCATTAATAAGTGGGTACTAAACACTGGGTCCACACAGACACAAAGATGGGGAAAAAAACACTGGGAATTCAAAAAGTGGGGAGGGAGGGACAGAGGGATGAAGGGTTGAAAAGCTATTTGTCAGGTGTTATGTTCACTACTTGGACGATGGTATCGGTAGAAGCCCAAACTTCAACATCACACAGTATACCCAGGTAATAAACCTTCACATGTACCCCTTGAATCTTAAATTTAAAAAAATGAAAAAATTAACTTACTACTGTTAAACTTGTTTGGTGTGATTTATTTAGCAGGTGGGTCTTGAGGAACGCCATTCTTCACATACATTGTGGCATCTCTATATTGTAGTGATGGGCACTGAGCAGATAACACAAGAGGTCAGAAAATAGTTCTTGAAGAGGATAGAACATGTCTGCTTTCTGTTTCTTAGGTGTTTAACTGTCAGCACAAGAACCAAAAAAAAAAAATTATTAACAGAAGCAGGGGTAGATTATGGCAGAAATGTTCTAGTTCCATAATTTTGGAAGCTATCACATCCCTCCACTCTGCAGTGGAAGAAGCATTCCAAAGAGAAAAAGGATTTTAAGATCACAGGGGAGAGAAAGCACAGGAGAGAAGAAGAACAGAGTATCTATCATTCATTGGGAGGCGAAACTCTTTAAGAATCATGTGGAGGCTGAGAGCAGAATGGAGAGAGCAAGAAGGCTCTCAGGGCAGACCACTCATACAGCGCCTCTCTAACTTTTTATTAAAAGGAAAAAGAGTGGGGAGATTGCTTTCGCTCATTAGCAAATACCAGATACTTTTTAATTTATATTCAATATGAAGATTTAATAATATGTGATTATCTGAATCAGTTGTCCTTGGAAGTTAGTCAGTTGAAATTCAGAGAATAAAATAAAATGCTTGTTTCAGGTAAACAGCTCTCCTCATTCAGTTTTAGGATTTCGGCAGATTTCCACTACCACATTCTGAAGACTATGACTGGTGAAGGGACCGTGTCATTTACTTGGACAGCTTTCATGTGTCCCTTTAAAAAGAGAGAGGTCATATTAAAGGTCTGCTGAAAATGATTTTTCTCTTTTTATTCGATGATGCTGTCTTCTTCAGTGGACAGACATGAAGCTCAATACTTTTGTTAAGAGCCCTGCACAGAAACCTGAAGTCACAGCATCATATTTTAAAATTTATTCTTTGTTGACTGGAATCTCAAGCTACTTATATTCTACACTAACACTGAATGGGGAAATTTCTGTTGAGTTTCATGACATACTAAGGTAAATCTGGTCATGGGTCACTGAGAAAATGAAGAAAAAGAAAGAGAAGGAGGAGAAAAAGGAGAAGAGTATTAGCATTCAGTTTCCAGTTGACAGCAAAATGTCCTCAGAATATCCTAAAGAAAACGAAATACCTACTTCAAATGGGTAAGGGATTACTGTCTGCACAGAGGAGAGAATTTTCCATACACTTAGACAATGCAAATTTAACATCACAGCCACCTTACATTAGAAATGTATTCATCCCAACAAATGTGTACTGAGTATCTTGTATGTTCCATCACCATAGCAGGTAGAACAGATACAGAAGTGAACAAGATCAACCAGGCCCTGCTTTCATGGAGCTTACATTCTATTGGAGGGAAAAAGAGTCAATCAATGCAGCAAACAAGAATATTTTAAGAAATGATAATTGCTTGAAGACAATTAAAATAGGATGATTTGATAGAAAATGTTTTCATAATTTTATAATTAGATTGGTTACTCAGGGAAGACCTAGCAGAGGGTAAAATAATTAAACTAAGAACATTTGCAGCTTCATCCATGTCCCTGCAAAGGACATAATCTCATCCTTTCTATGGCTGCATAGTATTCCATGGTGTATATGTACCACATTTTCTTTATCCAGTCTATCATTGATGAGCATTTGGATTGGTTCCATGTCTTTGCTATTGTGAATAGTGCTGCAATAAACATCCCTGTGCATGTCCCTTTATAATAGAATGATTTATACTCCTTTGAGTATATACCCAGTAATGGGATTGCTGGGTCAATTGGTATTGCTGGTTCTAGATGCTTGAGGAGTCACCATGCTGTCTTCTACAATGGTTGAACTAATTTACATTCCCACCAACAGTGTAAAAGCGTTCCTCTTTCTCCACATCCTTGCCAGCCTATGTAACAAACCTGCACATTCTATACATGTATCCTGGAACCTAAAGTAAAATAATTTTTTAAAAATAAAAAAAAGAACACAAGAAGGGCTTGACCATTTGAAGATCAAGAGACAGCTGGTGTAAAGACTCTGAGGCAAAGGACTTGATTGTAGGAAGAATGGAAAGAATCTCAGTGGGCTAACAGATGGAAATGAAATAGGGAGTAGGATAAAATGGGGGCATAGAAGATCATTGGAGGGATTCAACCATGGGAAGAACAGCAACTCAAGGCATTTGTACTATGCAGTGAGTCTGGAAAGCCAAGTCCTAGAGCACTGGATCCTTGGGAGACCCAACTGAATAAGAATAACAACAACCATGAATTGGTTCAATAATACCCAAACCACTTGCTTTACAAATGTTTTTGTTATATCTTCAATTGCCCAACAATCTAACCTTCACCCCATTTTACAGCTTGAAAAACTGGAGTTTAGAGAGGTGATATGACCTAAGACTTCATAGTATGTAAATGGCAGAATCAGAATTCATAATATTTTATGAATTATTGGATTTGATTCCTTGGTGAAAGACATGAGAGGAACATAAGAGCCCTTTTCTGCCTGCTAAATGTGTCCTTATCTTTCTCTCCAGGAGCCCCAAGAAATAGATTCCATTCCAGGCTCCTCTCTGCTTTCTTCTCTGACTCAGCCCTGTCTTCTGCTTCAGTAATTGAACAGGAGGAGTTATAACTCGCTGGGAACCTCTGGTCTAGGCAGCTGCTCCTCCGAACTACTCTTAGAGGACAGATCCCACCCCAGAGAAATCATCTTCAGAGGGACCACTCTAAGTTTACTCCTTGAAATTAATTCTATCAACATAAATTCAGTGTTTTCAAAAGGAGTAGGAACTTAGAATATAAGTATTTTATTGTAATATAATTTTACAGCATTTACTATTTCCTATATAAACATGGTAAAAAAAAAAAAAAAACTAATAATATAACTAATCAAAATGTCACAATTCCCCAGTACCCTAGAAAGCCAGTTGGTAGCAGAGAGTGTCCTGCCATTAGTTCACTTATACAGGTGACTACTTATTTTCATATTAAACAGAGAAGTTAGCATACTTAATGCTGTAGGGCACACTAAAGGCAAGATCACAAGTTTAGTGCATTATGGTTCCAAAGCATTGCAAAGTAACTTTCAAATTGCAAGTTTCTCTAAAAACAAAAGTGAGTTTATTAAACTTCTACTTGTGATGAGACTATAAGGAAAAAATAAATTGCTCTAATTTCCCTCTGAATAGGAAAAACTAATTTTATGTAAGGAACATTCCGTGGACTTTTATTTAACCACACACACATTTGACTGAGTGTGTCTGAAGTACTTCAGCACCTCTTGGTATGTCATCATTCTGAACTCGTTTAGAATTCAGTGAACCATCACAGAGCATAACATATTCATTTGGTAACCACTTGGATGTCACACTCATTTCTATAGGTATTCTATTGTAATTCAACATTACTGGGCACTCAGGAAAAGCGTTAGCCTTAATTTCTTTACTTGCCCCACTGTTAGAATTCATCCTCTGCATATAAATCAGCACATTTGCATGTACAATTTATTCTTGATCTGAGCTTTATATTTTAAAGAATCTCTTTTTCCTTATTATCACGTTTAAATGCAAATTGTTTGATACACTGCTAGTCTATTACAGTTGTGAACAAACTTATAAAGCAAGAGATTCCATAGGTTCAAAATCGCTGCAAAAGTTAGCTGACTTTGCCTTGTTTTTTTTTATTTTTTTAAAAAGTCCATTGTGCCTAAATAATATAACATATTCTTGCCATTTTTGTTCCCCAGCTAAATTCAACCAGATCATGTTAAAATATAAATACCTATGGAAAATCAGTCTTAAATTTTGGGAATTATGAGGAATGTCATCCCTCATGTAGAATGTGGCCTCTATATTTTAGTGATAAAAGTTAAGCAATAATACAGGGGTTCATATAATGGTCTTGGAAGTGGATAGAATGCCTCTGCTCTCTGATTCTCAGGGGTTTTACTGCAAGTACGAGACCTAAAAAGTAGGAGTAAAAATGACGTGACTGGAAATGTTCCAGTTCTAAATATAAATATAGAGATAGAGATATTAACCAAAAGTATAACAATTATAACCTGTTGAGCTAAATCCACAGGGTCATGGCAGATAGATAGATAGATAGACAGACAGATAGATAGATATAAACACACATAATATGTGTTTGTGATAAAAATTTTCCATTATTAAAAATCATAACTACTTAAGCTAAACTACAAAATACATAAAATATATATGTAAATATAAATGTGAGTGTATTATACAGTGATACCTAAAGAGTAAAATTATTAACTTTTGGTCATGGAACAATATTATTTTTAATTATAACATAACTAGCTATAACTAAGATCTAAAATATTTCAAAAGTAAGATCTCATATAGCACTCCAATACTTCATTAAAGATGTAAGATGATGTTAAAACCCCATTTTATAGAATACAAAGTAAAATGGAGGTTGATTTTTGGATTTGTAATATATTGAGTTCATCATGAATATGAAAGGGCTGAATCTCACTCCATATTTTTCTATTGGTTTTAAATTGCTTAGCTGTCTTCAAATCTCAAAGCCAATAGATTGTGTACTGAGAAAACAAGATTAAAGGCAGTAAATCATTGCTAAATTAATTTATTCATATTTCTTGTTAGCCTTTTAAAAGCTGAATAGTAAATGAATGAATAAATGAATTGTAAACAAAGAGATGCATAGACCTAGTTTTAGATTCTGGCAGAGATATCAAGACATATTTATAAATACCCACAGTGTCCTGGGTAGACTCTTTGCTATTCCCTGTGAGGAAACTCCACCTTCCATTAACTATCCCCTACATTTTATTTTATTTTGTTATTTTATTATCGTAACTCAACATAAGATCTACCTTCCTAAATGTTTAAGTGTAGAATACATTATTCTTGACTATATTACAACATTATATAGCATATCTCAAGAGCTTCTTCATCTTGCTTGACTAAAACTTTATATTCATTTCTGACCCTGAGCTTAAAACTGATAAGCTCTACTTTCCTAACAGCACTAAAAAGAACTTAACTGAAAAATAACTGAAGTAACATATTGTCTCCTTTAAACAGTGTGCCAGTCAAGTAATATAGGAAATAAATGTTGATTTTTATTGTGTATAATTATGCCAGCTGAGATGTGTGTATGTGTGTACACATAAAGAAAATTTGATTTAAGAGAAGTATCAAGAGAGGGCTTTTAAAGAATCATAGTTTCCTTTTTCCACAGTCTCTACTTTCCCATATGTTGTTCTTATTTTTAATTCCTTAGGGTTATAAATCTGCCAAATGCTATGTAGTTAACACAAGCTCACATCATGGAATATGTTGTGTTGTAGGGGCAGAAAGGTGTGATACCTTTCCTTACCCATCATAGGGGTCACAGCTGACACTCCTGTAAGAAAAGATGGATTAACAAGAGAAAAGAATAACAAATGTATTTATTCAAAATGTTTTCTCGAAGCAGAAGCCTTCTGAAATGAAGACCCAAAGACTGAAGGAAAAATGTGTATTTTTACTCTTAGGTTTGATGAAGAATGGACTGTGCAAATATGATTGTACAAAAGGGTATGAGCTAAAGGAATAGACTGAGGCAGAAAACCCAGCAAAGCCTTCTGTTCAGATTCTTCTTGGCCTCTTTGTGTGGCATTTCTTGCTCCCGGGTATAAGGCAAGACCCTTCTGGAATGAGGGTCTTATAATCTACCAGCAAACAAGGTAGGTCAGATAATTTCTTTATGACCAGCTCCTACACAGAAAGATGGAGGAAGGAGAGAGTAATATTTCCAGTTTCTATGGCCTTCCTTGGGGAAGGAAGGGGAGCAGGGGAAAGAAAGGCAAGAAAGAATCAGGAAGAGACTTCACTTCTGAGGCCCTTCCAATGTCCTTCAGCTCAAAGTCCTCATCAGGCCAAAGCATCATACTTTGGGGTATTGTTTTCAGAGTCCTAACAATACAAAAGAAAATTTTATTTAAAAGAAGCATTTTCCTATCTCAAAAATTGTAATTAGAGGTATTCATGATTCTGCAATGCAGTTTTGTATTTAGAATATTTCCTGAGAAATACTATCAATCAGTATTTTTAAGTAAGAAATAGAAGATGTTTCAGTAAGTTTTTGTCATTAAAAAGAACCTAGATTTTGTTATATTTAAAGTGTCCTGAATGACTAAATAATGTCTACTATATAAAATGAAACATTCTTTCTTATCATTCCAGAATGATTTTTCTTTGACCTTGAGATGATAGTCATACTATACTAAAATTCTGGACCTTACCAAATATAATGCTGTTTATCTTACCATGCTATAATATTGACAGCTACTAAAATTTCCCACCAGGTGATGGTGAAACAGTATTTCTAGCAAATAGATATTAACCCCTTGCCTAATGAGATTAATTTGTTTCCCGGTGAGTTGGAGATATGTCTGTAACAATTTCCATTCAGAGGATATCTGCCTTATCAGAGATGGCAGACAAACATTTAATAACCCCCTCATCTCTCTTCCTTTTTCCTGACCTGTTTCCTAAGAGGACAAGCCCGGTTGCTGAGCAACAGACTACTCTGGAAAAGCTGTAGCGCTCCACCTTCCTTTGCTAGTAAAAAGCAGGCAGATGAAAGCAAACCTAAGGTTTGGACACCAGGAAGGAGTATGAGCTAAGCCACTTTTTCGAGGCTGGGACAGCATTGCAGTCAATCTTGGAGTTTGTCAGCCAAATAATTGCACAGTTGCAGAATATTAGACACTTTTGTAATAACAGTTACTAAATCAGAGTGAACTGAACGTTTTAGAAGAACTAAAATTAACTAGCCTAAGTCTCAGAACATTTAATGAATCAAAAAACTATTGTTTAGTCCTAAGGCAATAACTTTTGTATTCTCATGTGGCTTACACTGAGAAGCATGGCAATATCTAATTTACTTGTTTTTATCTCTCTGTCTATCTCTCTATCTATCTATCCACCTATACATTTATTCATTTATGTTGAGGGGATTTGGGTTTATTTATAAGCACACATATTCTATCAGAAGGTTATTTATTAGATTTTCCCTGACTTCGATTGTGCTGTCCTGTAGTTTATATAATTGATTTTAAATTGAAAATTCACCTAGTTTTTCAGGAATTAAGACATTTCCTGTTGCTTTCTGTGAACAAAAGAATAGTCCTGTTTACATACCCCTAAATTGTTTATAATTTTAGCATCACTTCATCATTGGAAGTGAGTTCCCAATTTTTACTTTTTTGATAAAGTTGCTGCTCTACCCAAACTTTTCAACAAATCAACAGGATTTAATTAAAAATTAACAAGATTCAGTTAACATGTCCTTGCTGTATTTTGGAACTTAAATGAGACAAGATTTCACTAAAGATAGCTTAGTCTCCATTGAAAGTAAAAGATACAGGAGAGCCATGCCAAAGTGCTGTATTAAAGTAACTGAAAGAATGAATTCTTTCCACCAATATTTACTGAGGTGTGAAGCATCTCTCTGAGTCACTGAAATCAACCATGGCTGAAACTGGCATAGTCTTGCCTTCATGGGGCTTATAGTCTAGTAAACATGATAGACATTTTCAAAAAATTATCATGTGCCTATTTTTCTTCCCGCAGTATCCGGATGCTGAGGATACAACAGTAAACTAACAGGCATAACCTTTGCTTTGGGGAGACTACAGTTTCAGCTGGAAGAGGCAAATAATGAACCAAGGCTCACTTGTATGTTGGTCGGTTTGACCTGCACCATGAAAATCAATAAATAAAGCAGCCTAAGGTGGTAGAGAATTAAAGATGACAGTGCAGGCAGAGGTAAGAGACATTATCAAGGGACTGGTTTTAGAAAGGTCATTTTAGAGTTTGACTCCATTTTTGGTGTTTGACCTCAGACAGCTTTAGATCCCATCTCTTCCATTTTTTCTCTTGCTCCGTTATCTGGGCAGATCATAAGAAAGCCAGGTGGGTTCCCTCCTTTAGTGACAGTAGAAAGTTCCAACTATGTAAGGCCCCACTTAACCTGGGAAACTTCACCTCGCCTACCCTCAAAGTACAATAAAAATAAAAAATCCTGGCCTGTCCCTTCTCTCAGGCCAGCTTTGGAGCCTGTGCTGCCTTCACCAGAAATCCTCCTTAGGAAAGTAGCACAGCTCTACATACCTTCATAGTGTGTGTGTGGTGTCATTAGTCTTAACATCCAGACCAAATTTGGTATTGGGGTTCATCCCACCTTCCATGGGATAATAGTGGAATAGCTACTTGGATTTTTCCTTTAGCTGTAGGAATTTTTAACATTCAGAGAATGTGATCAATGTATATGAACAAATCCAGTTACTAACTATTTAACAATTACTAGTTAGGCTTTTTAGTAGTTACCAATACATTAGCATTAAACAAACAAACTTAAGACACAGAAAGGTCTAGAATTTCAGCTACACAGAAAGATCTAGAATTTCAGCTAAGACAGTTAATATGTCGTGCACTCTACCTGCACGCTTCACATTTGTTGTGCTAATTACTTATGTCACTTTGAAATTTTCATAAAATAAGAATTAGTAAATAAATAATTATATTAGCTAACTCAAACAAAACATTTATATAGAATACTCATCTCAGTGACAAGAGATCCCTGAGAAGAGAGAACAAAATTGCAAATATGAAATATTCCAGACACAAAACATTTCAGACAAGTGCCTAGTGTTCATATTTTGTTTCTCTCTTGAAAATTTTCTCTTGTGAATTTTTAATTCTTCTGCTATATCAACAAGAAAGCATAATGTAGGTGTTAATCTATATTTAGCATCTCTCTATAAAGTGTGTGAATCTCCACATTAACAAGGAAGGCATTCTCTCCAATCCACTTGGTAGTTAAGAGTGGCATGCAGGAGTGACAGGACTGACATTCCGGGGAGAAGATGGGCGAAAGAGAATACAAGAGATGATGAGCAGGGGACCCAGAAGGCAGCAGCGACTCCAGGAACAGGTGACAGTTATATATCCAGGGTACACTATTAGGTGAACAGCAAATATTTGAAACCTCAAGTTCTGAATCTAAAAATCAAGGGTATTTCCTGAATAATAGCACATTATATAAAACAAATTGACCTCTTTATCTATAGATGCTGTAAATTGCAGCTATTTCAATAGAAGACACATGGGGTGTGATAGTTTGCTCTGAGGCGGGCATTTCATGCATTTTTTAAAAGTGAAACCAAAGTTCTAAAATAAGAACAGTAATAGGAAAGAAATGTAGCAGAGCCAGTGGGAATTCTTCATGATCCCACATGTAATTGAACAGCATGAATACAAAACCAATTGCATATTAGCTGTCCTGACATGACTGTCTGGGCACCTTTCAAAACAAAATGAATATTTCCTATTATTATTTTCCCTTTTATCACCAATTTTGTTCTGATTTAACACTCTCACAGTACTTTTTAGGCATCTTAACTGAACCCAGAGTTTTCTTAACTTCAAAGCAAGCACTGAGCATTACAAGTTCTAAAGAGGTATGAATATTGAAAAGAATTATGTCCCAAACCATAATTACTTAATGTATGATAATTGTAAAAACAGGATTTCACCAGGCTCTCTTGCCTGATTTTACTTGATAAGGGTGAACTTACTAGATTTTTTTCATAATCATGAGTAAAAAGTAACCCCCAAATTACATTAATTCCAAAATAGTCTTAAAGAATCTAAAAATAGAATAGGCTTTGGGGTTTTATTTTAACTTGTCACCTGAGGGTAAGAAAATGGATCAGATTATTAACTCAGAATTTCTTATTTGAACTAAAAAACTATGTTCCTATACCACTTTAAACCTTATTAATTTTGTTTTTTTTAATTTTATCTAAACAGAAAAAAATGAAGCACAGTAAAAACATTTACACATTGTTATCACATCAAGAAAAAACTATAGGATATACTTCCCTCTCCTTATCAGACTTGTTCACATAGTTTGAAGTGCAAAGCAATTACAGTCTAAATTCCATGTTGACATTATAGGAATTATCCCTCTCTCCATAGTGAAGCCTCTAAGGTGCTTTTGTCTTAAGGTTGCTTTTTTTAACTTGGAAAATCCTGATGTAGGCTCTCATTTTTACAATGTCTTTTTCATGAAATGTAACTGAGGCTTTTAAGAAAATAATTAACATTTTATGTTGCAACTTTAATATATCACTTCATTTTGACCTCAATAAATAACTTAAATTATTTTGCTTTCTTCCTTTTATGTAAATATTATTTTCAATATTATAGAGTCCAATTCTTTTTTTAAGAGGAAGAATTGGTATATTTCATTAAAATTACAGACTTAAATAGTCAGGGTTGGTATCTAATGCAGTCGGTGTTCAGCTAGAACAAAGAGAGACATTGAATATAATTCTTGCTTGAGCATGGCATTCGAGGCTCTTAAGACTCAAATCCTTGTTCCTTATGTCCTTTCTTCTTTCAATCGTGACATCATCTTAGGTCCCTATAGTGTTCACGTCTACAGCTCTTCAACATCTCTCATCATCTTGGTTACTTGTTTCCAGACAACTTCACTTCCTTTCTACTTATTCACCCTTTTCCATGACCACACCCTCGACTTCATCATAACCTAACAGTTCTTCCTAAGAAATAATAAACTACTCTACAGCTTCCTATCCTTCAGAATCCCTCATTCCGTTACTTCAACCACACACGTGTTTTGTTTGTTGGTTTTGTTTGTTTGTTTGTTCTTTGTTTGTCTGTTTCTTTTCCCTTCAGAGGGACCTCTGGTTTTTTTTGACCCATCTGCTATAGAGCCTGATTCTTAGGCTACATACTCTCTCGAAAAATTCAGGGTGAAAATTTCCCCCTTTAACATTGGGTAAATAAAAATGTGACTGAGAAAACAAAATTAGACCAGTACTATCAGAGTTAAGAGTGGAAATTAACTTCATGGCAGTGTTCAGTGCAGCTCACCAGTTCTTGGGTTCCTCTCCCCTTCTGAACACCTGGGTCATCAATAAACATTGACCTAATTATCATGAAATTCTTCATATCTCTAAAGACATACATATACATATTTATATTAAACTATTAATAAAATATAAGATATTTTGATAACTATTATTATAACTTCTACTACTATTATAAATTTTATCACTTGTCTATTATTTTACAAATTAAATGAGCTTTGGTTTGTTTGTATAAGACTATCAGAACAGAGTTTCTTTTCAGATAGAAAGCCTTCACAGTATCTACACAATCCAAATATCCTCACACTGTGGGCTTCTATTTATTTTACAATGACCATTTGAAGAAATTATATACACTAAATTTTAACTAATTGAAAGATTATGCACCAATGAGACACACAAACAGGTATGATGCCATAACTAATACACAGGTTAACATCTCTGTCCGAACAAAAACTGTTTCATGAGAATAGTAATTAATAAAGTATGGAAACCCAGTCAATGTGAGTTTATCGCGATATGAGATCAAGAATTAAATCCCGCTCCCTGATAATATTTAGTATGCCAAATTTCTATAAACTGCCTTCACCTCACATTTCCTTATAATATTCTAAGAGTAAAGTGAGATTTTAATTAAATAAAGCTGCAATGCTTGCAAATAATTTAACATTTTTACAGTTTTCTTGAATAAGACTAAGTATGCTACTATTATGGTTGACTAAGTAGAATGCAGAAGAAAACATTGTGTAATCATAACTGTGAGAATATGAAGATCAAAAGGCTTTTCTCATCATGACAAAAAAATTCTCAAGTAGAAATTCAGAATAGTAACTTTTAGACTTTCTCTTTCTTTTCATGAGCTAAAGAATGGAAACAACAAATCTGGAAGAAAATAAAACTTACTAGCAGCTATGGGTGTAAGACTTTTTATTGTGTGTGAGCACAGGGCATCCATGATAAAAGTAGTTGTCTTTCAGCCATAATCATATTCAACATCTGATATATATTAAAGAATTATTTTAAACTAATTTTGTAAATTGAAATAGAAAAATAACATCCCAATTCATCATATGTTTTATTCCATTCCTATGGTATTTTAAACAACTATATTACTGGCTTTAGTACTTCATAGTTTAGCATTTCTTCATTTAAATTTATGTAATAGAAAAATATATCATCTATCAATATATCCAACTTTAACAAATCATACCCATTCATCCTCTGGCACTCCAAAACTTTTAATACTTGCATGTGCAAAAAAATGATGTCATATCTCTAATGGAATAATATATGTCTACCCACTTTTAAGTTAATTTTTATTTTGCCCTCCAAACACACACACACACACACACACACACACACACACACCCTCCCCACATAAATACACAAAGTAGTATGTCAGAAAAAAGCAACATTTTTAATGTAAAAAGCTAGCAATGTTGTTAATGCCAAAGCTATTTTCCCAGACCATTTAGAATTCCTGCAGGACAGTTTTGACAGAGATTTAATCTTAATGACATACACAAAGTTGCTACTAAATAATTCATTTTCTAAAAGCAGAGGGAAAGAGAGAGCTAATGCATGACTCTACATCACTCCTTGGATCTTAAAGGGTCACAGACAAACCATAACAACTTTCTAATCAAAAGTCAGGTGTTCATGTTCATATATGAATGGATTTGGTAACAATGTTTGAAGTTTTCTGAAAACTAAAGCATATAGTTATAGATAATATCCATGTATAATAAATAAAGGTATATAAATTTGTCCAATTGTATATAGAAATATTAAAATGCATAAATACAATGAATAATTTTAACAATATTCTGCTATTGAGACTATTTAGCTTATTATAAACACTAATATTTTAGTGGATTTTTTTCAATACTTAACAAAACTAATCATTTTTGCCCAATATTTATTTCAATGATTTCTCCCTACATGTATTATAAAAATGTATTCTATTGAACTTAATTTTATTTATTGAAGAAACTTTTTCAAATGATCCAAACAAAAGCTATCATATGTAGGCCCCTAGTGAATTTTATATTTATTTGCATTCTGGGGCCTTAAGAGCCACACTGTGGAAGGATATGATGTTCTCCTTGACAACTAGTCACGGCTTCTGTAATAAGTTATATACGGCTCTTTGATTAAAGGCAAAAATCATTAACTCCTTTTGTTAAACTGTATTCTCTATGACTATTAACCTTTAGATTTATGAAATTCTGTTGACTATATCAAGTAAAAGTTCATTTTTTATTGATAACATTTTAAATATGTGCATTTTTCTAGCATTTGATAATTTTTTGTAAAAAAAGTTATTTACTTCATTCATGACATTAAGGAATTTATGTATCTAGATTTTATTTCTATCCAGTTTTTCTAATTTTCAGCATTTTGAGCCTGAAAGTTTATACCTGTCTCTATGCATTGTATAGCCTTAAGAAAATTCTGAGTAAACTATTTATTGCTTTGTTTTCAAAAATTACACTAGCTCTTTTGGCTGCTGCATCACTGTGTACTAGTATCTTAGAATACCATCTCTGAATCAACAGTGCTTTTCTGGAGCTAACGTCAATAGCTATTAAATATTTAACTGCTTAAAAAATCTATAGTGTTTTACCATTTACCAAACATAAAACTAACCTGACACCATTTTAAACTGATGCAAATGATGGCATGTCTCCTTAATACAAAGTAAGTATGTCCTTGCCCTTTGTCTTCTAAGCCATTTTCCTGAGAAAATAACTATCTATGTTTTACACATATAATAATTTGGACTCTAGTTCTTTGTAGAATCCCAAAGATACTTTTAAGGAATTCAAATAGATTATATAAAGTGAGTTTTTCACTTATATAACCTAAACTAGCATGATTTGCTATTGGAAGGGTAAAAACAATCCCATAATTTTTTTATTTGTCATATTGTTAAATATTTAGCATTTTTTCCTTCTGTTTATAAATGTTTACAGCTTATTAACTTGAGACTAAATCCCTTCTTATGTTGAATTAAATTAATAATCAAACTTAAAATATGTCATTAAGCATTTTACATATAAACAACACATTTTATCTCATAAAACTTTAGGTTTCATCTTGAATTTCTTTAAATTTCTCTGATAGATGAAAACCAGTTTTGTTTATTTATCTATTTTGATTATGTTAGATAGACTTGAAAACTTCTTGTGAACTGGCCACACTGATCCAAATAAAAAACATTTTTTAAGAGAGGCTCTATCTACTGTGGGTGGAAAATGTTAATATATCCCAGGTCATTGTGGATGTAGATATGTTCTATTCTTTCCACAAAAATTTTAACTGTATTCTCATTTCTAATTCCAGTTTATGTCAGTTATCAACATAATGAAGATTATCTCTCTCATCTCTAGATTTCTAAAGAAAAGAGTAATATAATCAAATTTAAGTATTACTCTTTCACAACATGACTGATTCCAGCGTCAATAATATATAACACAACACCTAGGATGACTTTAAACTACTACATAACCATCTCCCAATTGTTTTTAATTCAAAATTCGACTGTTTTCTTAGATGAAAATGTTCCTTGCATTCCTTTTATGAGGAGTTTTCATCTAAGCATTCAGATTTTTTCATCTAAGCATTTCAGCTTCCTCCAACACAGCCTCTGTAATTACTGGCTCTAGGCCAGAAAATGCATCCTGCACAGAAATCCCTCTGTTTCTGCTTGTTTCAGCCCACAGGTGCAAAAGCAACTAGCTTCTGATTTGAAATTGAATTTGACAAAACACTCTTTGAGACTGATACAAGAACGGGGCTACAGATAACAACGACACCTATTGCAAAGGTCATATTCTAACCCTATTACTTATATTAAGTTTCTGCTGACTTCAATAATGTCATAAAAATGTAAGAAAGAGCAAAATTTGTCACTGACTTCCTAACAAGTTCCTAATGTCATATAGGAGATACGCTGTTTCTCACTGAACACCTGGAGTTCCAGGTTCCAAGTGATGATACTTTGTTTTTAATTTTCTATTTATATAATGTCCATTTTCTTACAGTATTTTTCTCCAAACGAGTCTCATTTTAATCCACAGTGTCACAAGAGTATAGTCTCAAAAGCATGGTTATAAAAGATAAAGCTATCATACATCTATGTTAAGTGCTGAGAAAGTCAGAAGTAAAATCAACAACAACAAAAAAATGATGAAGTAGTTTCAGAAAATGTGTGAGCAGCAATGGAAATTACAGATCTTTTAATACCAGGTCTTCATTTTAGCTAAAAGAGAACATGGGTCCTGGGAAGAAAATGACAGATTGCTTCTTCATATCATTATTTTACCAATCACATTTGATTTTATTATAATTATAAATTCCAAATAATTTACATGCTGTTGTGAAATTTAAAGTCCAAATTACTTATTTAAAAATATTAAGCCAAGCAAGATATTTATTACTTTATTAAAGATTGCCGCCATGATCACTTCTAAAAGTTCTGTGTAGAATATTTTTAACTTCCTCTTGTTTCTTCAGGCTTTTTGTTAAAATTCAAAAAACTAGGGGCAAAATGTTGGGCTTCGTTTTGTATTGACTTATTGAAGAATGAGTATCTCAGCCATATGTTCCCCCTCAAGCTTCTGTGTCAGAAAACTCCTAGAGTGTGCTGTACCCAGAAGAAGACAGAATGGCAGGGTATCCTTTGGTCTGTAATTAGTTTCATGCCTATCATTCCACCATTCAAACACAAATGAATTTGCAAACCTCAGTGGACATCTTTTGGAAAGGAAGACACTGGTTGACTTTTGATTGCTGCTTTAAAAAAATGTCCTGAGGAAATGTTGCATCTTTTATACCCGTACATTCTGGATCACATGGGAGAATAAGAGTTCCCAAATAGCTTGCAGGTATTATTTATTACATTTGCAGTGAGCAGAGCCTCTTGAAAATGCACACATCCCTGTAATATCAGTGCAACCACTGACAATATAAAATAAAATGAATACATGAATAATAAATAAAAAATCACAAATGCCTTCACCTTTTCATGTAAATTATAATGAGTCTATAAAAATCTCACAATAAATTCAGATAATTAAGTATCAGAGTTTTAAAAATAAGGATGAATGCTATAGAGGATTACTTCTAGAATAGCAAGGCTTATTTCAGATCAGCACCTGCAAGCGTTCATTGCTTACATCTAGGACTACCCTAATACAAAGAGACTTTGGGGTACTTGGTATGTTTTCTCCCTAATTCAAAACTGAAACTTCCACTTCTAATAACCATTGAAAACTTAGGACATTCCTCAGGGCATTTTTTTAAAGCAGCAGTCAAAAGTCAACCAGTGTCTTCCTTTTCAAAAGATGTCCACTGAGGTGTGCAAATTCATTTGTGTTTGAATGGTGGAATGTTTCGACTCCAGAAACAGAAGAACTAAAATGATGACTTAAAAATCTCAATGGGTCACAGAAGGTTTGCATCAGTGTGGAAGCAACAGCTAAATAGCATATGAAAGGGTAAGAAGTAATATTACTCCATTAAATTGCTTCAGATTATGCTTTTCCAAGCACTTATTGGAAATCTACATGTGCCAGGCCACACACTAGGTATTTTCACCAGTATCACATTTATTCTTTAGAGAAACTGTATGAATACTTATTCTTTATAAGAAAACTACAAGTCAGTGAGATTAAGCAACATAATCAAGGTAACACAACTGATAAGAGCAGAGGTGTTTTCTTACTCAGTTTCCCTCTATTACTTACTTGTTCTTCGGCAAAGGATGAAACGCATGCAAAGGGTGAACAGCATGTTTGAATGTCACAGTCATGAATTCAGTCTTTCAAAAAATGTAATTTTTACTTCTAAAACTGAATGCAATTTGGTTTACAACATTCGTTTTTAACTAAAAGAATTTATCTTACCAACTCAAGGTAATATAGCCTCTTCCAAGATAAACATGAGTCAAACCAAGTTTCCTCTCTCTCTCTCTCCTTCTTCTCCTATCCCTGAAATAATATAAATTCTAAGTGGCCTCACATGTTTTCCTGGCACTGAGTCAAGGATGTCTTGTCCATGTAATGTATGCTGCCATCATTGGCCATCATCAAGGCCAGCTGATCTTTCCTCGTCTAGGTATCATCCTTTACCTCTATTGCATCTGCTACTGATGTCTCTGATCTGCCATGACATCCAGCTGACAGGTCCACATTCAATATACCTCTTCTTCCTATGGTGAGACCTCTTCTAGATCACTGGTCTTCACATCTGCTTTCCCATTTTCATTGTAAATACACTAACTTTTAAAATCCCTTCATCAACATGCTTGGGTGTGCAAAGCTATGATACTACCCTCAAGCAGGTCCACTAAGTCCTTCATGCAACCATTGATAATTCATGATTCTGATATTCCAAGAGACTCTTGTTACCTTGCTGGCTGTGCCGTGGGAAAATTATTCCATGGTATATTCAGCACTGAGATACCTACAAACTTATGTGATATCTGCAGTCATACATTTTCCCTGGACAAAGCTGAAAGATATGGCAAACACTGGATTTATTTCCAAAGACCCAATAGCCGTTAACTGAATGCACCTTTCCTCCAGTCTCTTTTCTGCCCTGTAGCTGAATGTATCTTCATGAATTTCTCCCAGAAAGAAAATAATTAAGTACAAGTTCTGTGATACATAAACTTCCTTGAGGCCGGACAAGGCAGATGGGGAGACTCCCTATTATCTATCTAGAGAGTTCTTATGTATGAAAAGATTTTGGCAGAATATACATAGTTTGTCTAAGATTGTTTGTACTAAGTGAACGAGGAACCTATGAATTTATAGCATATGGCTCTCTAGAAGATGTCACATAAGCTATACAACCATCTGAAATAATTTGCTATGACAGTGTGTCATAGAAAAATGGTTCTCTCCTGTGCCATTTATGCAGCCACAAATATCACACAGAGGCCTCACATAGTAAGCCAACCCAGAGCACATTCTGACTGACAAGAAACAAACTGGGTAACTGTATTGAAGGTCCTAGATCTCTCCATGTTTTACCTACACCTCATGATTACATCTTCTCAGCATGATAGCAACACTTGTTATTGGGTAAGACTTCTTACTAGTTTGAGTCTGCTTTGACAATCCAGTGCTTTGTGTTATTGAGATTCATTACCAATTCCCTATGATTGGTATAAACCCTATGCTCTGAGTCACTCACATTAGGGCTGTTGATGTTTGTAAATAAGATTACAAAATTCAATAAACACTTTTCTCCTGCAAACACCCTTTATTCTTACAATTAAAAGTAGGAGTGCTTTTGAATATTGTATGCTTGAGGCAGTGGACATAAAACACCCTTACTGATGTTTGAATGGTGAGGGGAAGAGTAAGGATAACAAGAACATTAAAATACATAATCCAATATACAAAATATGAACCAGTACTTTTATTTCAGGTGTTTATTATGGCACTATCACCACATTATCTTTAAAATATATTAGAGTCTCACTTTTATTACTCTTTTCTCCCTGAGACTTAAACTAAGTGAATATTTAGCTATTTTAGACAGATTTCAAATAATTATAAATGTGTTGTTTATAAATAATACGATGAAGAAATTGACAAATTCCTGTTACCATATATTTTCCAGTATTGTTTAAAAAACAAATATGAATTATTACATCTCTGCACCATCTTGTCAAGAATATGTACAGAAAAATTAAGTGAAATATTCAATTACAATAACAATCAATTGTGAGAATCTGGTTTGTTGAACTCTTATAAAGGAGTTTCTATGTAAGTGTTTCTGACATGATTCAAATACAGGAAAACTCACAGGTACAAATATATTTCTAAATATGGCATAAACGATCATTTTATAAATAAAAAAATCACATTCATTGATCAAAACCCAATAAATCTAAAATTCTAAAGTTCTCATAAATTTCAGTATGGAAACTCCCTATATAATCTACACCAATTTGCTATTTACATTATGATATGATTTCTATTTTCTTCGACCTTAACTGAAACAAACTATAAGTAAATGAAAAAACACTATCATAGAATAAAGAAAGAAACATTCTGAGTTTTCCAAATAAATCTATTATGAAATAAATTGCATGCCATAAATGTAAGAATAAAATATTTTTGCTAAGTATTGACTTGGCAATGCGGGCTCTTTTTGGGTTCCATATGAACTTTAAAGTAGTTTTTTCCAATTCTGTGAAGAAAGTCATTGGTAGCTTGATGGGGATAGCAATGAATCTATAAATTACCTTGGGCATTATGGCAATTTTCACGATACTGATTCTTCCTATCCATGAGCATGGAATGTTCTTCCATTTGTTTGTATCCTCTTTTATTTCATTGAGCAGTGGTTTGTAGTTCTCCTTGAAGAGGTCCTTCGCATCCCTTGTAAGTTGGATTCCTAGGTATTTTATTCTCTTTGAAGCAATTGTGAATGGGAGTTCACTCACGATTTGGCTCTCTGTTTGTCTGTTATTGGTGTATAAGAATGCTTGTGATTTTTGCACAATGATTTTGTATCCTGAGACTTTGCTGAAATTGCTTATCAGCTTAAAGAGATTTTGGGCTGAGACGATGGGGTTTTCTAGATATACAATCATGTCATCTGCAAACAGGGACAATGTGACTTCCTCTTTTCCTAATTGAATACCCTTTATTTCTTTCTCCTGCCTGATTGCCCTGGCCAGAACTTCCAACACTATGTTGAATAGGAGTGGTGAGAGAGGGCATCCTTGTCTTGTGCCAGTTTTCAAAGGGAATGCTTCCAGTTTTTGCCCATTCAGTATGATATTGGCTGTGGGTTTGTCATTAAATAGCTCTAATTATTTTGAGATACGTCCCATCAATACCTAATTTATTGAGAGTTTTTAGCATGAAGAGCTGTTGAATTTTGTCAAAGGCCTTTTCTGCATCTATTGAGATAATCATATGGTTTTTGTCTTTGGTTCTGTTTATATGCTGGATTACGTTTATTGATTTGGGTACGTTGAACCAGCCTTGCATCCCAGGGATGAAGCCCACTTGATCATGGTGGATATGCTTTTTGATGTGATGAGCCAAAAGAGCAAAGCTGGAGGCATCACGTTACCTGACTTCAAACTATACTACAAGGCTACAGTAACCAAAACAGCATGGTACTGGTACCAAAACAGAGATACAGACCAATGGAACAGAACAGAGCCCTCAGAAATAATACCACACATCTACAACTATCTGATCTTTGGCAAACCTGACAAAAACAAGAAATGGGGAAAGGATTCCCTGTTTAACAAATGGTACTGCAAAAACTGGCTAGCCATATGTAGAAAGCTGAAACTGGTTCCTTTCCTTACACCTTATACAAAAATTAATTCAAGATGGATTAAAGACTTAAATGATAAACCTAAAACCATAAAAACCCTACAAGAAAACCTAGGCAATACCATTCAGGACATAGGCATGGGCAAGGACTTCATGTCTAAAACACCAAAAGCAATGGCAATAAAAGCCAAAATTGACAAATGGGATCTAAGCAAAAAGAGCTTCTGCACAGCAAAAGAAACTACCATCAGAGTGAACAGGCAACCTACAGAACGGGAGAAAATTTTTGCAATCTACTCATCTGACAAAGGGCTAATATCCAGAATCTGCAAAGAACTCAAACAAATTTACAAGAAAAAAAAAAACCCATTAACAAGTGGGTGAAGGATATGAACAGACACTTCTCAAAAGAAGACATTTATGCAGCCAACAGACACGTGAAAAAATGCTCATCATCACTGGCCATCAGAGAAATGCAAATCAAAACCACAATGAGATACCATCTCACACCAGTTAGAATGGCGATCATTTAAAGGTCAGGAAAAAACAGGTGCTGGAGAGGATGTGGAGAAATAGGAACACTTTTACACTGTTGGTGGGACTGTAAACTAGTTCAACCATTGTGGAAGACAGTGTGGCGATTCCTCAGGGATCTAGAACTAGAAATACCATTTGACCCAGCCATCCCATTACTGGGTATATATCCAAAGGAATATAAATCATGCTGCTATAAAGACACATGTACACATATGTTTACTGCAGCACTACTCATAATAGCAAAGACTTGGAACCAACCCAAATGTCCAACAATGATAGACTGGATTAAGAAAATGTGGCACATATACACCATGGACTACTATGCAGCCATAAAAAAGGATGAGTTCATGTCCTTTGTAGGGACATGGATGAAGCTGGAAACCATCATTCTGAGCAAAGTATCGCAAGGACAGAAAACCAAACACCGCATGTTCTCACTCATAGGTGGGAACTGAACAATGAGAACACTTGGACACAGGGTGGGGAACATCACATACTGGGGCTTGTTGTGGGGTGGTGGGAGGGGGGAGGGATAGCATTAGGAGATATACCTAATGTAAATGACGAGTTAATGGGTGCAGCACACCAACATGGCACATGTATACATATGTAACAAACCTGCACATTGTGCACATGTACCCTAGAACTTAAAGTATAATAAAAATATATATATTATATATATATTTTTGCTATTAAAATTAAGTATTTCTCAACTGATAACTATTTAGTAATTCATTTTTTATGTTTATTTTGGTATTTTTCCTTATCAACAATGTCAGAAAGCTAAAAAAATTCTATAAATGTGTAAAGAAGAAAAAGTACAAAGTTCTTAAAGATGAAATTTAGAACCTCCACTAGGCAATGTCCATCAATGATAGACTGGATTAAGAAAATGTGGCACATATACACCAAGGAATACTATGCAGCCATAAAAAGGATGAGTTCATATCCTTTGCAGGGACATGGATGACACTGGAAACCATCATTCTCAGCAAACTAACACAAGAACAGAAAACCAGACACCACATATTCTCACTCACAAGTGGGAGTTGAACAATGAGGACACATGGACACAGGGAGGGGAACATCACACACTGGGGCCTGTCAGGGGGTGGGGGGCTAGGGGAGGGATAGCATTAGGAGAAATACCTAATGTAGATGACCGGTTGGTGGGTGCAGCAAACCACCATGGCACGTGTATACCTATGTAACACACCTGCACATCCTGCACATATAATCCAGAACTTAAAGTATAATTTAAAAAATACAATAAGCATTAATTAAAAATAGTTATAATAATATTTTCTATAATCATAATTTTTCAATTAAAAAATTTGAATTTCTATGATATCCTATAAATATGCCTTGCTTAAGAGAGACTGGTTTTTTTTTTATCACTGGAAGAAAGTGTCAGAATTTAACTTTTTGAAATCCAGAGCTTTCTATAGGACCTTGAAGAGTGTAATTGTGACAGCAATTTTTAAGGCACTCTATTTTAGTAAAAGGAAGTGACAGTGTGGCCCTTGGCAAACCTACACATTTAAATAAAATGTAAAATGATGCGATTTATATATAAAACATTTCATGCCAATGATATGCTATTATATGATAATGTCAAGTAAACTTTTGAAGCTTGATAACACATGTCTACATGGTTCAAAACTAAACGCAGAAAAGCCAAACAGCTGTTTAAATTCACATTGTTTTATGTCATGTTATTATAGAACACAAAGGGTTTCAAACAACATTTAGATAAGACGCTTCACTAGGTAAGACCTGTTTTACTTTTAAAGCAGAATTTCCCAGGTAAAACCAACATTCACAAGTGAAACAATAAACTAAATGTGTTTGTTACTAGAATTATATTTTGTGGAAGTATATCACATGGTGCAGTCTATAATTTAGAATAATTTTAATATATTATAAAACATCATAATAGATTATGCACTCTTTTATACATAATCCTATTTACTCAGAGTATTTTATATAGTATGGATGACTATAAATAATTCAGAAACGTCTCTACTCTTCCATGCACTTAGATACATAGTCCAAATGTACCATCCTTGTCTGTAGCACAGCAAAATTTAACTTATATCTGTCAGTATAAGAAGAACAAGAGGAAGAAGAAGAGGAAAGAGAAGCAAAACAGCACTGCTAGAAATTAAGAATAAAAGTGACTTTTGGATAAAATAATATCAATATCAAAAGAACAATTTAGCTTTCAGTCTGTGGTCAGCCTTGGATAGAAAGTCGTCTTCTGTGTATTCCTCAGCAAATAAGGCTCATACCCTAACTTTTCTTTGTCAACTCAGTGTAGAAAGTCAATGAGAACACATGGACACAGGAAGGGGAACATCACACACCGGGGACTGTTGTGGGGTGGGAGGAGGTGGGAGGGATAGCATTAGGAGATATACCTAATGCTAAATGACGAGTTAATGGGTGCAGCACACCAACATGGCACATGTATACATATGTAACAAACATGCACGTTGTGCACATGTACCCTAAAACTTAAAGTATAATAATAATAAAATAAAAAAATAAAAATAAAAATAAAATGGGGCAAACAGTTTTTAATTAACCACATGTGTAAAATGCCTAAAAGTTTATAACTTTAATAAACAAGGAGAATATTATTTTATAAATCCTGTTTTATTGATTTAAATTATATTTCTAAATTAAAATTCAGTTCTGTAAGTTTATGAGTTTAGAGCAGTGTTGTTCAATCTAGAACCCTGGACTCCAGGGTTCACTCCAAAATGAGTTCAAATGTAACTACAGTGATGCTAATGATTGCATTGATAAATAATGAGAAGTAACATTTATTGTGTGCCTACTTTGTTCCGGAAACTCTGCCACGCACTTACATTTATTAAATACAACAAAAGTATGAAGTCAGTGTCCTTAAAACTACAGAGGAGGATATTAAAGCATGGGGAGTTGATGAAGCCTCATCAATGTCACTCGGTAAATGGCTGAGTTTAAATTTCAACCCAAGCAACCCAGCTATTTTAGTCAATATGCATACCACTTTTCAATAGAGTTATGGAGACTGTGTGAGCTATTTTCACTTCCAAATTTCCCCTACAGATATTGCACATTTATTTATTTTGGATGAACTGAGTAAAACACTGTTTCTTTGACTTTCTTCAAAATTGAGAAACAGTTTGGAGTGACAACACTAACTGATGACAAATTCTGATAATACGTCTGTAGACATCCATGACACAAAGATCACTTATCCTTCATGTAACAACCAGTTGGTAGGGAAGTTAAAACAAGAAAATCTAGTTATCTTGATTTCTTTCCAACATGTTCCTGAACTTCCATCTACTTTCCTTAATATAATAGCATATCAGAATTTCCTTCACATGATGTTTTATATTTTTCACTGCACTTTCTAACCTGAACACATTTGAAATATCTAGAGCTAATGCTTTATAGACTTGCAAACTTTTAAAGTGGTTTATATGCTCAAAAAATATGAAACAACGTAAAACCCACTTTTTACCCAGTCAGCCCATCCTTTGGTAACATATTCTGTTTCTTCCATCTAATTTTAAGGTGCCCAGTTGCAATGGTGTATAACAACCTGATAAGGTTTCATTGCAAAATTCAGTCACAAGGTAGGTCAATCTGAAAAAACTAATGTTCACATAAATCCGATCTGGATCAAAATTTTTATTGTAGACATGAAAGTAAGCTAGGGTTGGGGTAGAAATGAAAGAGCTATAGAAATGTAGCACACTCATAATCTTTCATTTCTGCCCTGGAGAGGCTTGAAACGTTGAAGCCAGGAAATAGAATATGATCAAACATCTCTGCTTGTATGTGACTAAATTGATAAAAGCTATGAAAACCTAAATATAAATTATAAAGCACATTTATGAAGTCCTATCAAACTCAATTGTTATTTTCAAGTGCTTTAAGCAGAAATTCTGAACACTGAATAATGGCCCAATAAATGCTTAATGAAGGAATGAATATATGGTTCTACCAAACCATGCTTTATCTTTTGTGATACTTTCTCTCACATCTCTGAAATCCACATGAAGCCAAGACTTGCAATATACTCTGAGTGATTTGTGTGACAAGGAAAGGTGTTGTATTGCTCAAAGAAGAAATCCTACATATTTTGAATATTGCTAAGTTCTTTAAAAGCATAAACAAAAAATGCAGTATATGTCATAAAATTATTTGTTTTCAGTAGGAAATCATCACATCCCACAAATTATTCATTAATTATAATTGTAAAAAAATTCAAAATGGTTACACATTTGACATGTTAAGCAATATAGTTACTTTAAATTGTCATTTGATAGGTTAAAAAAATGGAGACAATTCCAAACCAAATGGCCAGTGTGTATAGCCATTTTAAGCTTAAATGATTAAGAAAGATTACGCAGCACAGAAAAACACCAGTTGGTTCAGGCTTTCAGACGTTGGAAATTCTATCACATATAGATAAGAACTGAAGAAAGAAAGAATATCATCTCCTAATTTCATGCACTGAAAACCTCATCTTCATGGCTGTTACTGTTTTGGGAAGACTGGGAATGCTGGAAATACATTCACAGAAGCAGTTTTAAATTGTAGGTATTGAATTGCATATTTGTTCAAATATTATGCATCCACTGATCAGCACTCCCCCAAATTACCTAGACTGTGAAGGGAAACACTTTTCACATGTGCTTATAATGGCAACGTATCATAACATCTTTAATTCTGGTTTTGATATAAATAAACAGAGCAATTGGCAAATGTGCATAAGTTTTCTCTAAATATCCTTTTTGCTATTATTTGACATAAAAAGTTAAAATTATCTCTCAATAACTATCTCCTTTAATGAGCAATTTACTATAAAAGTTAAAGATTCAACATTTGTTGTCCTTAAAGACAAATACAGCATGAATATCAGCTCAATGAAGGAAATGGAGACACAGCGCTTCCACAGCTGCTAAAGAAGGGATGGCTGGCACAACTCCTGTTTCTGCCCTTCAGCAGAGCTATAGTTCCAACCACAGCAACAAAATAAGTAGTAGAAGAATTATTCTCTATTTGGGGAAGAAAAAGTTTAAATTTAACTTAATCATGAATTGCAACATTTTCAGAGATGGATATACAGAAAAATAAGCTTGAGCAGTGCTACTCAGTGTCCTCCAGGGACCAGTGCTGGCCAAAAAAATCTTTTCGCAGTACATGGAGACACAAGGAGCTTGAGGCAGAATATAAATCAACCTACATAGTCATGAAGAAGTATTTAGTTCAACTGTCATATTTTTCACATTTTCACATATATTGCAAGACTTCCTCAATGAAAGAAACACTATACAGATTTACATTCTGGAAAAAGCTCCTTATCACATTCTAGACTGGTAATAGACATTCCATGAACCAGGTGCTATAAATAACACTGAGCTAAAGCAGGTATCAGGAAACTAAGACCTGTGGACCAAATCTGACCAACCACCTGTGTTTGTAAATAAAGTTTTATTGGAACACAGTCATGCCCATTTGTTTACTTATTGTCTACAGCTACTTCCCACCACAGAAGCAGAGTTAAGTGCTAGCAGCAGAAACCACCTGGTCCACAAAGCCTAAAATATTTAATATCTGGCCTTTTACAGAAAATATTTGCTGATCCCCAAGCTCAAGGACAAGTATTTTCTTGCAAGCTTTTGAAAAGGAAAGTTGAAAATCAGAACTAATCATCAAAACAGACACATGAATAATAAAATACCTTCAAATATGAATGTTAAGATATATAATATTTATTGTGTGACCTTCTGGGAGAAATGGCTTCGTCTTTGTGGATCCCAAAGATATAAGCCATTATCCAATTTGAGAAGAAACATTTATTCTAACCAGACTCACTAACTTGGATAACAAGAGGAATTAAATATTTCTAGAGAAATCATATTGGTTGTTCAGGTTTGAAGCTGAGCAGTATTCAATGTGAAATGTAACAGACGTAGAGAATTTTTTTATTCCCTTTTCTCAGGGTATGAATGAGTTCTGCATCTGGGAGGTATTTCTGTTCCTTCTTAGAAAGGCAGAGCATCTTCCAAAACTAGCCATGAGGGACCTTCAAAAAAATGTTATAACAAAGTTATATCCTGGATATATAAAATTGTATTTCAGAAAAGGTAAATTGACAAAACATAAATGAAAATGAACACATCAGAAAGACCTTTTCCCATTTAATTTGAAATATGTATTTGAATTATAAGACATTTTTATTTCTCTCAACCCATACTAGAATATGTTATTATTTTCTCTCTATTCTACACCTTAAGGAGGCTGTCATGAGAAAATTTTATTTAATTTGAAGAAGCAATGACTTATGTACATAAGTATCTATGTGTATATACATATGTAGGTAGGGAGATATGAAGGAAAAGAAAAATCTTCACATCTTGATTAGTCAAGTGGAGAGGAAATTTTAATATTATTTATGGGCCAGGTGCAGTGGCTCACACCTGTAATCCCAGCACTTTGGGAGGCCAAGGCGGGAGGATCACGAGGTCAGGAGTTCAAGACCAGCCTGGTCAGCATGGTGAAACCCCATCTCTACTAAAAATACAAAAAACTAGCCAGGCATGGTGGTGCACGCCTGTAGTCCCAGCTACTTGGGAGGCTGAGGCAGGAGAATTACTTGAACCCAGTAGGCTGAGGTTGCAGTGAGCCAAGATCATGCCACTGCACTCCAGCCTGGGTGACAGAGCGAGACTCCACCTCAAAAAAAAAAAAAAAAAACAAGAAGAATACTTGAATATGTTAAATGAGCATCAACCCAGAAGATTTGTTAAATGTTCTAATTAATTTGATTATATTTATATATGTGGCTTTAAAAATATATAAGCTGGTAAAAAACCACTAGTTATTGTTATAAAATGAAAATACAGAGACAAGCTAATGAGGTTTTCTTTCAAATCACCAGAGAAGCATTCAGAGGCTGGTATGACTCAGTGATCGTTAATTAAAAAGAAAAATGCTCTAGTTTGTTTTCCAGCTTATGTTCTAATATTAAGGTGATAAGTCTATCACAAGGAAATATCATTTTGCACTCATACAACATGGGTCAAAGGACAATGCGTGATGCTTCACCAGGGAGCTGCAGGTAAAGCAGATATCGCCACATGCACTGCTTCACCTTTGTCCACACTCTTCCCAGATGGTTGGACAAGAACATATAATAAATATAAACAAGGCAAGTCTTGCTGAGGAAGTTTTGCAAAAAAGTCAGCCTGAAGCCTGAGGCATCTGGAAGATGGAGGCTATGTATTAACACAGAAAGGATCCATTATATATTCTGGCATGAAAAATAGTAATAATTTGCAAAATAGTGAGTTAGCATGAGTGTATTTTAAACATCTGCACACACACACATACACACCTGGAAAGACATATTCATGGAAATAAAAGTGGACCAATGGACATTTTCACTATTATTAAACTTTTTTTGATTTTTGCAAAACTACTTCTGTACTTAAAATAAAATAATTAAAATCACCAGGAGGAAGGCTTAAAATCATATGTTGCCTTTAGATAAAAAGAGGGACATGTCTGACAATTTTTAATATGCCCTGACCTTTGAAACCTGGTCTTGGTCTCCAGCAATGTATTTCATCTAATTATCAAGCAGAGCACTGGGGACTGGAAAGACAGAAAACATATTGGTCTAGATGTAAGCAGTAATTAGCTGATTACTTAATTTTACTTAGAATCAGTTTTCTTATCAGATTATTCATCCTGATAGCATGGTACTGAGGGAGAATTAATTACATTTTAGGTGTCAAGAATTCTTAAGAGAATGAAGAAAATCAATATTTAAAATATGTATGCAAGCAAATATATAAACATCATCTTCAGTTTTCATTTTCATCAGTGGTTCTGTCCCTGAGTACGCATGGGTGGTTTCACAGATTTATTTGTAAACAAGATAGTTGTTGGTTCTCATTTAAAACAGAAGGAGAAACCCAGGCAGCCAGGAATGACCTAGCCCTAGCTTGTCCCAAGAAAAACCTCTGGCACGGGAATGGAGAGAGAATTTGACCTTCAATCTGCTGGAAGTGATGCAAAGTCTCAGCATGGCTAAGAACTCTACTGAGTTCCTTAGATTGATTACTGATAATTAGGCATTATTTAGAAATGGAATACATATGACACTTGTAAACTGGTTGGTAGAAACAGTGGTTAAGCCACATGCATAAGTACCTGAGAACTTAATGAACATAGACCCTGGACATGAAGGACAGTGCTAGGTTACACTGTGCATCACAGATGCTGGCCATATGTAAAGCTGAGCTCACGACCCTGAAAGGAGCTTGCCTTAACTAGACTCATTATATTTTCTACATAAATATGACTTTTCCCATTAAATACAATGAATATGTAATTGAATCCTCTTCACTCACCAGTGAAGCATAACTGAGAAATTAAGACGTTGTGGGAAATTTTTTAAGTTAAATTAAGAGAAGTTGCCTGACTTCAAGGAGCTTACAGTACAGAAAGAACCATGGCATAAGAAGAACAATGTTTAAAATGTATAATAGAATTGAATAAGCCCCAAAGACTAGACTGGTACAAGTGCGGAATTACAGGGATTCAGAAGAAAGGAGAGGCAGCCATTGTACAGTGGACTATGCGCTGGAGTTAGAATTAGAAGGTTGGCATTACAGTCCTGTCACTAAAAATTAAAAGTGTGGCTTTAGGTAAATGATTGAAACCAGGGTTCCCCCACAAAACCAGTCCCTGCTGCCAAAAAGGTTGGAGACCACTGATTTAAATTATCCAACCTCAGTTTGCTTGTCTGCAAACTAATAGCTATTTCAAGGGGTTGTTTTGAGGATTATGGGTTATATTTGTAAAATGTTCATAAACAGATGAGAAATTTACAGATATAAAAGCATTATCAAAGACTAGAAAATCCAAGAAATCTTTCATTAGAAAAGACAGCACTTGAGCTGCTTGGCAGGGCAGGGGCAATAGCGAGTAAGAAAAGAATCGAATTCTACAGGAGGGAAGAATAAGAATGAGATACGTAGAAGACAAATCGCCAGGAATGTTTGGAGAATAAATTTTCCCATTTGCTCACTAACAAAACATGTGAGGTAGAGAGTTAAATACGAGGCTGGAAGGTTAGGAAATTAAGGTAGCAGCGATGAATGCCAAACCAAGGAGTTGGGATGTTATTAGGTAGACTATAAGAAAACACTGAAAGTTTTAGAAAGGTTATTGATTGCATGGTCAGAGATATGTTAGTGTAACACTAAAATGTCTGTGGAATAGAGGAGTGGGGAAGATGTGAAGATGGCATGATCTCTTAATAAATTATTGAAACAGTTCAGGTAAGAAAAACTGATTAAAATAAAATGCACACAACCTTTACTCTAGAAATTCCATTTCTAGGATCTACTATACACAAATATGGATATATTTACATGAAAATATATGTAAAGAGAAATCGTGTAACTGTTTTAAAACAGTGATTTTGTTTAAAAAAATAAAAACTACCTGTTGTAATGAAATGTTAAGTAAGTTATGGTGCATCCATACTATGCAGTGTTACCCCATAATTAAAAGACAGAATTAAGCTGATGTGAGGTGACATGGAATATCTGGAATATTTCTAAGACACGAAATATTTCTAAATATTTTGGTGTTAAATGGAAAGTCAATGATCAAGACATAAAGAAAAATCTCATAAAATGTTTTAAGTATATATTTTTGTATGTATACATGAATAAATAAAATTAGAAATGGGAGGTACATACCAGAATATCAGTAGAGGTAAACTCTGGGAAAGGTGTAAGTACAGAGAAGGATACGAGTAGCATTTTCCCTTTTTTTTTTTTCCGCATTTATTCATGTCAGTCAACACTGATCTACATAAAGGAAATAAAACTTTACATAATAAAGTCAAGATAACTGTCTTCATGTTGCTTCCATTCTGGTAATGAGAAACAAATAAAAAGTAATATGTAGATAAATAAAATATTTATGGATATAAGTATTATGCAGAGAATTAAAACAGAGTGATAATTTACTGATATTTTACTGAAGGAATAATTTACTGATATTTTAGTTTTCTGTTGCCACAAATATAGTGGCTCAAAACAACACAAACCTCTTATTTCACAGTTTCCACGGATTAGAAGTTCAATGACCATATTTTCTGGATCCTCCACCTAGGTCTCACAAGGCTGCAATCAAGGTGTTGGTGGAGGTGATTTTTTAAACCCTATTTGTATTGAGTTACAATAGACAAACGTAAGTTGAATATGAGAAGGCACTTCAAGATGGCTGACTAGAGGCATTCAGGACCTGCCTCCTCTACAAAGAACCACAATAGTAAATAAATACTCACACATTGAATAAAGCATCTAAGAGATCACTGGGAATTTAATGAAAAAATGACAGGAAATACCTGAGGCACAAAAGGAGAGAGAAGCAAGGCAGTCAGCTCAGCTGGGATGGGCTGGGAACCCAGAGAGTTTCTCCAGCATGGAGAAAGGCTAGGTAAGTAATCCCCAGTGGTCCACATTCCCACCATGGACTACTGCCCTCAACCGTTGTGGGTCATGAGGCTACTATAAGGAGCTTCCTGGAGACCGCACAATAACATTCCTCCAGGAAAGGAGTTCAAACTGGGTCCCATACACACCCCAAGTCCTAAGCAGCTGCAGCACAGTGCCAATTTGAGAACCCGGCCCCCACCAGACTGCATCCTGCCCCAGAGCCCAATAGCCTCTGAATCTCTATGCCCCTGAAGCCCCACTGACATCCAGTCATATATACCTGGAGGATTGTAGTGGAGCAAGGCCTATTGGACCCAGCAGAGCAATGGGGTCCCCAGCACTTTAACACACACAGAGAATAGATAGCGCGGCAAACCATGAGGCTGCCCCCAGAATGAATGGAGTCAAAATATGTGCTCCCCAGAGCTTGAAACCTGCCTGCCTGTGGCCACTGCCACTGACAGCAACCCATCTTCACCAACAGGAGGGCTGAAGTGCACTTGCACTCACCCTTAGGACAGGCTCTCCATGCCCACAGTCACTGATGCTGCTGCTGGGAGCTAAAGTGCATGCTCCCCAAAGTATGATACTGCCACTACTACCTGTCGCTACTGCCACTAACATGAATGCTGTCAACCCCCCAGCAGCAGGACCACAATACACTTGCATGTGTCCTGAGGATGGGCTCTCCCTGATCACACGCTGATGCTACTGCCACCTGAACACTCTACCAGGACATTTGAGAATCACCTCACTCTACCAAACACAGCCTGCACTTGTATGCACCAATGGGGATCCTGAAGACAGGTCTGCCACTTCTGGCACCAACATCCTCAGTGCCTGAGCACACCACCCAGGGGCCTGGGGATTAACCTGCCCTGTCCACCACTATTGGCATCTGTGCACTCCTCCCGGGTACCTAGGGATGGACCCACCTTGATGACCACTATTATCACAGCCAGTACTCACATCCATGCACCACTAGGGACTGGCCTACCCAGACTGTTGCAGCCAATGTTAACGTAAGCATGTGCCATCTAGGAGCCAAAGGGTTTTCCCTCCACTGCTATGGCTATTGATCACATCTCACATACTGCCCAGGGGCCTGAAAACCTGACCATCTACTTGGCCTACCACTGCCACTGACAGTTCCTAAGCAAGCTACCTGAAGGCCCAAGAATTGGCCAGCTTGGAATCATTAATACTGCTACATGCATATGCTGTGCAACAGCACAAAGACAGGAACACTCAGCCTGCCACTGCCACCACTGAGACCCAAAGACTGAACCACCTGGCATCCTTGTCCCAAGGAAAACCTCACCACAGCCTCCACTAACAACCATAGCAAAATCCACTGAGAAAATAACAGATACCACTAATGCTGTTTGCAGCTGAAGAAATCATACAAAGACTACAATTCTGCACACAGACAGAATCAAAGCTAAAATGCTCTACCCAACCAATATCATAGATACATCTTCAGGAAAAACCTTCCCTTATGAAAGCCAATTCAAATAATAGGAAGAAGCAGTTGTTACACCAAATGTGCAGGTATCAATAAAGGACACAAGAAACATAAAAAGGCAAAACACCTCTGAAGGAACACAATAATTCTCCAGCAACAGATTACAATGGAAAAGAAATATTTAAAATGCCACAAAAAGAATTCAAGATAATGATATTAAAGAAGTTTGGTGAGATACAAGAGGACAGAGATAAATAATGCAAAGAAATAAAAAAAAAAAAATTGAGGGTATAAATGAGAAATTCACCCAAGAGGCAGATATCATAATAAAGAACCAAACAGGCCAGGCATGGTGGATCATGCTTGTAATCCTAGCACTTTGGGAGCCCAAGGTGGGTGGATCACCTGAGGTCAGGGGTTTTAGACCATCCTGGCCAACATGGTGAAACTTTGTCTCTACTAAAAATACAAAAATTAGCTGAGCCTGGTCGTGCATGCCTGTAATCCCAGCTACTTGGGAGTCTGAGGCAGGAGAATTGCTTGAACCCAGGAGGCAGAGGTTGCAGTGGGCCAAGATTGCGCCACTCCACTCCAGCTGGGGCAACAGAGAGAGACCCTATCTCAGGAAAAAAAAGAAAAAAAAAAAAAAAGAACCGTTACAGGAATTCTCAAATTAAATAATTCAATAAATGAAATTTTTAAAAATTTATTTGACAGCTTCAACAATAGACTATATCAAGCAGAAGAAAGAATTAAAGAATAAAGAATAAAAAAGAACAAACAAAGCATAAGTGACATATGGGACATGTTAAGAAACCAAATATTTGAATTTGGGGTGTTCCAAAATGTGAAGAGAAGCCCAAAGTTAAAAAATATTTTTAAAAACTAGCTGAAAACTTCCCAACTCTAGCAAAAGTTTTAGACATCCAGATACAGGAAGCTCATCAATTTCCAAATAAATGCAACCCAAAAAGGTCTTCTTCACAGCTACCCAAAAGATAGATACAGCCCAAAACATTATTCTCCACATAAAAGTAAACTGTAAAAACTCAGAAATGAGAGATAATTCTAAAAACTGCAAGAGAAAAGCATCTGGTCACTTATGATGGAAGTCTCATTAGACCAATGGCAGATGTCTCAGGAGAAATTTTACAGGCCACAAGAGAATGGATGATATAGTCAATGTGCTGAAAGACAAAAAACTGCCAGCCAAGAACACTACACCCAGAAAAGCTATCCTTCATACATGAAGGAGAAATAAAGTCTTTCCCAGACAAGCAAAAACTGAGGGAATTCATCACCTCTCAACCAGCCCTACAAGAAATATTTAAGGAAGTACTACACCTGAAAAGGAAAGGTAAATATCCACCATCCTGATAACACACAAAAATATAAATCTCAGTGGTAGAACAAATACACAAATCAGGAAAAGACTCAAATGTCAATACTACAAAATGATCAAACCACAATGATTGTTCCATTTTTTCTGTTATTGTCTATCGAAGGATTTTTTAAAAACAACAAGAAAACAATTAACAAAGTGACAAGAATAAGTTCTCACCTATCTATAATAACCTTGAATGTAAACTGATTAAATTTTCAACTTAAAAGATAGACTGGCTGAAAAGAGAAAAAAATACCAACCAATTATATGCTGCCTACACAAAACTTCCTTTACCTGTAAAGACACATACACAGAAATATAGAAGTATATGCAGAAACAGCTATATGTATATACAAAAGTAGCTATACCTAGATAAAACAGTTTTTAAGTCAAACAGTAAAAAGTAACAAGGAATATCATTACATAATATTAAAGTGATCAATTCAGCAAGAAGATATAACAATTCTAAATATATACATTCAACACTGGTGCCCACACAAAATATACAAATATATTTGTTACATATACATATATTAGTATATGTAAGTATACTAGTATATAGTATATAACATAAGTATATATTAGTAATATAAGTATATATAAGTTATATATAAGTAATATAAGTATATATTAGTATATGTATATGTAACAAATATTAGAGCTAATGGGAGAAATAGGCTCTGATACAATAATATTTGGGGACTTCAACACCCCAGTCTCAGAATTAGACAGCTCATCAAGATAGAAAATTAACAAAGAAATATTGGATTTAAATTGCACTTTAGGCCAAATGGGTCTAACAGACATCTATGGAACATTTTATCCAACATCTGTGGAATACACAATCATCTTATCAGCACATGGAATATTCTCCAGTGTAGACCATATGTTAGGCTACAAAATAAGACTCAACAAATTTTTAAAAATTAAAATCATACCAAGTATCTTCACAGACAAACATGGAATAAAACTGGAAATCAATAACAAGAGAAATTTTTTAACTGTCAAAATACATGGAAATTAAACAACATACTTCTAAATGACCATTTATCCAATGAAGAAATTAAGAAGAACATTTTTAAAACTATTGAAACAAATGAAAATGAAAACACAGCATACCAAAACCTATGGGATACAGCAAAAATGAAGCGGGAGTTTACAGCAATCAATGCCTCCATCCAAAAAGTAGAAAGATTTCAAATTAACAATCTATTAATGCATCTCAAAGAACAAAAAAGCAATAGCAAACCAAACAAAAAATAATGGAAAGAAACAATAAAGATCAAAAGAGAATTAAATGAAATACGGACTTAAAAAATATGAAGATTTAACAAAACAAAAACTTGGTTTTTTTGAAAAGATAAAGTCAGAAAACCACTAGCTAGACTAGCCAAGAAAAAAGGAGAAAGGGCTCAAATAAATTCAGAGACTAAAAAGGAAATATTACAACTGACAACACAGAATTACAAAAGATTATCAGAGACTATTATGAACAACTACATGCTAACAAACTTGAAAACCTAGAGGAAACGGATAAATAACTGGAAACATACAACTTATCAAGATTGAATCAGGGAAAAATAGAAAACCTGTTTAGACCAATAATGAGTAATGAGATTAAATCAGTAATAAAAAAGTCTTCCAACAAAGAAAAGCCCAGACTAGATGGCATCACTGATGAATTCTACCAAATATGCAGTGAAGAACAAATGCCAATTATCCTCAAACTATTTCAAATTTGAAAGGAGAGAATTCTTCCTAACTCATTCTGCAGGTATAGCATTACTTTGATATCAAAACCATTCAAGTACATAACAAAAAAAAAAAAACTACAGAATGATACCTCAGATAAATACAGACACAAAATTACTCAACAAAATACTAGCAAACCAAATTAAATACCACATCAAAAAGATAATAAATTCCACTTGATTTATTCTTAGAATTATTTATAATGTAATAATTATAAGATAATTATTTTTCTTAATTATCAATTTATTATCAATAAATCCCTGACATTAATCCCACTTGATTCTACCATGATCAAGTGGGATTTATGCCAGGGATGCGAAGTTGATTCACTATATGCAAATCAATAAACATGATACATTACATCAACAGAATGAAGGAAAATGATCCTATGGCCCTCTCAATAGATGCAGAAAAAACAACTGATAAAACCAAATATCCATTTTAGATAAAGACTCTCAATAAACTAGACACAGAAGGAAAATATCTCAACATAATAAAGTCTATCTATGACAAACCCTTTGCTAGTATACCAAATGGATAAACTTAAAGGCCTTTTTTTACAAGATCTGGAACTAAACAGGGATGCCCATTTTCACCACTCCTGTTCAACATAGTACTGGAAGTCCTTGCCAGAGCAATCAGATTAGAGAAATAATTAAAAGACATCCAAGTTGGAAAAGTCGAAGTCAAATTCTCCCTCTTTGCAGATGACATTATCTTTTAATTAGAAAAACCTAAACACTCAACAAAAAAGAAACCTCTTTAAGCTGATAAGCAAATTCAGGAAAGTTGTAGGATACAAAGTTGATATAGTTTGGCTCTGTGCCCCCACCCAAATCTCATCTCAAATTGTAATCCTCATGTGTTAAGGGAGAGACCAGGTGGGAGGTGATTGAATTATGGGAGTGGTTTCCCCATGCTGTTCTTGTGATAGTAAGGGAGTTCTCACAAGATCTGGTTGTTCAATAAGTCTCTGGCCTTTCCCCTGCTTGCTCTCTCCCTCACCTGCCACCGTGTAAGTGAGATGTGCCTTGCTTCCCATTTCCCTTCCACCATGATTGTAAGTTTCCTGAATTCTCCCAAGCCAAGAGGAACTGTGAGCCAATTAAATGTCTTTCCTTTGTAAATTACCCAGTCTCAGGTAGTATTTTTGTAGCAGTGTATAAACAGACTAATATAGAGAATTGGTACTGAGGTAATGGGGCATTGCTATAAGATCTCATACATGAGAATGTGGAAGCAACTTTGGAACTGGATAAACAGCAGAGGTTGGAACAGTTTGGAGGGCTCAGAAAAAGACAGGAAGACGTAGGTAAGTTTGAAACTTCCTAGAGACTTGTTTAATGGTTTTGACAAAAATGCTGATTGCGATAGGGACAATGAAGTCTCTGCTGAGGTGGTCTCAGATAGAGATGAAGAACTTACTGGGAACTGGAGTAAAGGTCACTTATGCTATGCTTTAGCAAAGAGACTGGCAGCATTTTGTCCAAATCCTAGAGATCCGGGAAACTTTAAACTTGACAGAGATGATTTAGGGTATCTGGCAGAAGAAATTTCTAAGCAGCGAAGCATTCGAGAGGTAACTTGGCTTATTATGAAAGTGTTTAGTTATGTATGTTCACAAAGAGTTGTTTTGAAATTGGAACTTATATTTATAATGGAAGAAGAGCCATAACATTTGGTAAATTTGCAGCCTGACCATGTGATAGAAAAGAAAAACCTATTTTCTGAGGAGGAATTCAAGCCCGCTGCAGAAATTTGTGTAAGTACTGAGATGCTGAATATTAATAGCCAAGACAATGGGGAAAATCTCTCCAAGGCATGCCAGAGACTTACATGACAGCCCCTCCTATCAGAAGCCTAGAAGGAAAAAATGGTTTCATGGGCCAGGCCCAGGACCCAGCTGCCCTCTGCAGCTTCAGGACTTGGTGCTGTGTGTCCCAGCTGCTCCAGCTATAACTGTGGCTATAAAGGGCCAATGTACAGCTCAGGCCATTCCTGCAGAGGGTGTAAGTCCCAAGCCTTAGTGGCTTACACGTGGTGTTGGGCCTGCAGGTACACAGAGGACAAGAGCTGAGCTTTGGGAGCCTTTGCCTAGATTTCAAAGGATGTATGGAAACACCTGGATGTCCAGGCAGAAGTTTGTAGCATGGGCGGAGACCTCATGGAGAACCTCTGCTAGGACAGTATGGAAGGAAAGTGTGGGGTTGGAGCCCCCATACAGACTCCTCTCTGGGGCACTGTCTAGTGGAGCTTTGAAAGAGGATCACGGTCCTCCAGGCCTCAGAATGGTAAATTCACCAACAGCTTGCACCATGCCCCTGGAAAAGCCACAGGCACTCAATGCCAGCCAGTGAAGGCAACTGCAGGGCTCTACCCCCAAGAGCCACAGAGCCAGAGCTGCCCAAGGCTGTGGGAGTCCACAACTTGCATCAGTGTGCTCTGAATGTGAGACATAGATTCAAAGGAGACCATTACAGAGCATTAAGATTTAATGACTGCCCTGCCAGGTTTTAGACTTGCATGGGGCCTGTGGCCCCTTTGTTTTGGGCAGTTTCTCCTATTTGGAATAGAAATATTTACCCAGTGCCTGTACCTCCATTGTATCTTGGAAGTAACTAACTTGCTTTTGATTTTACAGGTGCATAGGCAAAAGGGACTTGCCTTGTCTCAAATAAGACTTTGGACTTGGACTTTGAGTTAATGCCGGAATGGGTTAAGACTTTGGGGGACTGTTGAGAAGACCTAATCGGTTTTGAAATGTGAAAAGGACATGAAATTTGGGAGGGGTTGGGGTGGAACGATATGTTTTGGCTCTGTGTCCCCACCCAATCTCATCCCTAATTGTAATCCCCGTATGTTGAGGAAGGGACCTGGTGAGAGGTGATAGGATTATGTGGGTGGTTCCCCCATGCTTGTTTCATGATAGTGAAGGAGTTCTCAAGAGATCTGATTGTTTAATAAGTGTCTGGCCTTTCCCCTGCTTGCTTTCTCTATCACCTGTGACCATGTAAGATATGCCTTGCTTCCCATTCACCTCTGCCATGGTTGTAAGTTTCTCGAGGCCTTCTCAGCCATGCAAAACTGTTAGTCAATTAAATCTCTTTTCTTTATAAGTTAATTACCCAGTCTCAGGTAGTATTTTTATAGCAGTGTGAAAATAGACTAATACAAAAGTCCACATGCAAAAATCAGTAATGTTTCTATATAGCAATAATGAAACAGTTGAAAAAGAAAGCAAGAAGTGATCCCATTTTAAATAACTACAAAAAATAGTTAGGAATAAATATAATCATGAGGTGAAAGACCTCTGCAAGAAAAACTGTAAAAGATTATGAAAAAATTGAAGAGGATGCAAACAAATGGGAAAACTTTTCATGATGATGTATCAAAAGAGCTAATATTGTTAAAATGACCATACTAACAAAGCAATCTACAGATTCAATTGAATCTCTATCTAAATACCAATGTCACTTCTCACAGCAATAGAAAAAGCAATCCTAAAATTGATACAGAATCAAAAAAGAACCCAAATAGCCAAAGAAATCTTGCACAAAGACAACAAGGGTGGAGACATCATACTACCCAACTTCAAAATTTATTACAAGACTAGAACAACCAAAACAATATAGTAAAGGGAAAAAAAATGCACAAAAAAACAGACACAAAGACCAATGGAACAGGATAGAAAGCCCATCAAAAAACCCACACACTTAATTACCAACTCATTTTCAAGAAAACTGCCAAGAACATACACTGAGGAAAGAATATCCTCTTCAATAAATGATGTTGGAAAAACTGGATATTATATGCAGAAGAATGGAACTAGACTTCTATATCTCACCATATACAAAAATCAACTCAAAATGGATTAAAGACTTAAACATAAGACCTGGTATTATAAAACGACTAGAAGAAAACATAGGTGATACACTACAGGACTTTGGTCTATGCAAAGATTTTTATAGCTAACACTTCAAAAGCAAAGGCAACAAAAGCAAAAATAGACAAATGGGACTATATTAAACTAAAAACTTTCTGCACAACAGAGCAAACAATCAACAAAGTAAAGAGACGACTTGTTGAATGGGAGATGACATTTACAAAATATTCATCTGGAAAGGGACTAATATCCAAATATACTTGAAATTCAAACAATGCAAAGAAATAGAAACAAATAATCTTATTAAAAAGAAGCAAAGGACATGAACAGACATTTCTTAAAAGAAGACATACAAATGGCCTGCAGGTATTTAAGATAAAACATTCACCATCACTAATCATCAGGGAAATGCAAATCAAAATCACAATTAAGCATCATCTTAACCCAGTTAGAATGACTATTACAAAAAATACACAAAATAAGAGGCACTGATGAGGACACAGAGAAAAGGGAACTCTTATATACTGCTGATGGGAATGTATATTAGTAGCACCATTATGGAAACCAGTATGGATATTTCTCCAAAGACTAAAATTAGAACTAGAATACAATCTAGCAATTCCACTACTGGGTATTTATCCAAAGGAAAGGAAATCAGTATATCAAAGTAATACCTGTACCCTCATGTTTATTGCAGCCTCACAATGGCAAAGATATGGAATCAACTTAAGTGTCCATCAATGGATGAGGGGATAAAGAAAATGTAGTATATATACACAATAGAATACTATTCAGCCATAAAAAAACACTGAAATCTTGTCATATGCAGCAACATGGATGGATCTGGAATCCATTATATTAAGTGAAATAAGCCAGGCATAAAAAGACAGGCATGTTCTTACTAATACAGGAGCTACAATCATTGATCTCATAGAAGTAAGAGAGTAGAATGATAGTTACAAGAAGCTGGGAATAGTGCATTCATTGTGGGGGGTGAGGGTGGATGAAGAGACGTTGATTAAATAAACATAAAGTTTGATAGAAGGAAAAAGTTATAATGTTTGATAGCAGAATAGGGTTACTATAGTTAACAACAATATGTTGTGTATTTCAAAATAGCAAGAAGAGAGGACTTGAAATGTTCCCAACACATAGAAATGACAAATATTTGAGGTGCTAGATACCCTAACTATCCTGGCTTGCCCATTGTACATTTTATGCTTATAATGAAATATCATGTATACCCCATTAAAATGTACAAATATTATGTATTAATAATTTTTAAGATTTGTATATATTTAAGGTGTACAAAATTTTGTTTTGATATACTTAAGTATTGTGAAATGATTACCATGGTCAAGTTAATTAATATATCCATCACCTCACATAGATACTGTTTTGAATGATAAGAATACGTAAGATCTATTGTCTGAACATATTTCAAGTATGAAATACATTATTATTATCTATAGTTACCATGCTGTACATTAGGACTCCAGAATTTATCTTATCACTGAAACTGCATTTTTAATCAATATCTCCTAATTTTCCCCAACACTCAACTCCTAGCAACCACTCTTCTCTACTTACATGACTTCAACTTTTTTAGATTCCACATACAAGTGACATCACACAGTATTTGTCTCTTTGTGACTGACTTATTTCACTTAGCATAATGTCTCCAGGTTCTTTTATGTTATCCCAAATGTCAGGAATTCCTTCTTTCTGAATGCTGAATGATATTCCACTGCGTATCTGTGTGTGTGTGTGTATGTATGTATGTATGTGTTACACACTTTCTTTACCCACTCATCCGTCAATAGACATTTAGGTGGTTTCCAATCTTGGCTATTGTGAATAATGCTGCAATTAACATGACAGTGCAGATATATTTTTTAAAAGGTGGTGACTTAATTTCCTTCGGGTATTTTCCTAGAAAATGAATTTCTGTGTCATATGGTAGTTCTAGTTTTAACTTTTTAGAAACCTCCATAATGTTTTCCATAATGACTGTACCAATTTCCATTCCCAAAATCGATGTATAAGGGTTAGCTTTCTCCACATCTTCACCAACACATATTATCTTTTGACTTTTTGACAATAGTCATCCTAACAGGTATGAGGTAATATCTCACTGTTTTGATTTTCATTCTTTCTGGAGTTCAGGGCCCCTCTCCAAACTCACTAGACCATTCATTGGTAGAACTCATTTCCTTATGATGGTATGACTGGGAGGCCTTCATGATGGCCTGATGGTATGATTGCTATCAGCTGGAAGCAGCCTTCAAATCCTAGAGATAGCCTGTAGTTATATGCACATGGCTTCATATTCATAGGCAGTTCACACCATTGCTGTTTGTTTCTTCCAGGCCAGCAAGAGACTCTCTGACTCCAGTCAACTAAGGCAAGGTTTTATTTTGTTTTTTATTTGTTTGTTTGAGATAGAGTCTCGCTCTGTCACCTAGGCTGGAGTGCATTGGCACGATCTCAGCTTACTGAAACCTCCACCTCCCAGGTTCAAGCGATTCTCCTGCTTCAGCCTCCCGAGTAGCTGGGACTACAGGTGCCCACCACCACACTCAGCTAATTTTTGTATTTTTAGTGGAGCTGGGGTTTCACCATGTTGGCCAGACTGGTCTCGAACTCCTGACCTCAAATGATCCACCCACCTCAGCTTCCCATAGTGCTGGGATTACAGGTATGAGCCACCCTGCCTGGCCAGCTAAAGCAAAGCTTTGAATGGCTGAACATAATCGTGGGAGTGGTAGCCCATCACCTTTGCCATGTCCTATTGATGAGAACACTCACAGCTAAGGAGAGGGGCAGACAGGGTGTAACTCACTGGGGATCTTCCACAGTGAAAAAGAAAAGCCCTTCTGAATAGATGACATTTAGGCTGAGATCTGAAAAAGACAGAAAAAGGCAGCCGACTGGACCCTATGAAGATCCACTTAGAGTGGATATTCCGCTCACTGCTGGAAGTAATGATGACTGAGAACTCTCAGTCATTAGGCCCCTCTGGAAATGTTCTTTACTGGAAAGACCTTTCTTGCCCAATCACACTACTTCCATGAGCATCTTGCATTCCCTAACAATTAATGATGCAGAATAAAGTCCTGACCTCCTTGATCCAATTCCAGACAACGCTTAGGGCTCTCGATTTCCCTATGAGGCCACTTAAGGACTTTACTGAGGTTGTGTTGAAGCCCAACTTCTCTTTGTGCCTAATCTTGCTTTCCTGTCTTGCAAAACATTGACCCTGACAGCACTCCCTGATAAACTCTCTGCATCTTAATTTTCACCTCAGAGCCTGTTTCCTGGGAAACTTATCTGCAACAGTAGCTATGGCATGATTAGAGCGATGAACATTCCAGGAAGAGGAGACTGGTAGTGCTAGGGCTGCTAAGGCTTTTCAAGTAGGAAGGACAAGCAAAAAAAAAAAAAAAAAAAAAGAGTTAAGGGCTAGAGTTTAATTGTACTGAAAAATGGCTTAACTCGAGGTCAGAAAATTAGGCTGGGGGAGGCCAGTGTTAGATCATGTAGGCTGTGTAAGCCAGGATATGAATGTTTGATTTTTCAATGTGATGGAAAATGAGTTATATTTTACTTTTAAATTAATATTTTAAAAATCAATAAAAATCAATCCAAAGTAAAGATGAAAACATGCAAATAAATATTTACCCAGAGAATTAAAAATACCTGAAAAAGGGAAAAATGGAAGTTTCTCTCGTCAAAGCAATAAACAAAAGGGATAATTATTTATTATTCATTATTCATCTATGATTTAGTTTTAATGAAAGAATTACTGAGACAATGATTGTGATAAATGAGTATTTGAAAAATTCTTGTTGATGTCTTCATGTACTTTTAAATTGAGTTCTTTTGAATGAGCATATTCTTTGCAAACAATACCAAGACGGCTGACCCTCTAAATATGGCAACCTAATGGGAACTAATACTTAAATAGAACTTAAAATCTACAATGTTCAATACTGTCAAGCTGTGCATGTACGCCTGCAAAGAATGAGTCTTTTCTCTGTCAAGCACAAGATAAAGAAACCTCTGCAATACAAGGCTTGTATGGCTTTATCAACAATGGGTTCCATTCAAAAGCAGAGGAATCTGACGGAAAAGATGTTTGAGAAGTGGGATTTGGAGAATTTTATAAATTTCTCGTTTCATTTCTTTCCACTTAAAGACAATTCTAATAGCTTGCTTCTGCCCTATATGATAAGATACTATTGAGCTTTTAACCTTGACGGAGAGTGAAACTGCAATCTCATTGTGTAGGAGGCTTCCCACCGAGTGCCACTAGCAACTTAAAATTCTTGCTCAAGTGGAAAGATGAAAGTTCTTGGCAAATTTCATCAAGAAAAGTCAAACATTAGATTTCTGGGACTTAAAGACGGAATTATATTAAAATTTCAATAAACTCTGTACATGCACTACTAATATTAAGATTTCAGTCATTTAAGCTATGCGAAAATGTAATTCTGATGGATGTTAATTACTTTCAACCCATGTACTTAATGAACCAGAGTCTATAAACACACAGATGAAAAATACTTTACCTCATTTATTCATCAACTCAGTTTTAGATCTTTGTAAAATGAGTTCACTGTAAACACAGTTGGTCCTTATTAATAATGAGGGGGAAACTAACCTATGTGTAGAACTGTTTACAAGATATTTTCATAGACATTTTATTTACTGTTATAATGACACTACGAAGCAACAAAAGAAAAATCAATATTATTCCCACTTTACAGATGAGGAACAAGTTCAGTGACCTCAGATAGCTTATTCAACATCACATAGTTGGGAAAACGTCAAAGAGAGAGGTAAAATATATGTGTGTTTCTTTTGACATTCTATGCAGATATGAAGCATTCTTAGAAATCCACACCAGAATTGTTACTGGGTAGATCACTTCCACCAAACACTACTGACACCTTAGAATACTACCTCAGACAGAGAGTTAAAGATACCTATTAGATATTATCAGAAAAATCAGACATTAGATACTTATAGCTGCTGTGCTGTGGAAACATTTTTTTTAAGTAGTCACTTGTGCTACTTGATTTCAGCCTGCTTGGTTAACAATAATTTATTCTTTCAATATCTCTTCTTTAATATCTGAAGCTTTTTTAAAGTGGAGGATAAATGTAATTATCTGTGAAAGATGTAATACGTGTGCTTAACTGTATATCACTCAGCAGAAAAGGGGATTAACTAAACAGGCACAAGGGAACTTTTGGGAAAAATAGAAAAGTTTTAAAATTGGATTGTAATGAAGGTTGCACAACACTATAAATTTACTAAGATCACTGAATTGTAATCTTACAATGCGAATTTTATGGTATGTAAATTGTATTTCAATAAAGCTGTTAAAAAGAGAGCATAAAAATGGGGGAAATGTATATTACTGTTAAATTTCAATAAATATAAATATATTAATATACATAAATTAATGTTGGATTTGAAGGAAAGAGAAATACAAAGTCAGAGTCCTGAATTTATGAAAATTGACACTTGGGACCTAAAGAAAGAACACAAAAGAGAAGTGATGTTACCATGGAACATTCTGCAGCATTTTTCCTATTACATCACACGGTGGCAAAACGATGACCTAATCTGATCCTAACAAGGTCTCCATTTTATACTCTCTCGAGGAAAAACAAGCATGAAGAAGGGAGACGATTTATCAAGATCACAGAACTAGTCTCATTGATGGATTTCACACTCAGTCCTTAGAATATAAATCCTGCATTCCAAAGAAGGTAGATTTGTTCTTTAGCCCTCTGGTAGTATTCTATTATTTCTAAATATTTACTCATTGAGTAAACTTTTATTGAGTAACTTATATACCAGACATGAGTAGCCATACAGCTATTGTGTGTAGTCCCATAAAGCAGAAATTGTTATTGTGATTTTAGTGCAATATGATTCTCCCCGGACCTCACCAGCTTATGGGGGCTGTATCAGTCAAGATTCTCCAGAAGAATAGAATTAATAGAATATGCATAAATATATCCAAAGAGATTTATTATGAGGAATTGGCTCACCGGATTATGGAGGCTGAGAAGTTCCACCATTTGTTAACTGCAAGCTGGAGACCCAGGAAAGCTGGTGGTGTAGCTCCAGTTCAAGCCCAAATGCTTAAGAACCAGGAACACCAATGCCCAAAGGCAGGAGGAGGTTGCTATCCCAGAACAGAGAAAGCCTGTATTTGCCGTTTCTCTGCCTATTTTTCTACACAGGCCCTCAAAAGATTGGAGGATGCCTGCCAACATTGGTATGGGTAGATTTTTCACTCAGCACATCAATTCATATGCTAATCTCTCCTGAAAACACCCTCATAGACACACCCAGAAATAATGTTTCACCACGTGTCTGGGTATTCCTTAGCCCAGTCAAGTTGTCAAATAAAATTAACCATCACAGGAACAAACAAAGTCATATAAACAATATTAGCTCAAATTCTCATGCTCTTGTTAACACTTACATCACAGGATCCGAAATAATTGCCAAGGCTTCTTTTTCAAAATATTTTTGAGAGTTCTGAAGGTTATACTCAAAGAGAAGCTCTGAGATGCTGCTTTACTCTTTCTCATGGGGCAGCAAAATCTGCATCTGGGCTCTTCAAATGTCAAAGCTGTAGAGTGGGCTCTGGTAAAATGGGCCAATATTTCTCAACCCCTTTTGTGTAAGAAATCCCAAGGCAATGTTGCTTTTCTATCAAGATTTTAAAATGTCTTTAGTAAAAAAAGTGGTTAAGTCTTTGTTTACTTTTCCTTCTAGTCCCAGACACAAGCAATTAGCCTTGAGTGAACTCATATGCCAGCCACCACTCTGAACTCAGGACCACTGCTTTCCACAACGACCAAGGCTTTGTTGGGAAGTACAGCCCATCATGACTGGCTTTGTCTCTGCTTATTAGGACCATCTAGGGGATTTCAGAGTTCCCCGCTCAATGAAACACCTAGTGATTCATTCATGATTCACCCCCATCAGTTCTCCACTCATGTTTACACAGTCTGAATCCCAGTTTAGATTGTGTTGTAGTCCAACTACATTAGTTATTCTGCTTGTGGTGGTGAATTTTAGGGGTCAGCTTGATTAACGAATGCTCACATAGCTGCTAAGGCATTATTCCTGGGTTGTCTATGAGGGTGTTTCCAGAAGAGACTGGCATTTACATCAGTGGACTAAGTGGTGAAGATTCACCCTCAATGCGGGTGGACAGCAACCAATCAGCTGAGGTCCCAGATGGAACAAAAAGGCAAGGGAAAGGCAAATAATGTTTTCTCTGGCTGTTAAGAGAAATCCACAGAGGTAAAGCACCGCATTCGTTGGAAAGCTCAGTAAATAGCAGTATTTACACAGTTCTTCATATAAGCTTTTAAAAAGCAGGTCACATAGCCAGACTACCCATCTAAATTTCATGATACATATAATTCAGAATTGTTACTACCCTTGGTTTAGAAGATTGCTAAATTATTTTCTTGATCTTATTTTTAAGCATGAAGAATCAATCCACACTTGGCCAAGTATTTTTATATTAAACATATTTATAAGACCATAACATTTATAATTTTATAATATTGCCTACGCTTGGTCTCAATTTGTCTTACAGATGAAATCACTACTTCCCTGTGTTTGTTAAAAAATAACTTATAAAATCATATTTTTAAAATACATAACAATAGTTCCCAAATGATGCAAATCATTTTCATTTTTAATAATAATATATTTAAATGAAGATACAAATTGAGTCGGATTCTCCTGGAATTTAAATTCATAAGTTATTTAACTAGAAAAGTTGCATCAATAAGCACAAAACATTTAATAAAGGACCAATAGCCTGTCAAGACTCTTAGGAAAGCAAAATAACATGAAATAAACTTAGAATACTAAAAAAACCTAACTTGTGGAAAAAATACATATTGTTTTTGATGGGTATTATTTTTGATAAATATAGATGACAAAGTTTATTTCATTTGAATATAAACATATAATTATATTTTGGATGTTATTAATTTACTCATTGATTTGACCAATATTTCCTGAGTCCCTGAGAAAGGCATCGTGCTAGGATCTGGGAGAGATTAAGTTAAATAAAAAAAGATGAAAATCCTACTTGCTTTCTGGTAAGGGAATGAACAAGAAACAAAATAATTAAAATAAATGTCAGATGGTGAAAAAGCACTGTGGGAAAAATAAAGCAGAGAGGGATGATGTAGAATGCTGGAGTAGTTATGATTTAAGTAGAATGATCAGGATGGACTCATTGAAAAGGCAACATTTGTACAATGGCCTGAAGATGAGAGAGCCAGTCTTGGGACTACCTGGAAGAAGAGAAATTCAGGATGAGGAAAGAGCAATTGCAATAGCCCCGAAGCAGGAGCATGCTTGGTAAAAGGTCAGTGTAGATACGCTGAAGAATGGGGAAGAAAACCAAGAAGAAAGTCATATGGGGATGTGTGTGGTGGAGGACAAGGTGTGGATTTCTCGGGCATTTTAGGCCATTGTAAGAACTTTGACTTGAGGTCTGAGTTAGATAGAAAAAGACACTGAGCAAGATAGGAGGGTTTTAAAGAAGTAACATGAACTGGTTTATATTTTTTAAAAATCATTCTGACCACTTCATTGAAAATAGAATGCAGGAAGAAAAGGCAGAAGTGCTGAGACCAATGAGGAGGCTAAGAAAATAGAATACAAGAGAGAGGTGATACTGGAATGGATCAGAGCCACAGCCGTGGAATGTGAGAAAGGTGACAATGTATTTTAAAGGCAGAGCCAAGAGAATTACCATGCATATTGAATCAGACAGTAGGAGAAAAAGAGAAGGCAGAAATAATGAGACAATTTTCAACTAGAGCAACTGAAAATATAAAGACAGAAGGGGAAGGAGGTCTCTGGATGCAGGTTGATGGGTTCCTGAGGGCGGTGGAAAATCAGAAAATCTATCTCTGGAAACGTGAAATTTAAGATTGCTATTACATAGACAAGTGAAGATGTAGAGTAGACAGCCTGGACTAGAAATTATGTGTATGTGACAGTTTTTGATAGATCAATTGATTGATTGATTGGCAGAATGATAGGCAGATACACACAGACAGGTTTTTAAGGTCATGTTACTGGATAAGATTACTAAGGCAGGAAGTTTAAGTAGCAAATAAAACAAAAGCAAGGACTGAGTCGTAGAGGAAGGCAAGTTAAGATGAGGAAATGGCAAAGAAAACTAAGATAAAGTTACAACACATATACATAAAAAATTGCCCAAACAAGAAAACGTTCTGTCCCTCCTAACCTCAAAGGGCTGAAACATCTTCACAATGTTGCCATAAGTTACCCAAAGATAAGGGGAAGGCACCCGGCTAGAACTGGGCACCATTGTCTCACCTTATAAGAAACACGAAACTACATGTTCCAGTCATCTCAGTGGACAAACTCTTCTAGCTCATTCCAGGAAAGGGTGTCAGGTTACACTGAAGATCAATAACTCAAATGTGTGATCACGAGATAGAACTAGTTCAGTCACCAAAACATTCATATTCATTCAACGAATAATGACTGAGAGCCAGGTATGTAAGTCACTGTCCCAGGTGATGAATTCGGAGTTCTTATTAAATTCAGAGCCTATTTCTCAGACTACAAATGCAAAAGCATCCATAAGTAGGCCGGGTGCGGTGGCTCATGCCTGTAATTCCAGCACTTTGGGAGGCCGAGGCAGGAGAATCACAAGGTCAGGAGTTCAAGACCAGCCTGACCAACATGGTGAAACCCCGTCTCTACTAAAAATATAAAAATTAGCCGGGCCCAGTGGCACACACCTGTAATCCCAGCTACTCAGGAGACAGAGGCAGGAGAATCATTTGAATCTGGGAGGTGGAGGTTACAGTGAGCAGAGATTGCACCACTGCACTCTAGCCTGGGCAACAGAGCAAGACTGCATCTCAAATATATATATATCCGTAAGTATACACTATAATTATATAGGACCCTTTACAGTAATAGCAAAATGTTTTTGATCACTTAGTATATGCCAAGCACTATTTACACAGATTGCATTTTACAAAGATGACCACAAAAATATCTTCCACCCATAGGTCCTCCTGCAATGTGACCTTGCCCATTCTTAAATGAAGTCTAGTTCCCATTTCCTTGGCATCTAGGCTGGATGTAGTGAACAGCTGGTAACTAAAAGAACATAGGGAAAGTGACTTCCTGTGAAATCTGAGGCTAGGTCAGAAAAGCCACACATCTTCTACCTCGTTGTTTGGAATGCTTGCTTTCCACATACCCTCTCTGAAGATACTCCCTCTTGGAGCCCAGTCACCATGCTGCAAGAAGCACACACCAAGTGGAGAGAACACATGTGTAATCCCCAGTGGACACCACAGAGGAGCTTGCTATTCAAGTCATTACAACTACGTGTGTATATAAGGAACTCTGCACATGATTACACCACCAGCATTTGATGCATCCCTGGCTATTTGAGCCTTCTGGGCTGAGGTACCAGATATCCCCAGTTCCTAAACCACAGAATCTATGAGCATAATACAATAGTTTGCATTTTATTCCACTAAATTTTAAAAGTGGTTTATTAAGCAGCAATAAATGACTGGATAAAGTTCGTTAACAGTTTTTATCATATAATTTCATTTAATCTTCTAGAGAAACCTATTAGCCAGTTATTATTCTCTGCATTTTACAAAGGGAACCCAGCCTGAAAATAAAATGATTAATACAGCTAATAAATGATAGAGCCACCATTCAAACACAATTACAGAATTGGAAATTGTAAAGACAGCATTATTATACATCCTTTGGGTAAGAAAATTCTGGTAGGCACTGAATAAACATGAAAAGAATATATAAAATAACCCATATTTTGAGATTTCTGTAAACAATGTAAGAAGTCAAAACACATATATGTGACAACTGCTCTTATCTCAAAATCTTTAATTCAACAACTGGGCAAATGGTGCATTTATTCATTAATCAGACTTTCAATAAGTGGCCCCTGGGTGCCTAACATTGTATTAATCAGAAAACCAGCCAAAGGTATAGGCAGAGAGAACAAAAAGTAGTGTAATGAAAGAGAGGGAACTTTCACAAATCACCCATTTGTCCTCTATTCTGGAAGTAAGGTATCTGAAACACTTTGTTAATAAAAGAAACAGATTTGTATTGTTAAAGGTTTGTGGAAATGATTCATCAAAGTGATACATGACTCATGCACAGAAAACTGGATTTTAAAAGAGTACATAAAGTATGGAAGAAATAACCAAAATATGTATGTATGTTCCTGGATGGGAGAGGAAATAAAGGAGAGATACAGAGAGGAGAGTATGCATGGGATTGTTTCTGCAAAGAATAAATGTGTGGCAGTTAGCATTGTGCATGTTTAGAGCAATGGTTTATATGCATAGATTTAGGATTCTACTATCTATATTTTTTAAATATCTTTCTACAAAATCTACATAGATTGTGAAGGAGAAACAGTTTTTCTCATATTCCTGGGAAGAATAAAGATCACCTTTGAAGACACAGAAAATGTTCATATCTCTTCTAGACTTTCAATGTTAAATAGCTCATTTTTTAAGTCAGAAAACATGAAAAAGTCCATGAAAATGGCAGTTAGAGCTGCAGTGCCCAGATTCTATGCTGCCTCTCAGTTTGTCCAGTGAACATCATGGGAGACTTTGTGTTTGGTCAGAATGCATTATCATTACCTGTCTTTAATCTCAACTCATTTAAGATCTTAATTAGTGGAGATAGAAAGTGTGTGCAGGTGTGAGTGTGTGTATGGGTTATTTTAGCATATTGATATGTAGCAGAAATGAGATCTCAGTCAATTCCATTTTCCAGCTTTACAATGGAAATTTAAACACTGTTTGTTACAATGTTGCCATTGAAAATATTATTCCAATTTTATACAATACAAATTTATTTATCTGAAACATTTTTCCTTCGAAGAAACTAAACTACTCACAAAAGTGTTCATTAACCCACATAACTCCAAGATACTGTGTCTTTATTTAGCTGAGCATTTGGTTCTTGAAAAGTAAGTCTTGTTGGCTCAGATGTTAGCATTGCAGCATTATTTGGAAATAAGCAGAAGGTTTGTAAACAGGGGGTTTAAAAAACTTAAAACTTAAACTTCTAGCTGATGAGGGAGTGCCAACCAGCGTATGGAAAGATCAGTGTTGAGTCTAATTTTATTTGGTTCAGTTTATAGATGCGGTGAGTGAGGAGATGGAGAGTTTTGCAAGTACAAGTTAATGTTAATATGCAAAGTGGTTAAGATAATGTTTATCTCTCTAATCTATTAAAATTATTTTACTCCACACCCCAAGAAATAGGAAGAATAGTAATCATTTCATGATAATATTCACATTCGTGATATTAGCAAGTTAATGATGAATTTATACTCACTGTTATTGATCAAATGTGATTGATAACAATATTAACTAGAAAATGCTCACTTTGGGACCATTATTTAAAGTACATTCTGTGTTCTGTGTGGCTTTTTTTTTTCATTCTCCTCTGTCAGTATGAAATGCCTGACATTCATTCATGAAGCATTTCTTAGATTCCCATTATGTGCCAGGCTCTCAGAGGCAAAAGCAAACAAGATACAGTTCTTTCCTCAAAGGATGTACAATTAAATAAAATATGGCAGGTTAGAAAATAAATATGTCCACTGAAAAGGCATAGATGCTGATATAAAACTGTGTAAGGAAACAATGGGGCACAAACTATAGAGCAAGTAACAGGTTTTACCTGGGCAGGCATCAGGAAGTGCTTTAGTAAGGAAGGAATTTTTGAGTGGCCTCTGAACAGGAATGTGCGACAGGGAGCAATTCCAGGAAAGGCGTGGAGACACAGAATAACCCAGCAAGGTTTCTCTGAAGAAAATAATCTACTGCTTTGTGTGGGTTCATGTGTGTGTGTGCTATATGATATATAGATAACATTACATATGACATATATTACAGATACTACTATATGTTTTATACATGACACACATCCATAATATGCGTAAATATATTTATAAAATCAATATACACAATAAATGGTTGTCTGTATATACATACATATACACACGTCAATAGATACATATATGGATTTTGTGTTGTTTAGAGCAAAGTAGTCACATTTTCATCAGCCTCTGGAATGCTATGATCACACATCCCTTCTTCGGCCCTCCCTTTCTGATTTGCTCCTCAGTTTAGTCGTTTAAAATGCTTACCAGGTGTGCTCTCACATTTGACAGCAAAATAGTACCCAGACCCAGAAAATATTTGAAATTTAAATTTTTAATCCTGTTTTTAAGTCATTTACATGAAAATCTAAAAATATCCTTTAAAAGAACATTACCCTATCGTTTTCTTAGAAGAGAATAAAACAGTACAGTAACTTTAGGTACTCTGGCGCCACCTTGTGGTTTCTTTTCATATGACACTGTCCCGGTAAATATTTTTTTAATTTGCTGTAGAAAACTTTAAAAATACTATATCCAGAATCTACAAGGAACTTAAAAAAAATTACAAGAAAAAAATAACCTCATCAAAAAGTGGGCAGAGGATATGAACAGACACGTCTCGAAAGAAGACATGTGTGCAGCCATCAAACATGAAAAAAAGCTCAACATCACTGATCATTAGAGAAATGCAAATCAAAACCACAGTGAAGTACCATCTCACGCCAGTCAGAATGGTGATTATTAAAAAGCCAAGAAATAATGGATGCTGGTGAGGCTGTGGAGAAGAAGAAACACTTTTACACTGTTGGTGGGAATGTAAATTAGTTCAACCATTGTGGAAGACAGTGTGGCAATTCCTCAAGGATCTAGAACCAGAAATAACATTTGACCCAGCAATCCCATTACTGGGTATATACCCAGAGGATTATAAATCATTATACTATAAAGACACATGCACACGTATGTTTATTGCAGCACTATTTACAATGGCAAAGACTTGGAACCAACCCAAATGCCCATCAATGATAGACTGGATTAAGAAAATGTGGCACATGTACACCATGGAATACTATGCAGACATAAAAAGGAATGAGATCATGTTCTTTTCAGGGACATGGATGAAGCTGGAAGCCATCATTCTCAACAAACTAACACAGAAGCATAAAACAAAACACCGCATGTTCTCACTCATAAATGGGAGTTGAACAATGACACATAAGTGGGAGTTGAACAGGGACACAGTGATGGGAATAACACACACTGGGCCTGTTGGGGAGTGGGGGCGAGGGGAGGAAACCTAGAGAATGGGTCAAATAGGTGCAGCAAACCACCATAGCACACATATACCTGTGTAACAAACCTACACGTTCTGCGCAGGTATCCCAGAACTTAAAGTAAAATAAAATTTAAAAAATACTATACCCCAGCATCTGTTCAACAACTATTTCTTAAACATTATATTGGGATCGGAAATATCATTCGCCACTAGGTTTACAAAACAAATAATAAGTGGACATTTTTAAGGGGCTTAATTTCTGGTATGTATTTTGAAGACAGGCCTAGGGCTGAGATACAGACACAATATATTGTTACATTACCCTTTCTAGAAGTGAGAACATATCTGTATTTTATCATCTTTGTAGCAGATTTTTTTTTAAAAAAGTCACCTTTTGGTGACCAGCTGAATGATATCATCTGTTTGAGAAAGCTTTAGAAGCAGTTCCTGGAAAAAGGCTATACAATGAATTATTTTTCTCACTGAATTTTCCAGAGTGCCACAGCAACAATGGTTCAGCACTGTTAGGAGGTAGATCATTTCTCTGCACTCACACGTCAGAAATCCTATGGCACACAAGAGTGGACCACTGACTGCATATCCCACTTCTCATAGTGCTCTTGAGAGCAGTTCCGTCTTTCTGTGAGATACCATATAATAGACTTCTTAGAAACAGGCTGTTTTGGCTCATACTGTGTTTTTACTAAATGACTTCAGAGTGGGGAAAAACCTTTGCCTTGAACTTGGGAAGATGCATAATGAATGGATAGGAAATAGCCCCATAGAAAGCCACTTAGTAAATATGCAGGTCTGACGGGGTACTGGGTAAACAACTCTGTGAAAAGACAATGAAATTCCATGGAATAATCCTATGATTCTATCCAAATTAAGACAATTCATGAAACAGAAAACATTTTTTCTTTCATTTTTCTTTGGCTCTTGGGATCATCTGACATTGATTCAATATAATTTTGTTACAACACAAATACATTAAATAATTATATTTCAGAAGGAATCAAAACAATTTTAATTAGAAAACACTTCTTGAGGACTTTCACTATCCTGAGGATGTTAAAAAATTATATTGACTGCCTCTTCTTGCAACTGTCAAGAGGCTAAGAATTTAAACAAGCAGTTGATTATTTTGAGATCTGCAGTACCATCTTTTCCAATGTTTAATCAAATTGTATAATTGTCATTTTAGAGTAAAAAAGAGCATACTGGTGTCATTTAATGATAGTATCAAGAGCAGAACTCATTTAAAATTCCTTTATCACTCCCTACCCCCAGTGTTTTTCTCTCTTGCCCAGAGTACTTAAAAACTACCACACACCTGTTTCTGCCTCTCAAGTAGGGACATACCAGACTATGCTGTCAATTGAGGAAGACTTTGCCCACTTCAGTTGCCTTACTTGGTAGTGGCTACTTAGCACTCCTTAGATCAGCATTCCCAGTCATCCATTTTTGACATTTAGAAAGAAATAATTATTCACTGTGAAGCAGTGTCTTATACATTGCAGAATATTTAGCATTCCTGGGTCTTATGTGTCAAATACCAGCAGGATTTATCAGCCTTTATTAGAAAACAAAACATTTTCATGCATTTTCAGATGACACCCTGGAGGCTTAGAGCATGAGTACTGACACAGATATGAGGGAAATACTCATTCATTTATTCAATAAGTCTGTCAAACATCTGTGATTATAAATCAATTAACATATTAGGGGTAACTTACTATCTAGTTGGAGAGACAACAAACTAAACATGAAATCACACTTTCACTTATGTAACTTATACACACAAAGTGTTAATAAAAAAAATATTACTGGTAAAATTAGAGAAGGCTATAGAGAGGATGAAAAAAATATTACCTCAGTTTTGAAGGACCTAGAAGAATAGCCCAAGAGAAGAAGAGTAGAACATTTCAGTCACGAGGAATAGAATACGCAAAATCTCAGCTGTATAGAAGAAAATTAGAAATAGCGAGTGTCATTCCAGAGGGACTGAAACAATAAATAGGTTTTGGAAGAGTGATTAAGAGAAGATATTAAATGGCAGGAAAGGGGAAAAGCGAATGAAAAGGAGAGTCGTAAAAGGCAAATTTTGAGCCACCTGTGAAATATGAACGATTTTTGTGTTCCTCTGATTTTCCAATCCTCCTATGGGATTTTACTCTCGTCCCATCATAATGCCTATGAGGGCGAGTGATACCAAACTCTCTTGTCATGCCTGACCCTTCCCCTGATGTTCACATGACATTTCCACTCTCTGCTCCCCATGTTTTTAACAGTTCTGCCCCAACCTCAGACTTAAAAGGTCTATAATGAACTCCTTATCTCTTCGTCTGAACTAGGTTTTGGCTTCTCTGTCACTATTTCTATATTAAAGTCACTAACTTTTTTCTTTCATTCAGATTTCCCTACTGCCAGTTACTGTCTTCTACTTGAATTTTCTTGAACAATATCTCATCTACAAATTTTCCTCATAGATTTCAACTGTTATAACTCAGGAGCCCATTCCTAGGCTACTGTACACCTTCCCTAGCTGGTTTCCCAGCCTCCACTTTCTGCTCTCTTCCATCATTCCTGCACACTGCCATTGGACAGATCTCAATATATTCCTTTGGTTGCTTTGGCCTTGTGCTCAAAAATAGGCTTCAATGACAGAGAAAAGAAAAGGGAAAAGAAAAATCTGCTTATCTCGGCATTCAAGGCTCCCACAATCTGGCCCTAAATGCTTTAATTCCATTAGTGGCTCTCCTTAACTTTCAATGATACTCAGCTGGTAAAAATGTTTTGGTATTAGCCATGTATTGAGCACTTTCTATTACCTGACATTGATGGAAGTGCTTTCTATGAATTTTTTCATTTGACCTTTATTAAACCTTATCAGTGGGTGCTTTTATTTCTCATTTTATAGATGGAAATAAAAAGATTTAGAGATGAGGTAACTTGGCCACCTTTATGCAGGTAGTAGATGATAGGGCCAGAATTTGAAATTTAAATTTATTTCTGATTTGTAATGTCATCCTATACTTCTGATTCGCTCTCCCTCTGTATTAACTACTCTTTAGTCTCTGAAACCGGTATTATTATATCACTTTAAATGCTTCTAAGTTTTTTCTTATCAAAATTCAGCCCATCTTTCAAATCCTACTCAGAAACTACTTTCTCCATAAACACTTCCCTACCAACTTAAGTCAAAGTCACCTCTCCCTCCTGCCAAGCCAGTGGTTTCCAACTTTGGCTGCACGTTGGAATCATCTGTGGAGACTTGATATAATTGGCCTGGAAGCCACCTGGGCATTGAGATTTTTTTTTTTAATCTCTCAAGGTGATTCCAATGTGCAGCCAAGGTTGAAAACCACCACTCTAGGATCTTAAGCAAATTTTAAAAAAATTCTACAGTTCTTTTGTCAATTAAAATGACAGACTGGCATAATTTAGGGACAGATTTGGAGATCAGTTTATTCTGTAAATGAGGATGTTGAATATGATTCATGATCTATGATTAGTGATCTTCACATATTTTTTGGCAAAATACTTCATTTGAAATCTTTTGGAGACACAGAATTGGTGAAAAAATGTTGAATTCCATTTTTAAAAATGGAGAAGGAAAACATCCAACCTCCTTTCTTCCATAACATCCCTGGGGTCTCTGAGGAAACTACATGAAAACTCCATAGCATCTAAGATAAAAATCTGCATATACTCAGTTACAAAAGTCCTTTCTGTCTATAAAAGTCTAATATTCTGTGGTATCACGGCTAAATTCAAGATAAATTCTCTCTACGTTAGCTGTTTTACTGGACTATTTCTCTCCCAACAATGCATTATTCAGCTAATAGAGTTTTCTTAGGGAATTATATTCAACTAATAAAAACAGTATTTTCAAATGGTCCAGAAATGGCATCATGTCCCCAACAGCTGGTACTAATGTTTCAAACTCACAACCACCTCTGAGGACAAATACGAATCTATCCCTTTTACCAATGAAGACATTGAGGGTAAAGGGGTTAAGCGACTCACCTCAACTTGTGGTTCAATTTAGTGGTGCACTCCCAACTCCTAATCCAGTTTATTCTATTTCTTATAAATATTTCACGAGCCTATCCGTTACCTGCCACCATGGGCTTAAAAACATCTCCACTAATGAGCAGCACAGAGCTGTCTCTAAGCTACTTTGAACCAAAGTTCAGCCAGAATTTAGTACAATAGACAATTCACAACACATTGCCAGAGATCAGCAGGGGGAAAATATGCACAACACAATTCTGCATTCAGGTAAAGTGTACTGAAGACATTTTTTAATGGCAAACATAAAAATAAAATGCTTTGTAACAAAAAAGAAGTGGCATATTGAGTTTGGAATCTGTCTATCAAGTAAAGAATAAAGAAGAAGTAAATCAATGAAGACCTGTTACTTCAAAACATATCAAATTTTAACAAAAGAAAGTTTTTTAAAAAAAATTCTGACCTGGGTATCTCAGTTTTCTGAGAAAACTCCAGCTAACCACAACTCATTTTTATTCCCATTTTCATTTTCTCCTCTTTTCCCAACTGATCATTTTCCTTACTACATGAGGGTCAGTTCGGAGGTCTGCCATATGAAACTGTCACAAAAATACGGGCGGATACAAGATGCCTGCTAGTGAGAGAAGCTTAGGTGAATAATCCATCAGGAAGTGCCATCACTAAGTCAAGGGAATAACACACGTAGGAGGACACATAAACATCCGCAGGGACTGAATCCTTTCTGTTTAATGTATCTTATTACTTGAGCTGGCAATCTTTAAAATTTGAAAGACATGTAGTGCCCTAGAATTTCAGAGTAATTCTTTCTTTTTTTTAACAACCAAATAAAAGGAAGCCAATAGTAACAGAATTGAATAATTTAAGGCTTATGTGAAAGAATTTACTTCAACATTAAACTTCTAGTTCTTCAATGAGAGACACATCTGCTCTCTGTTCTTAAATCTTTGTAAGAAAATAAGTGTGAGGATTAGGAAGCTGGCTGTGTAGATTTACATTCATACAAACTGTAGAATATTTCTTCAGATTTAATACTTAGCTAATAATTTTACCTGAATTATGTGTTTAGAAAACACTACTTTCATTTATTTTAAAGAGGAACTTTATTAACTATAATTGATATCAAGCTTAACTGAGAAAAGCTATTAGGCTGGTTAGCATTTATGTAATTTGGGGGAAAATATATGTAAGCACAGTTTCGACGTAATATGCTGAATGTCTAACTGCCCTTGGCTCTCTTCTGAGGGAATTGGCCCCAGGAATTTCTAAGGCATAGGTTGTCAATTTTGGCTGCAACTGTCTGACGCAGGAGTGGATGTTGGACCCTAAGGCAGCCATCTGCAGGGGATTGTCACAGGATTCTGTTCATAAGAAATGCCCCTAGACTGGATGGTGACAATTCAACTAAAACAAATACTCTCTCTCAGGGAGTTTGAATATGAAACAAATAAATACAGAGTCAGCTAGCAGCAGCAGAAGGAAAAGCAGTTAAAACAAAGACAAAGGCATTAACTAGCAGAGCTCAAGAGAAGAGCATGATGGGCTCATCCTCCTAGAGGCAACACAAGATAACCAGGTTATTACCAGAGTAATGCTGAATGCTGAACAAAGTTCCACTGCTCTCAAGGTGCGACTACAGAATTACACCTACATTCTCAATGTAGGGCCTCTGTAGCTTTTCAGTCTATTTCTTGTTCTTCCTTCATCAAAATCCTCACTGCACACTGTAACCAAACCTATCTCTGTTCCTTGCAGCCTCAAAAAAGCATAAGGTCATGTGCATTAAACATCTTTAATTGGAAGTGATCAACAGGGTTAAATATCACTGGATTTCAGTGCTAATTCCTCTATTTAGTAATGACATTAATATTTTCCAACTTATCCTTTCTGCTACCAGACAGTAAATCAGCAACACTAAATAATCCTAACTGGTATTATAAATTTTTGAGAGGAAGTACTAACGTAGTGTTAAAAAGCATAAGCTTTATAATTCAAATCATAACTTCACTACCTGATAGCTCTGTGATCTTGGATATGTTTCTAAACCTCTCTGGATCTGTTTCCTCATCTGTAAAACAGAGATACTAATTTTATCTACCTCATAGAGTTTTTGTGACTAGAGTTTTTGTGGAAAATTAAATGAATTAGCATATGTAAAGCATTTAGAACTTCAGCAGATAATAAGCACTGTATAAGTACTACTTATTATTTTACTGTTATTTAAATGGGAACCTAATTTGAACTTCAGAAGATTATATTCTCATTTTTTAAAAGCATCATCTACTTAAAAGAGGATGATTCAGCTTTGTGGAAACTGGTGGTGTTCTTCACCCCCAACGTGTTTTCATTGTTATTAGTCCACTGCAATATAAAAATGAAAATGAATGCAACTCTCAAAAGACACCAATTAGGCACATCAGTTGATTACAATTAATTTTGGATACAAGATTTGGCAAGGAAAATATGCTTAGCCAAAACATTCTAAATTCTTCTGTTATATAGACAAGCACCTTAAGCTATTCATAAAAATTCCAGGCCCCGGGATATTCGCTGGAGCTATTCATCAAATAGTTTAACAGCTGATAAAGAGTTGACCGAAACAGAAATGATTGAATTTCTCTCTAAGGAGCCAGAGTGAGTCTCTGGCAAAAACAGGAAGCTATTATGTCATGTCCAATTTATTTAGTCTAGTGATTCAAAGAACACTGCTCCATCCATTATCATCATTTCCCCTTCTAAGGTTCCTATATTCATTAGGAAATGTCCTTAGCCACCCTAAAGATTTCATGTTCATTATCTACATTAGATTGAATAAACTGGACATGGCCTAGCAGAGTGAAAACACAATATTAACAAACAGATGCTGGACTTTAGTGCCTTAAAGTGGCTTTAAGGGATGCTCTCAATGGCCCGCGCCCTCCCCACCTGAGGATTCCAGCAGTGAGCTCTGCCACCCCCACTCTCCTCTTTGCACTCAGGGGTGGACGGTTTTTATAAGCAAGAGGATTAATAGGCCCAGGAACAGATGCTCTTTTACAGTAAGTACTATTGCAATATCCAATTGTGCTTTACGTGCGGTTGATAGCAATCACTCCCCAAAGAGACATTTCTTAAATACTTCTCTATTTTAAGATCCACATTTTGGTAATTTTATTAAGTTAGAAATTAAACACTTGCTGGCTAAAGTGCATCACTGACTGTGAACAAACTGTGCTTAGAGACCCTTTGGAAAGTATATGTTCTCTGGATTGTTCAACACAACATTTGCCCAACTAAATAGAGAGCAAAATTGGTGAATACATGGGAACAATTAAATTTCTATCTTGTCTAGCCACAGAGATGATAAATCCAAAGCACAGTCAAAAAACTAATTGAGGCATCTGTAAAAAATTTGCACTCCATTATCACATCTTAGGCCCTCAAAACTGTTTGCGGAACTCATCAGTAAAGTTTTCATGATAAAAAGATGGTGGATTTTTCTCTGCCCTCTTCTAGCAGAGAATAAATATATTCTCAGGATTTTCTGTATGTATTTGTTGTAGTGGGGGGTGTTAAATATAGAAATCGCATTAAATCTCAGTTAGTTTGGCCCTGATTTTATTCCAAATGAATATGTGTCCATGGTGAGTGATGGGAAGACAGCAATTAAATTGATTATTTATGCTTAGTTCATTCACTGTTAATATTGGCATGGCCATTCATTGATAGTCATTTTAGTAAAATCAAACCAAGAAGAAAATTCAAAGAAAAGTGTAAGATGATTGAAATTATACAAAAGGTCTTGATTTTATTCGTTCTTTCATGTGCTTTGACTTTACTGCCAGTTATTTCTGTATCTCTTTTTCTTTCCCCAAGCAATTTCTCATCGTAGTGATCCCTGTATAAAATTATTCTGATCTGTGTTTCCTTACAAGAAAAATGTTCAATATATTCAGGATCTTTTTCAGTAAAACTCTTGATCATCTCTAAATGTCAAGAATTTTATATGTTGATAGATATTATATGCATGTGTCTAGATTGTCATAAATAGGATAATATTAAAAATAACATTCCCATGATTTTATTATTAAGTCAGGACAGAGAACTGTAAGGAAGTACACTAAGACAATGGTCATCGGTCCAGCCTCTTCATTTTTTATCTGTTGTGCCTCTGCAACTTTCCCACAAACAGCAAATAAGGAGACTTACATCTCTCTTTCTTTCCCCTTATTCTCAAGAGGAGGGGGAGAAAAGACCTGCATGTAGGAGGATAGACAGGTGATATTATCAGAGTATCTGGCGGAGAAGAAGATTAGGATGAAACCAGAATGTGGATCACTGAATTGCAAATGACTCACTTGAGTAAGAGAGCATTTCATGGGTCCTGATCAAGCTATAGCATTTCTCTTTTTTCCCCTCTAATGGCTATGTCAATACTTCTTCCCTGGAAGAAAAACTTTCCTTAACATTGAGGTTGCTAAGATTTATATGATGGAAAGTTGTAATAATTAAGGTCTGGCCCTATGTATAAAAACAGGGAGAGCTATTTGTTTGTGGCTACATATAACTATCAGCCCACCACTTTTTTTTTATGATAGTCATCATGGCTTTTTGTGACTGGTATAATTTCAAAAAGGAAGCAGAGACCATGACTGAAAAAATGTTAAAACAGTTTACTGGTCACAGGGTATCCTCTGTGTCCTAGGAGTCAGGCAATATAATTTAACTCAGAGAGCACAGCTTTCATAAAATCTTCTGAGTCAAAGTAGTACACTGTGTTCTTCAAGATGCTCCCTGTCAGAAGCTCTTCCCATTTTCATGACAAAACAAAAGGAGTGGGACAGTTTGGCTTATTGCCTCTTTCAATGGTCCAACATTTTTAACATCATCAATATATTCTGCATCATACTCAGAACATCCCAAAATCCCTTTATAAGTAAGGTGAGTTGTATTTGGAATATGGGGAATTTAAACATATTATTGTGGATTATTTGGAAATAAGAAGAAATGTCTTTGCACAAATCCTTTCACCATTATTACGTTGGATGAAATAAGTCTGACTGCAGATAGAAACGCAGAAGCAATTCAGCAAGTATAAAATTGCACTGACCATTTAATTGCTCAAATTATATTTGACATAGGATTAGCATTAGGCCTCTCTACCACCAGGTCTCTATTTTGCTAACTTTTATAATATATCTTACAAATTCTAACAGAGCTCCAGGATAATATGTAAGTTAGCAAGTAGTCAAAATAATGATATTTAAATATCCCCAACATTTTCAACTTCCTTGTGTTTCATAAGCTTTACCTGTTTCTCTTTATGCAGTTAATAAATGGTTATTGAATGCCTAGTAAATCCCAAGCACTGTGCACGGTATTGAATATATGATAGTAAATGAGATAAATACAGGTTCCTTACCCTGAAAGAGTTTGCAATATTTTTGGAGACACCAGCAAGCAATGAGGCAATTCCAGCATGATACATGCTTTAACAAGAAGGAGCAGTTTTCTAAGGAACCGCACGCAGTAGAAAGGCATCTAGGCAGAATTGCAGTAATTAGAGAAGTATTTCTCGATAAAGTGACATCTAAACAGAATCTTTAGTGATGAGCCATTAGCCAGATGAAGGAGGATTGGTGGTTCTAAGAAAAAGAACAAGATAGAGCAATGAGAGTTGGAAACAAATACCTTTACATTAAAATATTAGCCACCCTGTACAGGTTTAAAGGTTAAGGGGAAGGCTCCAGTTGAGGAAGAAGATGAATAAGAGAGGAGGCAGTGGGTAAAACTAACAGAGTAAATACCTCGTGAAGGCATAGCACTGCTGCAGAATGAGTGTTTAAGTTGAGGAAGGACTCTTATTGCACTATAATGGAAAGAGAAAGTTAAAAAATAAACATAAATATAGATAAATTTAAAGGTGCAGTGGCAAGAATTTGAGAGAATTCCCCTAAAAGGGTTTCAATTTTTTAATATGAACAAACGTAGCAATCAATAATAATTGATTATATTTTACTTCCCAGTGTGATTAGTTTATCTAATACTCGGAACTTCCTGTGACATTGACACTGATACCTCCCCAGTTTGCAGATGAAAAAAATACTTCAGAGAAGATACTTTTTCCAACATCGCACAGTCAGAATGTGACAGAGTCAAAGATAACAGTCCAGATTCTCCACACCATATGTTTACTTACAGTTCCTCCAATAAGACAGAAGCCGTTCTCTGCTCTGAGAATGGACCAGGAAACAGAGACAAGTATGAAGAGAGTAGAAAAGGATCAAAATAGCCACTAATTTCTCCCATTCTAACTACATTCTAATTACAAGGGCTGCTAGATAGTGCTGAAGATGAGTAGAAATAGATTGTATCACCGGTCATTTGGAAATGTGAGATTTGCTCAGCAGCTCGATCAAGTGTGGACATGGGAAAAGTAAGAAGTCGAACTGACAGATTGGAAGAGCATTTTCCAGATAGACGATGTCTCCGTCAGCCCAGGCTGCCATAACAAAATACCACAAACTTGGTGGATTAAACAACAGGTATTTATTTCTCACAGTTCTGAAGGCTGAAAGTCTGCAATCAGCCTGCTGGCATGGTTACTTTTGGGGGAAGGCTCTCTCCTTAGGTTACAGAGAGCCACCTTCTTGCTGTGTCCTCAGATGGCTAAGAGAGAGGAAGAGAAAGCTCTCTGATCTTTCTTTCTATAAGGGCATTAACCCCATCATGAGGTCCCCCTCCTTATGACGTTATCTAACCCTAAATACCTCCCAAAGACCGCATCTCCGAATACCATCACCCTGGGGATTAGGGGTTCAACATATGAATTTGGGAGTGGAGTTCAACATTCAGTCCATAGGAGATGGGAAAAAAAGAATGATGAATAAATATGTGATTTAAAAAATAAAAAGTTCAAGAGCTGGACCATGAGAATCTATAATGAACGAGAAAGGAAGTACAGACCAGCAATGCAAGGGAGAAAGTGATGGCACCCCAAGGAGGTGAGAAAACATATGGAATAGGAAGAACTCAGCTCCAACAGGGGAGAAGAAAGATGCAGTGAGATAACTATGTAATGTTTCATATCTCCCATGTAGACTTTCAGTTAATATCGAAAAGTAAATAAAGGTCTGTAGGCTTATTTTCACTTAGGCAGGAAAGGACTTGGGTGTTTGGGGTATGCTCTGCAAACACACTTCAGGAGAGAGAAAACCTAAGAGGCAGAAAGAAGCTGACAACCTCAAAGAAGAATGAATGGCAAGAGAAGTTTCCAGGAGAGAAGAGAAGGTGAATGAAGGAAGCTGAAAGACAGCTCGATGGACGCTCCGATAAAATTGCGCCCTGTGGCTAGTAAAAGGGAAACACAGATAACTAGAAGAAAAAAAATAAATTCCTACTATATGTAATGTATATTCACTGCATCGAAATAATCTATCTTACTGGATAATGAGGCTTAATAGTTATAATGAATGATTGAAATAAATTTTAAAAAGAATAAGGGATCGAGTCATTGAAGAAAATGTGATAGCTATTCAGATATAATTTTAAATAATATATTAACAGCGTTTTTTTCCTTAACCTATCATCTTTCAAGATAGAACTCAGAGAGTATCATCTACTTTCTGCTGCTCCATAATTTATATTCTTCAAGGAAGAGGATTAGCAGGGAAGACATAATATTCAACTATTTCTGTCACTAGTAGACATTTTCAATTACCAAAATAAGTTTGCTCAGTAAACTATTTATTTGATTGCGATTAAGAACACAAAAATTAATTTGTGTTGGATTAACTTTCAAGGAGTTCGAAAAAAGAACTGAACACTAAAATCCAATGGTATCTGTTTATGGGGAATCATCCTTTGAACACTTCAGCTTAGCAGTTCTCAAAATGTGATCTGCAGACCCCTGGGAGTCCCCCAAGACAATTTCAGGGGGTCAGCAAACTCAGAGCCATTTTAACAATAAGATTATTTGTTGTTTTCACTGTGTTGAGATTTACACTGAATGTGCAAAACAATGATGAGTCCAACAGCTGACATTTTAAGATGAATCAATGCAGTGGTACCAACTGTATAGTGGTTTGATATTAATCTCTTTATTATTTTCCTCACTGCCAATACATCCACTTTCACTTAAGAATGTCCTTGGCCGGGCGTGGTGGCTCATACCTGTAATCCCAGCACTTTGGGAGGCCAAGGCAGGCAGATCACCTGAGGTCAGGAGTTCGAGACCAGCCTGGCCAATATGGCGAAACCTTGTCTCTGCTAAAAATACAAAAAAATTAGCCAGGCGTGGTGGCAGGCACCTGCAATCCCAGCTACTCGGGAGGCTGAGGTAGGCAAATCGCTTGAACCCGCGAGGTGGAGGTTGCAGTGAACCGAGATCTCACCATTGCACTCCAGCCTGGGCAACAAGAGCGAAACTCTGCCAAAAAATAAAAATAAAACAATAAATTTTAAAAAAAGTCCTTGGTGAAACAGCAAAAAGTATTAGTGTTATTAAATCTGGACCCTTGAGTACTTATCTTTTCAACATTCTGTGTGATAAAATGGAAAGTACACATAAAGCCCTGCTGTTGCATACTGAAGTATGATTGTTGTGAGAAAAAAAAAAATTGTGCAATTAGGTTATGAGCTGAACTAGCTGCTATTTTGTGAAACAATTTTTACTGAAAAGAAAAACTTGTAGATAAATGTGGTTATTCAGACTTGGATATTTGGCAGACATTTCCTCAAAAATGAACAAAATGAGCCTGTCACTTAAGGAAAACAACTGACAGTATTTATTGCCAATAGCACAATTTAAGCTTCAAGTGAAAGCTTCCATTAGCTTGACAGCTTTCCAACACTTAAAGAGTTGCCTGATGAATTTTGGTAGTGATATTAATGAATGAAATTTTTGATATTGTGTAATGAAGTTCATCAACATTTGGAAGACCTGTATAACTCAGCATAACAATATTCTCTAAGTGTTCAATGCATCATATTACAGAATCAACATTCACATCACACAATAGACCAGTGGATTTTAATGTCATGAGAAGTTTATTGAGATAGTTTTAGATTCTACATTACAATTAACCTTGAAGAAACTACTATAGCCAGGTTTGGATGTAGTTCCAAAGAAGACTATTCACAGCTATCTTTAAAAGCTATTAAAATATTCCTCCATTTTAAACTACATACATGTATGCAAGACTGGAGTTTCTTCATTTACTTCAAACAGAGCAACATATCAAAAAAGATTGGATGTAGAAGCAGTTACAATAATCCAGCAGTCCTCTATTAGACCCAATATTAAGGAGATTTGCAAAAATGTAAAACACTGCTTTTCTTCTCACTAAACTTTTATTTGAAAAATATAGTCACTTCATTAAAATATATTATTTAAGCTAGTGTGTAATGGGATTATTATTGGTTTTTAAATAAATTAATATAAATTTTTTAAACATTAATTTCTATTATTGTAAATATAAATACATAAATTGTTTTGATGTCTTTAGTAGAGTTTCAGAGCATAAAGGGGTTCCTAAAACCAAAAGTTTTGATAATTTCTGATTTTGTTGAGCAAAATTTACCTTTAACCATGATTTCTATTATATCCATAAATAAATTTATTTAATTTTAAATGTTATAGTACCACTAATTTACAATTTATGCCAGTCAAAAAAAATCTGGCCCTCACGTTTTATTGCAAAAGAGTTGAAACACATCTCATTGTAATAAAATTAAAAATCTATGGACCCCTCTCTTTTTCCGCCATTTTGTCAAAACTGCAAAACAAGTCTTGCGGAAGTAGGCCTAAGGGACTTTTGCACCGATATTGTACTGGCAACCCACCACGTACACCAATTTTTATTGTCATGGCCCAAACTGAAAAACAGGTTTTTTGACTTTTTTCCTCCTCAGAGAGAGTTTTTTTCTTTTGTTTTCTGGAAGCACAGCTTAGGAGCCTGAGATGATAATTTTTGCACGTATTTTTCTCCTTCCTTTGGGAACCTTAACCATATAGAGACCTTAACACAAACCCTGATGCTCCCTTCATATTTATCCAGAATAGCCCAAGCAAAGCCTGAAAATAGGGTATCAACAATAAAAATCAGAAATTTGATTCACAGATCAACACTTATATAACTGGCCGAGGTGTTGGCAATAATTCTCAATTCACATAACACATATTTGTTTAATAAAAAAGAGACGATGTTTGTTAGAAATACTTTAAAAGGTACCTAATCAGATATTTTTACCAAAACAGATGTTTCAGATGACAGAATATAGAAGTATAAATCCGAGGTGGGATGGGTGGGTATAAAGAGGAGTTCTGAGAGTGAAGTAAAATCTAAGCTGTTACAGTCTAAGAAGTGGACAAGAGGACTTCCTAGCCCATGATTCATATGTCTGCCTCCTGGGTACAGGTAAGTCTTATTGAGATCAAATAGAATATTCAAGAAGAATGGCTTGAGCCCTTGCTGTGCATCCTATAGCAATTGTACCACTGTCCTCCAATAAATTCCTGCACATTCTCAAGGGTGGGGTTGAGGGGTTAGGGCTGGAGTGGGGCTGATTTTCTGTCAGTTCACTTCACAGCTTGGTTTCCTGCTGCTGTCCAGCTCACCCAACCACAGTTCCCATTTGGCCCACCATGTCCCTTCATACTGGATTTCATCTTTCTGTGACAGAGGCACATTGTCACCTTTCAAATTCACATTCTTAACTTATCTTTCAAAATAATAGAGTCCTAATTTTGACCTTCACAAATTGCAGTCAGCTGAAAGTCTATGTTTTCCAATTTTCTTTATCTCTACGTACTGGCCAGTAAGATGTGTGTAAAGTTCTGCATAAATGAAAGTGTTCTGTGGAACTTCCAGAAAGCCTCATTAGGAAAGAAAAAATATGTTCTTCATCCATTTCTCTGTACTATCCCCTGAAATACAGATGAGAAGTTCTGTGGGAGTGACTACATGGGGAGCCACAAGGATGACAGCTTCGCCCTCAGGGTGGCAGAGTGGAGATCTAGAAGGAGCATGGGTTCCTGATGACTGACCATGGAGTCACCATACCTGCTATGGACTGCTTTTCCCTGGAATTCTTTATGTGAGAAACAAATAAGCTTCCCATCATATTTAAGCCACGTTCTTTCAAGCTTTCTGCCATACAGAGCTGCATCTGGTCATAACCAAAACGACATCTTTTTTTTAATTCCACAAATTATAAGAAACACAAGCCTATTTTAAATTTAAAAAAAATGTTCAGTGGAAACTTGATGGCAACAGATGGGGAAGTATTGAATAGGAAGGAAATACTGCAAATTCAATAGAGGTCATCGCTGTTTCTAGATATTTGTTATCACTTCTCTGCCACAGACATGTTCATCATTGTCTAGATGTGTCCGTAAGTCTTTTCCTTCTGACATGCTCTTAAGGAGCTCCTCCTCTCTATTTTGACTTTTCTTTTTAATGCTATCTTCTCATTTACTCATGGTAACTCCAAATACCTCTAACTTTATATTGTCTGTCTTCTTGCCAGCTACTCCATCCAAACTACATCCTTAGCCTTACATTTCTCAAGCAAAAATGATATCAAATCCTACCCCGTGCTTTTATTAACAAAAGAACCATCTACCCCAGAGATAAACTAAGCAATTCCATTAGGAGGAAACAGCCACAATCTTTTTTTTAATAGCATTTTTCTTCATACTCTATTATTACTTAATTAAGAAGCAGCAAAAATACAACAGTGAAAATTTAATGAAATCAGAAATTCCCCCACAGGTTTTAGCAGAATTTCTGGGTATCATAAAAAATACCTAGAAAAGCGTGAGCCCAGATTCTGCTGACGCTCTTGTGACTCAAGCAAAAGCAGGAACCATCTCTTCTAACACAGAGATGCATCTTCAGTAATCTGTTATCCTCTCAAATTCCAGCCAGCTCTTGCTGATGCAGGCAGACATTGCCACCCTAAGCCTGCACTTTCTCACTACATCTGTTATACAATGATTTATCTCTTAAGCTGCCATGGGCTGCAGCTTCTCTCTTAAACACAGCATTATAATGCTTGTATTTGTATTCTTTCACCACTTAGCTTTCAGTTAATGCACATTATCTGAAAACTTTGTTATATAATCCGCAATCTTTCCTCCAATCCCAATTACTGCAATTATCCTTCCATTTTTACCTGAATGATGGAGTAAAAATCCCTGCTCTTCAGCTTCCTCACTTCTTCATCTCCTTTATTTTTCATCTCCATTCTACCTCTGATAGAACGGAGATGAAGGCCGGGCGCGGTGGCTCACGCCTGAAATCTCAGCACTTTGGGAGGCTGAGGCAGGTGGACCACCAGGTCAGGAGATCGAGACCATCCTGGCTAACATGGTGAAACCCCATCTCTACTAAAAATACAAAAAGAAATTAGCCGGGCGTGGTGGCGGGCGCCTGTAGTCCCAGCTACTCGAGAGGCTGAGGCAGGAGAGTGGCGTGAACCCGGGAGGCGGAGCTTGCAGTGAGCTGAGATCGCGCCACTGCACTCCAGCCTGGGCGACAGAGCGAGACTCCGTCTCAAAAAAAAAAAAAAAAAAAAAAAAAAAAAAGAATGGAGATGAAATTAGAACGTGTCACCATCTCAAATTCCTTCACCTCTTAAATCTTAAACTTTAATTTCCTATCACCAACAATTTTCAGCATTCCGTCTTTCCCTCCCTCTCACTAAGACTACATTTTAAGTCTTTTGAGAAAATTCTGGGAAAAGAAGGCTGAGCCAATGTCTCTGACTCTTCTTTTCTCTTCTTAGAAACTATCCAAAAGTAACAAGGGGAAGAACAGAAAGGGGAAGAACAGAAAAGACCACTACACCTTCAGTAAAATTAACAAAAGCTCATAACCCTGAATGGAAATATACAAAGATGAGCTCTGAAGTACAATGAAAATTGGACCAGGGCATTGACTGCTTGTAGGAGATCTGAGCAGAGCGCTGGTACAGTGCTCAGGGCAGGGCTTGCTCTAGTTGCATCACACCTTAAGGGGCAAACAGTGGTCTCCTGCTAGAATAGCAAGATTCCAGTGGGTGGACAGGCATTGGGAGCCTCCCTGATGCCTTTGTATTACAAAGAAGTGGCCGGGAAGGTGGAACTGAAAGAGGAAATATATAGAAAACTGCCTTTGCTGTGAGAGTGGCGGCATAGAAAATAAAATATAAATAGCAAGCAGTCCTGTACCAGCTAGAAAAGAAGAAAAGATCTCAGCACTCCTGTGCGTGTACATTTGGAAAAACACGTATGTGGGTGACACAGTGGACTTCGCAGAGCCCCCCAGGGGACCTTCCTGCTACCCTAAAATATGGAAGAGTATAACAAAACACTTGGAGAAATCTGTCTGAATTTTTAAACCGCAAGCCCACCTTCCTCTCTGATACCTCTCCCAACTCTTCTTCAAAACTAACCGGTTGTCCAAAATGAGCAATACTTAGGAAATAAAGAAAGAAATAGAAGAAGGATGAGGAGAGGAATTCACTAAACAAAAGGCAGATGATCATTGGTCAAAAAATAAATACAACAAAATAAGTGATTGCTATTTGCACACCTGACTCCCTGCACCAGACTGTAAACCACTATTTTTTGTATTCCCAGCACCAAGCAGAGTGACTTGTACCTAATAAATAGTGCATCTAGATTTGATGAATAAATAAGTGATTTTCTGAAGTAGCATTTCAAATATTACTGATCTTCTCGAGAATATTACTTGGGGTGATTGAGTCTTCCTGGATTTTCTGAAATCAAAGAAATATAAGTAATTTTCTGTGCTAAGTTTAATTAAGGCAGGTCCTTTTTTTGTTCAGTATCCTTAAAGTTTTAATGAAAAGTTGTTCCCATGATGGTGATATGTAAGTTCACAGACGTGGTTTTGCATTTTTTTCTTTTTCTTTTTTTTATTATACTTTAAGTTTTAGAGTATATGTACACAACGTGCAGGTTTGTTACATAGGTATACATGTGCCGTGTTGGCTTGCTGCACCCAATAACTCATCATTTACATTAGGTATTTCTCCTATTGCTATCCCTCCCCCAGCCCCCCACCCCACAACAGGCCCCATTGTGTGATGTTCCCCCCTGTGTGTCCAAATGATCTCATTGTTCAATTCCCACCTATGAGTGAGAACATGCGGTGTTTGGCTTTCTATCCTTGTGATAGTTTGCTGAGAATGATGGTTTCCAGCTTCATCCATGTCCCTGCAAAGGACATGAACTCATCCTTTTTAATGGCTGCATAGTATTACATGGTGTATATGTACCACATTTTCTTAATCCAGTCTATCATTGATGGACATTTGGGTTGGTTCCAAGTCTTTGCTATTGTGAATAGTGCCACAATAAACATACGTGTGCATGTGTCTTTATAGCAGCATGATTCATAATCCTTTAGGTATATACCCCGTAGTGGGATTGCTGAGTCAAATGGTGTTTCGAGTTTTAGAGCCTTGAAGAATCACCACGCTGTCTTCCACAATGGTTGAACTAATTTACACTCCCACTAACAATGTCAAAGCATTCCTATTTCTCCACATCCCCTCCAGCATCTGTTGTTTCCTCACATTTTAATGATTGTCATTCTAACTGGCATGAGATGGTATCTCATTGTGGTTCTGATTTGCATTTCTCTGATGACTAGTGATGATGAGCATTTTTTTTTCATGTGTTTGTTGGCTGCATAAATGTCTTCTTTTGAGAAGTGTCTGTTCATATTCTTTGCCATTTTTTGATGGGGTTGTTCGTTTTTTTCTTTTACATTTGTTTGAGTTCTTCGTAGATTCTGGATATTAGCCCTTTGTCAGATGGGTAGATTGCAAAAATTTTCTCCCATTCTGTAGGTTGCCTGTTCACTCTGATGGTAGTTTTTTTGCCATGTAGAAGCTCTCTAATTTAATTAGATCCCGTTTGTCTATTTTGGCTTTTGTTGCCATTGCTTTTGGTGTTTTAGTCATGAAGTCCTTGCCAATGTAATGCAGATCCTTTTAAAAGTTTAATTAATTCAACAAATATTTGTTGGGTTCTTTACTAAGTGCAGATCAATTTGTGAGGTTCTACCTTGGATCTAAAAACAAGACCTCAAGTTGCACATCTACTATTTAATTAATTCAATTCTTAGTTTTTTTTATTTTTAACTTTTAACTATTACGCGTACATAATAGATGTATATGTTTAAGAGATACATGTGCTGTTTTGATACAGGCATGCAATGTATAATAATCACATAAGGGTAGTTAAGGTATCCATCACCTCAAGCATTTATCATTTCTTTGTGTTAGGGACTTTCCAATTTTACTCTTTTAGTTATTTTGAAATACACAATAAACAGTTGTCAACTATAGTAATGTTGTTATGCTGTCAAATACTAGATCTTATTCATTCTACCTAACTATATTTTTGTACCCATCGATCATTCCCACTTTCCCCCGACCCCTTGTCTCCACTACCCTTCCCAGTTTCTGGTAATTATCATTCAATTCTTTATCCCAGTGAGTTCAGTTGTTTTAATTTTTAGCTCCCACAAATGAATGAAGACGTGTGAAATTTGTCTTTCTGTGCCTGGCTTCATTTAACATGATGTCCTCCAGTTCAATCCATGTTGTTGCAAATGACATGTTTTCATTCTTTTTAATTGCTGAATAATATTCCAATGTACATATGCATACTAAATTTTCTTTATCCATTCACCTATTGATGGACACTTAAGTGGATTCTAAATCTTGGCTATTGTGAATAATACTGCAATAAACGTGGGAGTACAGATAACTCTTTGATATACTGATTTCCTTTCTTTGGATATATACCTAGCAGTGTGACTGCTGGAACATATGGTAGCTTTATTTTTAGTTCTTTAAGGAGTTTCATAAGCTTTAGTTCTTATAAATAGTTTTATACTGTTTCGTATGTGACTGCACTAATTTACATTCCCACTAACAGTTTACAAGGGTTCCCCTTTCTTCACATCCTTGCCAGCATTTATTATTGCCTGTCTTTTGGATAATAGCTATTTTAACTGGGTGAGATGAAATCTCATTGTAGTTTTAATTTGTATTTCTCTGATGATTAATGATGTTGAGCATTTTTTATATACTGCTGCTCATTTGTATGTCTTCTTTTGAGAAATGTCTATTCAGATCTTTTGCCCATTTGAAAATTTGATTAGTTGTTCTTTTTCTATTGAGTTGTTTGAACTCCTTGTACATTTTGGTTTTAATCTCTTGTCTGATGGGTAGTTTGCAAATATTTTCTACCATTCTGTGGTTTGTGTCTTCACTTTGTTCTTTCCTTTGCTGTGCAGAGGCTTTTCAGATTGTTATGATCCTATTGTCCATTTTTGCTTTAGTTTCCTGTGCTTTTAAGGCATTACTCAAGAAATCTTTACCCAGATCAATGTCTTTGAGAGTTTCCCCAATGTTTTCCTTTAGTTTAAGGTCTTAGATTTAAATATTTAATCTATTTTGATTTGATTTTTATATACAGCAAGAGATAGAGATCTAGTTTTTTTTCTCTGCATATGGATATCCAGTTTTCCCAGCATCACTTATTGAAGAGACTATCCTTTCACCGATGTGTGTTCTTAGCACCTTTATCAAAAAAAGAGTTCTCTGTAGATGTCTGGATTTATTTGTGGATTCTCTACTCTTTTCCACTAGACTTCGTGTCTGTTTTTATAAATTATGCTGCTTCGGTTATTATAATGCTGCAGTATAATTTGATTACAACAGGAGGTAATGTGCTTTTTGCTCAGGATGACTGTAGCTATTTTGGATCTTTTGTGTTTCCATATAAATTTTATGATTTTTTTCTATTTCTATGATGAATGTCATTGGTATTTTGATAGGGATTGCACTGAATCTGTAGATTGCTTTGGGTACTATGAACATTTTAACAATGTTGATTATTCCAATCCATGAACATGGAATATCTTTTCATTTTTCACATTCTCTTCAATTTCTTTCATCAATGTTATATAGTTTCCATTGAAGGTATCTTTCATTTCTCTGGTTAAGTTTATTCCTAGGTATTTAATTTTATTTGTAGATATTATGTCAGTGGGATTACTTCCTTAGTTTCTTTTTCAGAGTGTTCACTGTTGGCATATTATAATGCTACTGATTATTGTATGTTGATCAACAAAATTAACATGCAATAATCAGTAGCATTTGATTATTTGTTTATCACTGCTATATTTGAATTTATCCGTGCTTATAATTTTTTGATGGAGTCTTTGGGTTTTTCTAAACATAAGATTATATTGTTTGCAACAAGAATAATTTGACTTTCCAACTTGGATGTCTTATATTTCTTGCTTTTGTCTAATTGCTCTAGCTAGAACTTCCAGTACTATGTTAAATAACAGTGGTGAAAGTGAGCATTCTTGTCTTGTTCCACATCTTAGAGAAAAGGCTTTTGGGCTTTCCTGTTCAGTATGATGCTAACTGTGGGTCTGTCTATATGACTTTTATTGTTTTGAGGTATGTTCTTTCTATACCCAGTTCTTTGAGAGTTTTTATCATGAAGGAATGTTGAGTTTTATTGAATGCTTTTTCAACATCTAATGAAATGATGATATGCTTTTTGTTCTTCATTCTGTTGGTATGATGTATCACAATGATTGATTTGCATATATTGAACCATCTTATTTTAAACTGATGACAACATAACTCTGATTACAAAATGATAACAAACAGGGAAGCAAAGAGAAAACTAATAGAAACTCTACAGTTTAACTCTATCTCCCCTCCCACTTTTTACCTTTTTTTGTTTCTATTTACATCTTTTTATACTATCGCTTAAAAAGTTGTTGTAGATATTATTTTTGATAAGTTTGTCTTTTAGTCTTCTTAGTTTACACACCACAATTACAGTGTTAGAATATTTGTATTTGTCTGTATACTTACTGTTACCAGTGAGTTTTTGTACCTTTAGATGATTTCTTATTTTTCATTAATGTCCTTCTCTTTCAGACTGAAGAACCCTCTTTATAATTTCTTATAGGACAGGTCTGGTATTGACAAAATCCCTCAGCTTTTGTTTGTCTATGAAAGTCTTTATTTCTTCTTCATGTTTGAAGGCTATTTTCACTGGATATAATATTCTTTGATAAAAGATAAAGGTTATTTTCCTCCTTCACTTTGAATATATCATGCCAATCTCTCCTGGCTTACAGGTTTCCACTGAGCAGTCTGTGGCCACACATATTGGAGCTCCTTTATATGTTGTTTCCTTTCTCTTGCTGCTTTTAGATCCTTTATTTATCCTTGATCTTTGGGAGTTACATCATTAAATACCTTATCATAGTTTTATTTGGGTTAAATCTCCTTGGTGTTCTATGCCCTTCTTGTATCTCTGAATATTGATATCTTTCTTTAGGTTTGGAAACTTCTGTGTTATTGTTTCTTCGAATAAACTTTCTGCCCCAATCTCTTTCTCTACCTTGCCTTTAAAATCTATAACCCTTAGATTTGTTTTTTGAGGATATTTTCCAGATCTAATCGATATGCTTCACGTCATTTCCTTTTTTCTTTTTCCTTTCTTCTTCTCTGTGTATCTTCATACAGCCTGTCTTAAAACTCACTAATTCTTTCTTCTGCTTAATTCTGCTGTTGATAAACTATGATGCATTTTTTGGTTTCTCAATTGAATTTTTCAGTTCTAGAATTTTTCCTTGATTTTCAAGAAATATTTCAATCTCTTTGTTAAATTTCTCTGATAGAACTCTGAATTCCTTTCCTGTGTTATATTGAGTTCACTGAGCTCCCTCAAAATAGCTACTTTGAATTCTCTGTCTGAAAGATCACATATCTCTGTCACTCTGGGATTGGTCACTGGTTCCTAATTTAGTTCGTGTATTGAGCTCATGTTTTCTGGATGGTCTTGATGCTTCTGGAAGTTCATCAATGTCTGGGCTTGTTTGTACCCATCCTTCTTGAGAAGGTTCTCCAGGTATTCAAAGGAAATTGAGTATTGTGATCTAAGTCTTTGGTCACTGCACCCATATTGTACTGGGTGCACCCCAAACCTGATAATGCTGCAAATCTTGCAGACTTGTACCACCTTAATGGGCTCAGGTAAGATACAAGATTATTTTCTGTATTACCAGGCAGAGTATCTTGTTCTCCTCCCTTACTTTCTGCCAAACTGAAGGAAGCTCTTTTTCCATGTTGTGCTGCCTAGCATTGGGGGTGAGGTGATACAAAAACTCTCCTCGTCACCCTAGCTGTTGTTTTACTGGGAAGTGTGCACCTCAAGTCACTGGCTCTGAGCTCAGCACAGCACCAGTACTTGCCCAAGGACTGCAGCCCTTGTAGTCTGACTGCCTTTCAAATGTATTCAAGACCCCATGCCACTTTAGTCAGCCAGTAGTGGAACTAGCTGGAGCTCAGGCCCCTACTCCTGGGGCAGGAGTTTCCCTTCTGACTGAGGCTGTTTTAAATGTTCCCTCCATGGGCACTGGCAGAATTTTGCCATGTGTAATATGTATTCCACTGTGAAAGGGTAGAACGAAGTTCCAGTGCAAATTCCCACAATCACTTCACTTTCCCTCCCCCAAGCACTCAATATACTCTCTCCATGGCACTGCTGGGGTTGAGGACAGGTGGTGTTGGCAATGCAAGACTGTCTTTCCCACTCTCTTCAATGTCTGTTATTTCGATACAATGTTAAAACCAAGCACTATAATCACTCATCTGATTTTTGTCCTTATAAAGTTGCTTTCTTGCATAGATAGTTGTGCAATTTGGTGTCCCTTTACAAGGGGTATGGCGGGGGGAATTTCTGGAGAGTTCTATTTGGCCATCTTGTTCTGCCTTCCTTAAATTCTTCATTTAAAAGAAGTAAGGTTCTTGATTGATCTAGAGAAGGGAAAATGCTATTTTCTCCTTCTCACCCATTCTGGAATATATTCTGACCATAAAAAAATTGCTATGGCTCATGCCTGTAATCCCAGCACTTTAGGAGGCCAAGGCGGGTGGATCACGAGGTCAGGAGATCGAGACCATTCTGGCTAACATGATGAAACCCTGCCTCTACTAAAAATAAATACAAAAAAATAGCCAGGCATGGTGGTGGGCACCTGTAGTCCCAGCTACTCGGGAGGCTGAGGCAAGAAAATGGCGTGAACCTGGGAGGCGGAGCTTGCAGTGAGCCAAGATCACGCCACTGCACTCCAGCCTGGGTGACAGAGAGAGACTCCGTCTCAAAAAAAAAAAAAAAAAAAAAAAAAATTGCTACCATTTTAATATAGCAATAGAGCAGATAGATACTTCAAATTTGTAAATTGCACATGTGAACTGGGTCTCTTTTATTTAATAATAAATGGACAAGGTAAATGGGAAATCATACACTTATTTACTTATTTACTAAGTACGTATAAAATGACTTCTCTTTCTAAGATGCTATAGTATATTAGGCAGGAGAATTTCCCAGATCTTACTATATTCAAAGCATAAGTGATATGCAATTGTGATACATGTTTAGTTCTATTTGTAAATAAAGAAATTTTTATTTATTTTTTGATATCAGATAAAAAGTAGTCCTTTTGCTATTAGTGTTAGGTTTATTAAGGGAAGATTAAGAAATTACTATAAATAACATATGTCTACAGGCTTACCATATTATCTCCAATCTCTTTATTTTGTATGAGTGCTAGAAAAATGAGATTTACGACAAAGCATATAAAGAGAAAGTCCTCTCTAAAAAATTAAATTTAAGAAAATAAACACTAGTCATTTTGTTTATTTAGAATCTCTTAAAGTATGTTTCTTGGAAAACTTCTTCCCACAAGAATAATGGATAGTTCAAGAAAAAATGTTTATATGATCAAATCAGTTTGGGAAATGCTCTATGTTATAAACTCTCTTTTGGAAATTCACAATACACATGCACAAATTAAAGGGTCTGAAGACCCTTTTAAGTTTAAAAAAAAATTGTTTAGCCCAGTGTTTCCCAAATTTTGGATAGCACAAAGACATGTTAGCAAAGAATGTGATCTCTTATAATTCAAAATACAAGATTTTTAAAGATAGTCAAGTGGCATCAGCTAAAGATGAATATGATCTTCATATATACCCCAAATCTCTGTCTCTTCTGCTCGTAGTGTGTAAAAGGTGTCCTGTTTCTGTTTAAAGGCTTGCTATCCCACTTGACTCTGCTTATCACCTAGTTTAACTTTCTCAATGACCTCATTCCTGCATCATCAATTTTTTGTTGATATTTTTCTTTATTGAGATGCTGGTCCACTGACTATGAAAACAATCTTTTTTAACTCCCTTTTGGGAAAAGATTACTTGAAAAATGTCAAGTTATCACCTATTTCTTTGCTGCCCATTAGGGCAAAATTCTTGGAAGTCTGTACTTGATCTATCTTCTTGATGATGTTCCAATGTGTTTTCAAACACCTTCCAGTCTGCCTTTCCTCCACACCGCTCCTCTAAGATTGTTCTTGTCAAAATCTCAAAAAATTCCATGTTGGCAAATTCAGAGAGCCTTTTTCAATTCTTCTCTTACTTCGTATTCAGTAGCATCCACATAAGTGGCCACTCATTCCTTGAAATTTTATCCTTTACTTCTGAGAGATCACACCTTCTGTTTTTCGTTTTTGTTGTTGTTGTTGTTGTTGTTGTTTTACCGTATCTCACTTCAATCTACTTCGATGACTTCACTGTATTCACCAGACTTCAAAAAGTTAGAATTCCCCAGGCTCAATTCACGTTATTTTTGTTTTTCTAAGCTCTTTCTAGATAATCTCATTAGCTTCCATAGCGTTAAATAACATGATATGAATAGATTTTGATTGCCAAATGTATAGCTCTAGTTCTTCATCGGTTCTGAGCTCTAAATTCTTAGAGCTAGCTGTCTGTTGACATTTTAGTGTATACACTGCATGCATCTTAAAAGTAACAAGTCCAAAAGGGAACTCTCACTTTCCCACCTCATCTGTTTCTGTTTTACCTATAGCAATAAACAGCACCACGCTCTACCTAAATACTGCAGTCATCATCATTCCCTCTTTCCCTTATCCCTTAGATTTAATTCATGAACAAGACCTGTCAATTTTTCCCTCAAATATTATCTTGGATACATAACCAATTCTCAAATATCCATTTCTTCAAATATTTATATTGGATAAATATCCATTTCTTGACATCCCCATTTCTACCATTCTAGTTCAAGCTGGCATCTAGTCTTGCCTGGACTAGTGCAATATCCTTCTAACTGATCTCTTTGTTTATTTTCTTGTTTCACCCCAATCAACACTGCCCTCAGTATATGAGTGACTTTTAAAAAAATGTTATCTGATTGATTGACTCATTTCATACCTCATTGCTTAAAAGCCTTCAATGGCTTCCTAAAGAACTTGGAATAAAACACAATGGGCAGGTTCTTCTTTGTGTCTACCTCAGCTTGATCCATTTGCCCCATTTCTCTGTGCTTGGCATTTCTGGTTTCTTTCCTCTTCTCGTCTACCTCAGCTTGATCCATTTGCCCCATTTCTCTGTGCTTGGCATTTCTGGTTTCTTTTCTCTTCTTGTAAACATGATCAGTTCTTTTTCTCCTCAGAATCTTTGTCCCTGATTTTTTCCTCTACCTGAATTGCTCTTTCCCCTATTTTTCCTACAGTCTACCTTTCTTCTTTCATATGTCAACTCAAGCCACCTCAGTCTGTGTCAGTCCTACCTAAAGTTGCCAGCACACACATCAGATTCTATATTCTCCAAGTTTTATTTCCTTCAAAACATTTAAAACGATATATATTGATTTTGCTTATTATTGAGGAGTGATGATGAGTTAGGCTGGGCAGTAATTGGGCATTGTTTTCTCTCTAAACATGCTCCACATACACCCCATACATATCACTGAGGTCACAGGTACTTGTGGTCTAGTTGACCAGTGTTACCCAAATGCCCAGAGCTGTACTAGCACAAAAAAACCTGCTGAATTAGTACTTGTTGGATAAATTAATGAATAATCTTCATTATAAACAAATAAAGACCCTTATTTTTCAATATCAACCCAGAAGATCTAATCCTTGTGCATTTTGATGGCAAGTAAATCTAAGGAGGTGAGTCTATGTAACAATATAGTCTAGATTACAATAAGAAACCTAGTTAAAAGTAAAATGTGGATCTTCTAAGGTGATATATATCCCTAGCACACGGGAAGTATGGGTATGGAAAAAAATTCACCACCAATTTTTGCAGGTTATTTCAGACAACAGTCACACCTCACTGTATCCATATTTCCTTCTCAGGCCACAACTACCAATATCTGAAATTAAAAATCCTGGGTTCCAAGGTTATTTTTCTTCTCTGCTCATCTTTTTCACAGAAAATTTTTTCACTAAGATGTAATTGAGAGATTGGCCACTTGAGGGCACTTTAGCTCCTTTATAAACGCTCCGGAAAAAAAAAGCCAGCTTCCTTTCAGAGAGGCAAAAATCACTTTCCCTAATATTATATCCCTGATTCTGACACTTAAATCTCAAATTCCTAAAATTCAAATCAGCTACTACTAATTCAAGATATCAACATTACTCACTTATGGCATTATCTTTTTCAACTTTCTTATCACAACTCTGTCTTCTGTCTGCTCGCTCATGAAGAGAACACAGCAGTATCCATTTTAGGCTAATGATCAACAACTAGGGTGAATACTAGAATCATGTGGAAGAATTATCAAAATATGCCTTTTTGAGCGCCACTCTGATCCACTCAGATGCACTAAATCACAACCATCAAAGACGTAACATCAGTGTAAGAGTTTTTTTAAAAAAGCTTCCCAGGTGCTTCTGATACATAACTTGGATGAGAACAAGGGACAGGGCCAATGTTTCCAACCAGCCATGTAAATAATAATAATAATAATAATAATAAAAAATCCATACAACTCCTTCTGCTTACCCACAGAATCTGAGCACAAAGTAAAAAAGTATTTACTCCATTCCTGGGTTCTTATTCTTCCTAGATTCCTGGTTGCTTTTTGTTGTTCCAGCTCCCTGTAAAGGAAAGAATTATATCCCCATTTCCACCTTCACCACCTCATTTTAAGCAGCTCTGCGTTGCTCACATTCGCTTTCTAGAGTAATATGCTCAGCTGTGGTGGCACAGAGAAGGAAACTGGCCTAAATTTTGTCATAGGCAGCTAGAAAATATTAAAAAGTAGATTGTGATACCTGGACAATTTTCATGTTATTCCAACTGCGAGGGTGAGCTCTTCAAAAGCATAATGATAAAATAGCCTGTCTTTCATTGGACTCCTCAGAAAAGCACATCTGCGAACCATCAGGAAAAAAAAGTAACCACTTCATCTCTTTACCTCCTTTACCAGCATGGTCTCCCACCTTTGCTAACAGGTACTAAAAACTGGCTCTAACTTAAACAAGAAGAGACGTTTTCTAGGAAGAATCAAGAGTGGTTCTGATATAGGAGTTAAGAAATCACTTAGGCAAATAGTGAGGGTACTGGAGTCTTTGGTAAGGTTTTGCTTTTAATGAAAAGCAGCCCCAAATCATTTTCTTTTCTAACAAAAATCAGCCTGTGAATTCGAGCTGCAGGCATAGATGCCAGCAGTTGTGCCATTCGTGTTCAAAATGGCGGCTTCATCTTCTCTTCTTTTTTGCCAGCCAATGTACAGTAAGGAGCAGCCAAGATGGCGCTGGTCAAAATGGAAAGGACATTTGCATAACAAGGTTAGGGCTGGGTGACCAGCCTTCCCTGCCCACTTCATAAATGTCACACCTGATCAAACCAATCTTTGGGCCCTACGTACATCAGACACCTCCTCCTCAAGCCTGCCTATAAATCCAGCAAACTGCCACGGTTTGGCCTTTTCCCCTCGGAAGCCCCTCTCTCTCTCACTAGAAAAAGAACTGTTCTTTCTTTCTTCCGTCTATTAAACCTTCGCTCCTAAAATCCTCATGTGTGTCTATGTCCCAAATTTTCTTGGTGTGAGACAATGAACTGCTGGTATTTACCCCAGATAACGAAGCTTCAGTTTCAAGATGGAAAATGTTGTGAACAATTGCATCTCAGAAAAGGCAAGAACCAGGGCACCTCTGGGAATCTCTGCAGGCATCGTGGCATTTCCTTAAAGCATATGACTGCCCCAAGGACTGCCATCTAAATTTTTCTATCTGACTACCTTCAGTTCTGAGGCTTCCTCTGTCAAGGTTCTCATTCCCAAGGTAAGAAGTCAGACGGCCTGATGAGGATCCGGTATCCTTCTGAAGTGGAAGGACAGTGTCTGGTGAGCAGGTGTCATGGAGGGCCAGTGGCATGTGCCTGTTGGGAGGGGTGCTATGTGAGTCAAGCTGCACAGACAAGAATAGCATCTACTGTTTTGGCATCTTTCCTTACCACTACATGATGTTTCTCTGCTCTGAGGAGATCACACACCTTGATTTCTCCAAGTATGCTGGCTACAGTCACATTCCAGTGCCAGCAATGCCATTAGCTCCCTTTTTCAGGCCAAATCACATGTATTAGAGAATATATTTATTATTCCCGCAAGAATATGAGATGCAGGAGGGCTGTACATTGATTCTGCATATTTTTATCCCAAGCCTAGGAGGACAGCTCACTCAGGAGACAACTGGAGAGCAGCACCTTCAATTCACTTTTCTTGGAATCTAGGTTGTATCCTGATAAGAAGCATGTGAAAAAAAAAAATGTGTGTGTGCGTGTTGGTTGGGGTTGAGGGAGAGATGTTCAACACTAACATAGAATTAATGAATTAATGATAACATAGTGTCATATTGAGATAGTGAGATGTGCTGCACTTTGGAATAAGAGAGACATAGGTTCCTATCCTGTTTATTTAGCAGATTATTTAACTTGCCGGTGCATCTATTTCTTCCTCTATGAAATGGAGAAACAATCCTATGAATCTCTATGAGGACTAAATTGGATAACGCGTTATGCTGGGTGTGGTTGACTGGCTCCCAGCAGCCAACCCCACCCGTTTCCATGTTCCTTTTTTGTACATAGGAGCTGAGGAGATAAACGCTACATTTAGCAGACTCCTTGGCAGCAAGGGCTCTGGGTGTGAATTGTGTCTGCCAACCAGAGGGAGAAGTTGGACGCGAACGCTTGGCTGTTCCTGCTGGCTAGCAACGTGGTAGGAACAGGTTTCTGTGCAACGGAGTTTGCATGCGTATTTCAGACTTTTCAGTGTTTTGAGATTTGTGACATCACTGCAGTAATGACCTCAGAGCGGGCACTCCTAATGAGTCAGTTGCACATTGTTTTGGCAGTCATCCCACAATATCCACTCAAAAACCGACTTCTCTGGCCCTCCCACTGATTGTCAGGATCTCACTTGCAGTATTAACCCACTTCTGTTTTCAGTCTCTAGAGTGGTTTGTTTCCTATTCTGAGCAATGACTAATATAGACATACAAAGTGCTTAACAGAGCACCTTTCTGTGGCACTAAAAAATGCTTGATAAATATAGCTATTAATATTATTATTATTATCTGGTATTTGACCTTAATCAAGTTGCTTAACCGCACTAAGCCTGAATTTTCTTATCTATAAAACAGGGACTTCTTAAGGAACTGCTGTACAGATAAAATAACATAATGTATGAAAAGAGCTTAGCACAGAGAGTAGGTGCCCAGTAAATTTTGTGTATAATTATATATTCCTTTTATTCATTTTCATTTTTTCAACATATAAATTATTTTATTAGTCGTTTAGCTTAATCCACACATAGTATAACACTATAACAGCATCAAACTGTTGTATGCCAATGTCTATGTTATTGACATGTAGTAGATTTCTAAATGATTTAGAAATGTGTTATACAAGAAGCCAGGTTAAACTTAAATAATGAGAGTTTCTGCAAAACTAATCGACTGACTCTTACCTCTGGTAATTTTTCCTTAGACTTTATTCTGCAATCACTAGAGGGCAGACAAATACAGTGAATAATCAGTACCAGCTAAAGCAGTAAATTCTTAATGAGCTTTCTGAATATGGGTAGAAACCGTTATTTTTCAAACATGAAAATAGAAGAACAAAGATACTTACTATGTAAGGACACAAATATCAGTTAAAAGTTTATAAGTTTATTTTAACTTCATTGTTATATAAAATTAGTAAGCACAATTTTCTACCTCATACTTATGTAAATTTTAAAGTAAAATCATTCAACAACACATACATTAATTTTTAAAATTAACAAGATAATTAAATGATATATATTCATTAGAACAGAGAGAGAAGGTAGCATAGTAAGAGGATCATGAATCTGGGAATACAAAGACCCAAACTCCAAATGGGTCATTTTACCTATTAGTTGTTGTAGGCACAGTGCTTTGGGCCGACAAACTTTCAAGATGCTAGAAAAATGTTTGAAACTTGTAAAATAATTGATTCCAGACTTTGAAATGAAGACTTTTTATTTACACACACACACATGCACATATATGGACACAACCTAACGAGCAATATTCCCAAAACAGTAAGAACATGTTGGAATCTTGATTGAATGGTAATAAATGATTTTCATAGAACTGCCCTCTTTACAATATTGGGTCTTACAACCTATGAATGTAGTACGTCCTTCTGTTTCTTTGTTTATTTGAGTCTTATTTTAATTCTTTTAAATGATATTTTACACTTTTCTATGCAGAGTTCTTGAACATATTTAGAGTTAGGTGTGTAAATATTTTTATACTATTTTAAATAATATCCTAATTTTAATTTCTAACTCTGTTACTGTTACATATAAATACAATTTCTGTACATGGCTGAAGTTATCTAACTTGCTAAATTCTTTTATTAATTGATATTAACTATGTGTAGAATCTCTTGAATTTTCCATATATATGATCCTCTGTTCTGCAAATAATATCAATTTTCTTACTTTGCTATATTTTTATTTTTATTTCTTCTTCCTACTGCATTGCTACATATCCTCCAGTATATGAAGAATTAAATTAATGACAGTAGTCTCCTAGCCTTTTTATTGAAACAGATGGAGAACTTATTTATAATTATACATAATATTTGTTAAAGGTTTTATCAATTTTATTAATATTTTAAATTTAGCAACTTTGATGATGCCTTTGTTTATGTGTTTGTTCTACTCCTTTTTTTCTGCCATGTTGTTTTTGTTTCTATTATAGCCTTTGGATTGAATTTGCTCTTTTTTTTCCTACATTCAACACCATGAAATGGAGGTTTAGTTGATTGATTTTTAGACTTTCCTGTAAAATATAGACATATAGGATTTTCAATTTAAATTTCTCTTTGAACTCATCTTTAATACAGTCCCACAAATTCTACATGTTGTACTTTTATTATGTATTTCATGATATTCCTAATTTTCATTGTGATTTCTTCTCTCATAGTTTTTATATAAACACATTTTTTAATTTTCAAGTATACAGGCTGTTTCCAGTTTGGTTTTCTTTTTTGTGGTCTGGTTTACTTTATTTTTACTGTGGTCAGAGAACACACTGTTATTTTAAATGCACTGAAATTTATAGATGGTTTATGTGTGATAGAGGGATATGAATTTTGCAGTTTCAAAGTTTGTATTACCATTAGGGGAAGCTGCTTTGAAATCTTCCCATATCACTGTGTATTTAATTATTTCTCAATCTAGTTCTGCTCATTTTTATACATATATATGTCATATAGTTTGTCCATTCCAAATTAGAATTTATATTGCCACTTGCTAAACTAAACTTCTTGTAATTATGAAGTAGTCTACTTAATCTCTAGTGATATGTATTGCCTTATAGTCTATTTTGTCTGATATTAATGTGTTTATACAGCATATCTTGATAAATATAACCTTGTTTTGTAGAAGTTGTTGGTGAAGCAGGACAGATCAGTTATATAATTGGTACACATAAGTATAAAAACTGAGTTGAAAATAATAAATTATAATTATTCCACCTGAAGTCCCAGCATCTTCATTCTGAAATTAAATTATTTAGTAATTTTTCAATATTATATAGATTAAAATCATCCTTCTATATCCTTAGACTGTGCCTTTTCTAGTCTTCCATATCTCTTCTCTTCCTTGGTGTGTAATGTTTCACCTCAAAACACGTTTGATGCACTTGCTACTGATATGGACAGGAGATAGGGAAATACTGAGTAAAAGAGGGCAGTTCCCCAGCAAAGGCTTCACCCTTAAGCCTGGAGACCCACAGCCCTAAGTGGGAACAGTCATTTCTGTCTTTGTACCCAAAAAGCTGCCTTTTGGCCCCCCATGCCCCTCTATCCTGTACCCACAAAAACTCCGAACCCCAGGCTCCAGAAGCAGACAAGCAGACAAAGAGACAAGGAGATAAAAACACAAACAGTGGAACAGCACAGCAGAGAAAACAAAGAGAAGGAATTTCTGAACACTGAGAGGAGTTTGGCTGGGGATGGTGGAAGAGGAGCTCAGCTGCTGGATGGCCAAACTCCCAGGTCAGGTCATTTTTCCACTCCATCCCCCTTCTAGCTCCCCATCCATCCTGCTGAGAGCCACCTCCACCACTCAATAAAACCCCACATTCATGGCTTGGGAAGGCTCAATTCTCCTGGGATGCTGGGCAAAAGCTTGGGATACAGAAAGCTGTCACATTGGCCCTCTGCCCTTCTGTAAAGGCAGAGGGACCATTGAGCTGGTAACACTTAAGCCATCTGCAGATGGCAAGGCAAAAATAGCTGGAGGCACCCACCCACGGGACTGGAGCCCAAAGCACTCACCCCGGCTCCTACACATGCCCATCTGCATGCTCCCCGTCTTGTCAGGGGTTTAAGCAGTGAACAGTGGTGGCAATGGAACAGGCGAGCCACACCCGTGTTGCAAGTACTATGAGGGGGATCAGGGAACTCTCCCATTTCACTACCAATCTAGCTTTGGGACTCTCCATGGCAGGGCTACATCTGGTCTAGCCCTTCCTCTGCAGTCAACAGAATACACTTGACCCATCAGTTAGTCTGCTTCTGAAAACTTATGCGGTCTATGAAGTTTCTCCTCACAACTGTAAGTATTATTTATCTTTCTCTGTGTTCTAATTTAGGAATGGTCAGGGTTCTAAATATATATATATATGTGTGTGTGTGTGTGTGTGTGTGTGTGTGTGTGTGCATGTGTGTGTATTTTTGAGACGGAGTCTCACTCTGTCGCCCAGGCTGGAGTGCAGTGGCATAATCTCAGCTCACTGCAACCTCCACCTCCCAGGTTCAAGCGATTCTCCTGCCTCAGCCTCCTGAGTAGCTAGGACTACAGGCGCCTGCCACCACAATATTTTTTTTCATGTTTCTTTCATTTTTTTTTATTATTATACTTTAAGTTTTAGGGTACATATGCACAATGTGCAGGTTAGTTACATATGTATACATGTGCCATGCTGGTGTGCTGCACCCATTAACTCGTCATTTAGCATTAGGTATATCTCCTAATGCTATCCTTCTCCCCTCCCCCCACCCCACAATAGTTCCCAGAGTGTGATGTTCCCCTTCCTGTGTCCATGTGTTCTCATTGTTCAATTCCCATCTATGAGTGAGAACATGCGGTGTTTGGTTTTTTGTCCTTGCGATAGTTTACTGAGAATGATGATTTCAAATTTCATCCATGTCCCTACAAAGGACATGAACTCATCCTTTTTTATGGCTGCATAGTATTCCATGGTGTATATGTGCCACATTTTCTTAATCCAGTCTATCGTTGTTGGACATTTGGGTTGGTTCCAAGTCTTTGCTATTGTGAATAGTGCCGCAATAAACATACATGTGCATGTGTCTTTATAGCAGCATGATTTATAGTCATTTGGGTATACACCCAGTAATGGGATGGCTGGGTCAAATGGTATTTCTAGTTCTAGATCCCTGAGGAATCGCCACACTGACTTCCACAATGGTTGAACTAGTTTACAGTCCCACCAACAGTGTAAAAGTGTTCCTATTTCTCCACATCCTCTCCAGCACCTGTTGTTTCCTGACTTTTTAATGATTGCCATTCTAACTGGTGTGAGATGGTATCTCATTGTGGTTTTGATTTGCATTTCTCTGATGGCCAGTGATGATGAGCATTTTTTCATGTGTCTTTTGGCTGCATAAATGTCTTCTTTTGAGAAGTGTCTGTTCATATCCTTTACCCACTTTTTGATGGGGTTGTTTGTTCTTTTCTTGTAAATTTGTTTGAGTTCATTGTAGATTCTGGATATTAGCCCTTTGTCAGATGAGTAGGTTGCGAAAATTTTCTCCCATTCGGTAGGTTGCCTGTTCACTCTGATGGTAGTTTCTTTTGCTGTGCAGAAGTTCTTTAGTTTAATTAGATCCCATTTCTCAATTTTGGCTTTTGTTCCCATTGCTTTTGGTGTTTTAGACATGAAGTCCTTGCCCATGCCTATGTCCTGAATGGTAATGCCTAGGTTTTCTTCTAGGGTTTTTATGGTTTTAGGTCTAACGTTTAAGTCTTTAATCCATCTTGAATTAATTTTTGTATAAGGTGTAAGGAACGGATCCAGTTTCAGCTTTCTCCACATGGCTAGCCAGTTTTCCCAGCACCATTTATTAAATAGGGAATCCTTTACCCATTGCTTGTTTTTCCCAGGTTTATCAAAGATCAGATAGTTTTAGATATGCGGCATTATTTCTGAAGGCTCTGTTCTGTTCCATTGATCTATATCTCTGTTTTGGTACCAGTACCATGCTGTTTTGGTTACTGTAGCCTTGTAGTATAGTTTGAAGTCAGGTAGTGTGATGCCTCCAGCTTTGTTCTTTTGGCTTAGGATTGACTTGGTGATGTGGGCTCTTTTTTGGTTCCATATGAACTTTAAGGTAGTTTTTTCCAATTCTGTGAAGAAAGTCATTGGTAGCTTGATGGGGATGGCATTGAATCTATAAATTACCTTGGGCAGTATGGCCATTTTCACGATATTGATTCTTCCTACCCATGAGCATGGAATGTTCTTCCATTGGTTTGTATCCTCTTTTATTTCACTGAGCAGCGGTTTGTAGTTCTCCTTGAAGAGGTCCTTCACGTCCCTTGTAAGTTGAATTCCTAAGTATTTTATTCTCTTTGAAGCAATTGTGAATGGGAGTTCACTCATGATTTGGCTCTCTGTTTGTCTGTTATTGGTGTATAAGAATGCTTGTGATTTTTGTACATTGATTTTGTATCCTGAGACTTTGCTGAAGTTGCTTATCAGCTTAAGGAGATTTTGGGCTGAGACAATGGGGTTTTCTAGATACACAATCATGTCGTCTGCAAACAGGGACAATTTGACTTCCTCTTTTCCTAATTGAATACCCTTTATTTCCTTCTCCTGCCTCCTGCCAGGGCAATTGCCCTGGCCAGAACTTCCAACACTATGTTGAATAGGAGTGGTGAGAGAGGGCATCCCTGTCTTGTGCCAGTTTTCAAAGGGAATGCTTCCAGTTTTTGCCCATTCAGTATGATATTGGCTGTGGGTTTGTCATAGATAGCTCTTATTATTTTGAGATACGTCCCATCAATACCTAATTTATTGAGAGTTTTTAGCATGAAGGGTTGTTGAACTTTGTCAAAGGCCTTTTCTGCATCTATTGAGATAATCATGCGGTTTTTGTCTTTGGTTCTGTTTATATGCTGGATTACATTTATTGATTTGTGTATATTGAACCAGCCTTGCATCCCAGGGATGAAGCCCACTTGATCATGGCGGATAAGCTTTTTGATGTGCTGCTGGATTCGGTTTGCCAGTATTTTATTGAGGGTTTTTGCATCAATGTTCATCAAGGATATTGGTCTAAAATTCTCTTTTTTGGTTGTGTCTCTGCCCGACTTTGGTATCAGGATGATGCTGGCCTCATAAAATGAGTTAGGGAGGATTCCCTCTTTTTCTATTGATTGGAACAGTTTCAGAAGGAATGGTGCCAGTTCCTCCTTGTACCTCTGGCAGAATTTGGCTGTGAATCCATCTGGTCCTGGACTCTTTTTGATTGGTAAGCTATTGATTATTGCCACAATTTCAGCTCCTGTTATTGGTCTATTCAGAGATTCAACTTCTTCCTAGTTTAATCTTGGGAGAGTGTATGTGTCGAGGAATTTATCCATTTCTTCTAGATTTTCTAGTTTATTTGCATAGAGGTGTTTGCAGTATTCTCTGATGGTAGTTTGTATTTCTGTGGGATCGGTGGTGATGTCCCCTTTATCATTTTTTATTGCGTCTATTTGATTCTTCTCTCTTTTTTCTTTATTAGTCTTCCAAGCGGTCTATCAATTTTGTTGATCCTTTCAATATTCAACATTCTTAAAGAAAAGAATTTTCAACCCAGAATTTCATATCCAGCCAAACTAAACTTCATAAGTGAAGGAGAAATAAAATACTTCACAGACAAGCAAATGCTGAGAGATTTTGTCACCACCAGGCCTGCCCCAAAAGAGCTCCTGAAGGAAGCACTAAACATGGAAAGGAACAACCGGTACTAGCCGCTGCAAAATCATGCCAAAATGTAAAGACCATCGAGACTAGGAAGAAACTGCATAAACTAACGAGCAAAATCACCAGCTAACATCATAATGACAGGATCAAATTCACACATAACAATATTAACTTTAAATGTAAATGGACTAAATTCTCCAATTAAAAGACACAGACTGGCAAGTTGGATAAAGAGTCAAGACCCATCAGTGTGCTGTATTCAGGAAACCCATCTCACGTGCAGAGACACACATAGGCTCAAAATAAAAGGATGGAGGAAGATCTACCAAGCAAATGGAAAACAAAAAAAGGCAGGGTTTTCAATCCTAGTCTCTGATAAAACAGACTTTAAACCAACAAAGATCAAAAGAGACAAAGAAGGCCATTACATAATGGTAAAGGGATCAATTCAACAACAAGAGCTAACTATCCTAAATATATATGCACCCAATACAGGAGCACCCAGATTCATAAATCAAGTCCTGAGTGACCTACAAAGAGACTTAGACTCCCACACAATAATAATGGGAGACTTTAGCACCCCACTGTCAACATTAGACAGATCAACGAGACAGAAAGTTAACAAGGATACCCAGGAATTGAACTCAGCTCTGCACCAAGCGGACCTAATAGACATCTACAGAACTCTCCACCCCAAATCAACAGAATATACATTTTTTTCAGCACCACACCACACCTATTCCAAAATTGACCACATACTTGGAAGTAAAGCTCTCCTCAGCAAATGTAAAAGAACAGAAATTATAACAAACTGTCTCTCAGACCACAGTGCAATCAAACTAGAACTCAGGATTAAGAAACTCATTCAAAACCGCTCAACTACATGGAAACTGAACAACCTGCTCCTGAATGACTACTGGGTACATAACGAAATGAAGGCAGAAATAAAGATGTTCTTTGAAACCAACGAGAACAAAGACACAACATACCAGAATCTCTGGGACGCATTCAAAGCAGTGTGTAGAGGGAAATTTATAGCACTAAATGCCCACAAGAGAAAGCAGGAAAGATCCAAAATTGACACCCTAACATCACAATTAAAAGAACTAGAAAAGCAAGAGCAAACACATTCAAAAGGTAGCAGAAGGCAAGAAATAACTAAAATCAGAGCAGAACTGAAGGAAATAGAGACAAAAAAAAACCTTCAAAAAATTAATGAATCCAGGAGCTGGTTTTTTGAAAGGTTTTTTGAAAGGACCACCACAATATTTTTAAGAAATAATTCCACTATGTCTGCTTTCTGATCAACTCTCTTTGGTTAACAGGTTTGCATTGAAAGTTAAACAGTGATTTGAATTTACATTAGTGCCAATTTTGCTTCAATTTTATGGCGGCATTATTTGTACCCTGTTGAATGGTGAGATGAATTTTCTATTAATGCTAATTCGCCCCTGTCCCCATGAAAGTAAAACTAGATTAAATAAACTGTAATAATTTTCATAGAAAATAGTAGACTTATTATTTGGAGTGTGGTGTTTCCCCAGCCAAGCTCTTAAGATTGTGCAACATTTTACTTGGTTTTATTCCATGGTTTAGGCTGGCACTGACCCAACCAGTGCTCTTGAAAACACATGCTGAAGGTCACATTAGGGAAGAATATGAGTGGGTGAGTGAGTCAGTGCATGTCCACTAACTCCTCTAGAATAAACAAATATCTGTCTGACCAGGTATTAATCAACTTAGTAGGTGGAAAGCTTATTTAAAAAAAGAATTCCTTCTAGATGCCAGCAGAAAATAGGTTACCAAAGAACTGATTTGGCCAAAACTTTTCCTATAGAATTACTAAAGGTTAAAACACTTACTACATTCTAAATTAAAAGAATTATCTACTGCTAGAAGTTTCTGGAAGCCATATTCCTTAGGAACAACTCAAATCTTTGGCCTCAATGTAATTTATCAAAGTGTCTTTCCCCAAATCTCACTGTTACCAGTAAATTACACCATATTACTCATTCCTAAGGCAGATGAGAAATGTCATCCCATTATTGCCTTATATTTCCTAGAGTGAACTGACCAGTTGTATATTGGTAATTGCATAAATTCCTTGAGGGCAGGAACTATGCCTGGTGAAGTTATAGACATATCATACATATGTAATGAATATTTACTGAATTTTACATCATGACAAATTCTACCACAATTTCATGAGAACTTAAAAAATAAGTTTGCAAGAAAATATTTTATAATGGTGGTACATATTGAGACCATTTTAGAAGACTACTGTGTTACACAACACTGTTACCTAAGAGGAAAATAAATTGGCATGTAGTTATCCAAACTCAGTAATCATTTTTAGGGTAAATGATGAGATCACACTATATTAACATATTTATTAATGATGATCATAAAGCAATACTTCCACAAAAATAATCACCACAAACTTAGAGTGAAGTGAGTATAAGGTGATTTACTAACAGATGCTCAATGAGGATCAAATAAATACAAGAAATTGTAAAATTTAAAATTGTGAGCATCCAAATGTTAGCATAAAATTCATTTTCCTTTCACATTTTATTTTGAAAGTTTTGAAATCAACAGAAAAGATGCAAAAATAATATAACATCCATAGACTCCTTGTCTCGATTCCTCAATGTTAACCTTTTTTAATTTTATTTTTATTTTTATTATACTTTAAGTTCTAGGGTACATGTGCACAATGTGCAGGTTTGTTACATATGTATACATGTGCCATGTTGGTGTGCTGCATCCATTAACTCACCATTTACATTAGGTATACCTCCTAATGCTATCCCTCCCCCCTCCCCCCACCCCATGACAGGCCCTGGTGTGTGATGTTCCCCTTCCTGTGTCCATGTGTTCTCATTGTTCAATTCCCACCTATGAGTGAGAACATATGGTGTTTGTTTTTTTGTCCTTGCGACAGTTTCCTGAGAATGATGGTTTCCAGCTTCATCCATGTCCCTACAAAGGACATTAACTCATCCTTTTTTATGGCTGCATAGTATTCCATGGTGTATATGTGCCACATTTTCTTAATCCAGTCTATCATTGATGGACATTTGGGTTGGTTCCAAGTCTTTCCTATATTTGATTTTCTTACAGTGTGTATGTGTTTGTGTGTGTTGAACCCTTTAACAATTATTTGCAGTTATTTATTATTATTTAACAATTATTTGCAGTTCATCCCTAAATACCAAAGTGTATATCTCCTAAGAAAAAAGGCATTTTTCCTATATAACAATAATACAATGATCTCATTGAGGAAACAACATACAATGTAATATAGAGTTCATTTTCAAATTTTCCCAATTATGCCAATAATGTCCTTTGTATCTTTTGCTTCTTTCTTTCCTTCTTTCTTTCTTTCTTTTTTTTTTTTTTTTTTTTTTTTTTGATAGAGTCTCATTCTGTTGCCCAGGCTGGAATGCAGTGGTGCGACCTCGGCTCTCTGCACTTCCACCTCCTGGGTTCAAGTGATTCTCCTGCCTCAGCCTCTTGAGTAGCTGGTTTTACAGGCACACACCACCACACTTGGCTAATATTTGTATTTTTAGTAGAGATGGGCTTTTGCCATGTTGGCCAGGCTGGTCTCGAACTCCTGATCTCAAGTGATCTGCCCGCATCAGCCTCCCAAAGTGCTGAGATTGTAGGCATGAGCCACTGCACCCAGCCTCTTTTTATTTTTTTTAAGTTTTCCTAAGATTCAATCACTAATCACACACTGCAATTAGTTGCCTCTTTAGTCTCCTTTATCCTGGAAGAGTTTCCCAGACTCTTTTATTTTTCATAGCATTGGCATATTTGAAGGCCCAGACCAGTTGTTTTCCAGAATAACAATTTGGATATTTTAGATAATCAGATAAAGTTTATGTAATCTGAACAAGAATGCTGTACAGATGAAAGTGTGTCTTTCCTGGTATATCCCAGAAGGGGCAACTGATATCAGTTTCTCACCTCCTACTTCCCTTCTATGTCCCCTGTAGGCAAACTGTGGTATTACCCATCTCCTGAATCCATCAGGGGCTTTATTTTCCTTGGCCTCTGATGATACAGGCTTCCCTTTAGAAAAACCTCTTTCCACTTTTTCTCTAACTTTTCAAGGCTTCCATTTGTTCACTGCTCAATTCAAATATCTCCCCTTACCATAAAATATTCTATACTATGAATAGTATTCTATTCATATTCATATTTGCATACTATTCAAATAACAATATGAATAGTATTCTATTCATATTCATATTCGAATAGAATACTATTCATATTTGTATAGAATACTATTCAAATTGTTATTCTGGAAAACTGGTCTGGGACTTCAAACATGCCAATGTCATATGTCTTGTCATCCTGCTAGCCTGCATGCCTGCTGGCCTATTCATAGCATAGATATTTTATGGTAAGGGGTGATATTTGAATTGATACTATACTCCCTCAAGTTGCATCATATCTCCCTCTTCAAACGTCTTTTAGTTTTTTAAATACACTATTATGGACTGAGTTAGGTCCCCTCAAAATTCACATGTTGAAGTTATAAAACTCAGAATGTGAATGCATTTAGAAATAGAGTCTGTAAAGCGATGATAATTAAAAATAAATAAGCAAAGTGGGCCCTAATATGACTAATGTCCAATCAGAAGAGAAAATTAGGGCATAAACATGTATAGAGGGAGGACCATGTGAATACACAAGGTGAAGACAAGGAGAGAGGCCTCTTAAGAAATCAACCTTGCTAACACCCTCATCTAAGGCTTCTAGCCTCCAGAATTGTGAGAAAATAAATTTCTATTGTGTAAGCCATCCAGTCTGTGGTATACTTTGTTACAGCAGCCCTATCAAGCAAACACATGCACTCAGTGCTTTAATCTAATGAATGACTTGGTAGTTACACGTGTATAGATACTAATGTTATAATTACCATATGCCTAGTGATCCTGCTGGCCTGCCATCCCACTGAGAGCAGCAACTATGGACCTAGAATTCCCCACATCTGGGTTTCATTTCCCACAGAGCTCATCAGGATCCTGTGCACTCAGTAAACAATAATTTGATGGTCCTTGATGGATGACTAAATTTAAATTACCTTAGGAAAAAAATCAATCCTATAATTAATTGCCCCATTGTTTATAAGAATTCATCCATGACACATGTTTTTAATTTACCCCTTACCCTCTGAGTGTCATGTAACTCTCCAGAGATTTTCTCTTCCTCTCTATAAAACTACTTCTTAAAAGTTTTTAATTCTTAAGGAAATTTTTAGAATTTAAGAAAGAAAAAAAAAAATCCAGTTTACTAAGTGCCTATTCTTTCTTCAAAACAGTTTTCTCTATTTTCTAAAAATATGTCAAGTTGACTTAAAATAATCATAATAAAAATGACAAAAATTAAGACAATAAAGAATATCATGTTATTTCAAGTAAATGTAGTATTTATTTGTATTAGTTTGTACATAAATTTCCAGAGAAATCAAGGCTTTATAGCTGCACTCGGTTTGCATTGATACTTACCTCTGCTTTTAGTGTAGGAGACATTTTCCAGTGGTAAACACTGCTTTATATCTTCAGGCTCATTAATCCCCAGCATCAGTGTGCCTCATCACAGATGAGAAAATGCAGGAGGTTCCTGTTTGGGGCCTTGCTGTCATGGTTTCTTGTTGCTAGCAACACACAGAAGCATGACCAGCTGCTGCTGCTGCTGCTGTTCCTGTTAGTCTGCTAACTAAATATGGGTGAATTTTTCTATGAGTCAGTATTTCTACACTGTCAATAACAATGTGTGTGTGTGTTTCAATTAAGGCCTGATTGTTAAGTCACTAAGGATCGACTGAATCCAATTCTAACATGAATAATCTTCAAAATTTGGCTTATGGTGTGCCATAGATGTCCAGCTAAACTGAATATAATCCTCAGGCATGAATTATGTTAAGAAAATTACTGCTGATTGAAGCTATCGTTCATGGATTAACTCACACTTAATAAAAAGCTATGTTCCTTTGATATCTTTTCAGGTTTAGTCCAGATTTGGCGGGAGTAGGTAGAGGGATGTTCTGTGGTCTTGTAAAATTGGGAAGCATTAAGAAATACAAAATTAAACATATTCCAATAATACATAAAGTTTTAGAGACTAATTAATGTCAATTTGTATCATGACTCTCCTAAAAGGGAATAGAGAATTTTATAATTCTAACACTCATTTGGAGTAACTTATGGCAACTACAGAAAATATGGTTTAAGACACACAGGAGTTCCATATGTATTTGCAAGTAATTTGAGATGCAGTATCATATGATGCAGAGTTAGAGGCAGAAGACCTGAATTCTTCTCTTACCTCTGTCAAGAATTAGCTGTGTGAACTTGGGAAGGCCTGGGGAAAGTCATTTTTATCCCATGTCTCATTTTTAAATTTGTAAAATGGAGATAAACTTATAAGGCTATTGTGAAAATTAAATTAATAAATGCATAGTGAAATTACTGTGTAAAATGAAAATCACTATATGAATATGAGTTGATATTCCATTTATAAGATGCCGCTTACATTTCCTTCAGGATTTATAGTACTTGCTGTCTCTGATTAAAAGTTGTCCTACTCTCTGGCTCTAAAATACTGCAAAATGAAGCAATCTTCTATCTGATATAGTCATCTAATTACAAGTCCAGGTCAAGCAAAATAAGACAATGTTTGAAAGTTTTTCTGATTTTTGAATTTAAAGAAATACTTTCAAATAAAGACTATAACTATAAATTTGCTTTTATTTTGAAACCATAGAATGATAAAATAAAAATTATTAGGATGGTTACTTATGGCAAAAGACACAGGGACAGAAGATGGATGTCTCTGAATATGTGTGTGTGTGTGTGTGTGTGTGTGTGTGTGTGTGTATGTGTATTTACATAGACATGTATACATATTTGTATACATATGTACACATACACACACACTTTGGAACCCTGTAAATGCTTTATGCTCTATCTATGTAATCAAAAACTGTGATTATTTCAAAAATAAAAGCTAAGCAGTTACTCAAAATTTTTTGAAGTAAAGGGATCTAACTGCATATCAAATTGTTGACAAAACCACACAGGGAAAAATTATTTCGAGTGACTTTAAAACGCAGGTTTTTTTTAGTATCACTAGTGAGATATATCCCAAGTATGAAAATCTCCACAAAGAAATCACAAGCTTTATTCGGCAGCATTATTGTTAATGATAATAATGTTTGTATTGTTATTTTGAAATTACTATATGTATATGGTATAAGATAAATAAGTATGTACATGTAATTAGGAACCAAGAGTTTCAATTTAAGAAAATTTGGGGAGAAAAGGTATAAAAGCAAAATAATAGAGGTATAGAATTATCAAGGTAGAACAACATAAATTAAGACATGTAATTATATATTTAAATATAAATATTAACATGAACACATGATTTTTCCTTTTTCTAAAATATATAGACCTTGAATTTATTTTTAAAATACATAACTTGAATTTATTTTTTTAGATACATATTACATAACTACCTCTTCACTGAAAAGCTACAGAAGCAGTGGCAAACCAGTAGTAATGACCACCCCTGGGGCCCAGATTCAGGTCTCTAAACTTTAATTCTGTCCTCAGGGAACTGATTGTTTCCAGGACTGGCTGGACAATATGTTGAATAAGTCTGGAACATCTTGTTGTGCTGAAAAGCAAGAAAGCAATCAAGGATTACAGGGAACATGTCAAAGAGACAGAGAACCCAATTAGAGCAGCTCCCACTGGCGAAACTGTGGAACAGTTGGAGCAACAATAAAAATGACTGGAAAGGTCATATATATCCATAAGTTACTAATTATACAAAAACAAAACACACACGCACATACACACTCATTGGTCACCTTTGATAATTACTAGAAAATTTCAAATACTGATTTTAAAAAGAGAAAGCATTATGGATTGTTTGTTCTGTCTTTCCTGTGTGTAGTGTATTTCATGCTGTTTTCCCAAGGTAATTGTTCAGTATAAAATCCTGTTTTCTCAACTGAAGATGACTCAGAAATCTACCAGAGCACTGAACTCTCTGTGGGATCAGCTGAAGCCATTGCTGAAATTGTATCACAGGTCAATTCCTCCCTCTGCCCACTCCTGTTCCCAAGGGCACTCCCTAGTCAGTATCCTGGATGCTAACCTCCATGACAGTTTGCTTCCCAAGAAATCTAACCTGTTGCAAGCAGTTATTGTCATGTGTGGTTTAAGAAAGCAAAACCTAAAATAAGGTTTTAGAGCTGAATTAACCTGCTCCAGAGCTGGCAATGAGGAGCCTACCGCTGATGGCAGGTGGAGCACAAATAGCCTCTGGCACAAGATACCAATGCAAATGGTAATATTTTCACTAGGTTGGTGCACTGCTGAAGAGAAATGCATTAGCTAGTGCAATGTGTCAAATTGTGAAACATGGGGGAGTAGTAATTATAAGGAGACTTGAGTGAGCTCAAGTAACACTCTGGGAAGAAAGATGAAAACTAAGAGTGATTAATTTACAAATAAAAGTTAAGTGTAAAAGTCATAGGTCACCTTGGTCAGAGAGAGAGAGAGACTGGAGGAAGAGGAGTCATGTCTTTTCTCCTAAGGTGGGAAGGCAGACTGTACAGAAAAAGCTGATGACGAGGCCTATAAAAGTAGCAAAACTCCAAAAAAGGTTAAACTTCCAACCAAGGCAGGTCTGCAACACCAACATCAGGTTTCTGTCTGGGAAAAAAGTATGATCTTGACACATGAGGTAGGGAGAGCTAGGTTGGTGTATCTGAACATCTTGAACTCTCTTCCAAAAAATATTGATCCCAAAAGCAATGCTTACTAAATGCCCTCCACTTATCTCCATCTCAATGTCTGCCTTTCAGGAAAATCAATCTGCCATAGTAACCAAATACCTAATGAAAATCTTCTCCATGGAAGAATTCTAGCTAATAAATGTAAAAAGATTATAGAATTAGTAAATCACCATTGGCAAACTGTAATGAAATTATCTGGCCTCTCATCACTATATAACAAGCAACACATTAACCTACTGATCAATCTTAACATCACTAAAAGTGAAACTCAATAATATGCCCCCTACATGCCCCTGATGCAATGAAAGATGCTATGTATAGCACCACCTATAAAGTATTTTTTCCAAAGTTGAATCTGAATCTAATCAAGTCTATCAATTGTCAACTTACAGGAAATATGGGTGATAGAGATACAACCACCATACCTAGAGGTAGAAAAATAATAAACTAGTATCTTCAACAAATATATGACATTATTTTAAAAAGCCATTTAGAGACATATTAACTAAATACAATATGTGGTCTGTGTTTGGATCTTGATTCAAAAAACTGTAAAAAGACATGTTTTTAGATAAAAGAAGAAAATAGAACATTGGGCCACTTATTGGATGATGTGACATTATTTGTAAAATGTTGTTATTCGTGATGAAATACTGCTAAGCTAAGCCTTTTTTATAATTATCTATTAAAGATGTATATTGTAATATTTATATGTGAAATTATGCAATATCTGTTATGTGGTTTATAATAATCTAGAGAAAACTCATATATAAGATAGGGTATAGACAAATAAGAATGGGAAAATGTTGATAATTGTTGAGCTGGGTGATGGGTAGATAGGAATTCATTATATTGTCAACTTTAGTACACATTTAAAATGTTCCAAAATAAGTTTCTAATAATTATTTACATCTTTAATGTTACTCTACATATAATACCAAATCAAAAGATTGAGTTAAGAGTTTATGAGGTAATTAAGTTTAAGAAATATTAGAATTTTAGGAAAATCTCTTCAGGGCATTAGCCTATGCAAAGAATTTATGACAAAGACCCCAAAAACAAATGCAAGAAAAACAAAAATAGATACATGGGACTTAACTAAACTAAAAAGCTTCTGGATAGCAAAAGAAATAACCAACAAAATAAATAGACTACCTATAGAGCGGGGGAAAATATTTGCAAATTATGTCCCTGGCAAAGGACTAATATCCAGAATTCACAAGGAACTGAAATAACTCAAGAAAAAAGGAAACCACCCCATTAAAAACTGGGCAAGGGACATGAACAGACATTTCGCAAAAGAAAAAATACAAATGGCCAACAAACTCATGAAAAAATGCTCAATATCACTAATCACCCGAGAAATGCAAATTAAAAACACATTAAAATATCATCTTACATCAGTCAGAATGGCTTCTATTAAAAAGTCAAAAAACAAAAGATGGTGTAGATGCGGGGATAAGGGAATGCTTATATACTGTTGGTGGGAATATAAATTAGTTCAACCTCTATAGAAAATAGTATGGAGGCCAGGCTCGGTGGCTCATGCCTATAATCCCAGCACTTTGGGGGGCTGAGGTGGGTGGATCACTTGAAATCAGGCATTTGAGACGAGCCTGGCCAATGTGGTGAAACCCCATCTCTACTAATATTTTAAAAAATAGCCAGGCATGGTGGTGCATGCCTGTAATCCCAGCTACTAGGGAACCTGAAGCAGGAGAATCACTGGAACCTGGGGGCCAGAGGTTGCAGCGAGCCAAGATCCCACCAGGTCTCAAACTCCTGGTCTCAAGTGATCCTCCCATCTTGGCCTCCCAAAGTTTGGGATTACAGGCATCGACCACCACACCCAGTCTTGTAGCTTAAATAAAAATATAAAAAGTGAAAGCTTAAAGGAAAAAATATATATGTGCTAAGCAAAGGGTGAGCACATGAAATTCGGTGTGGCTATATTAATATCAGATAAGAAATGCAAGCAAGGAAGGAGATAGATATTAAAAGAGATATTTGGTAATGATAAAAGGGACTATGCATCATGAAGATTTAACAATCATAAATGCATATGGATCTAATGACAGAATTCAAAATACGTGAAACAAAAATCATGGAAATAGAGGTAATAATAGACCAACAACTATAGTTGGGGATTATAAAATCTTTTTGTGCATAAAAGAACAAGTAGAGTTTTAAAACTAAGTATCAACATAGACAGTCTAAACCATACTCTCAACTAACTTGATTTAACTGACATTTATAAAACACTTTCTTTTCAAGTGCACATGGAACTTTCATCAAGAGAGACCATGTGAAATACTATAAAATACATTTCAGGAAATCCTAAAAACTTAAGACTTATAGAATGTTTTTTTGAGCACAATGGAATTAAACTATAAATCAGTAACAGTAAGTCTAAAAAAGCCTCCAAATATTTAAAAATGAAACAACAATCCTATAACAGAGATTATAAATAAATCATGCAGAAATTAGAAAATATTTTAGACCTGATAATAAAAAATATAATATGTTGAAATTTATGGGATTCAGCTAAAAACGTACTTAGGAGAAATGTTTAGCTTTAAATGGATATCAGAATTTTTTAAAAATTTTAAATCAATTATTTAACCTTTCATCTAAATAAGCTAGGAAAAAAGACCCTATTAAAACCAAAGTAGAAGAAAGGAAATAATAAAAATTAAATCAGACCAATTAAATAGAAAACTAACAATAATTAGAGTCAAAAAGTGGTTCTTTGAAAACATTGATAAAATTGATTGATCTCTCTCAAGATTGACCATGAAAAAGACAGAAAATACAAGTTTTCAATAGCAGTAAAAAAAGGAGGAAATAGACATATATTGGCAGTAAACAGTATTATTTCTGTGTAGAGATCTTTCATATTTTGTGTTAGATTTATTGGTAGATATTTGATTTTTTCCATGCTATTATAGATAGTAGTACTGTTTATAATAAAATGTAATAAAATACTGTTTATAATAAAATAAAAAATCAAATATCTATTAATAAATCTAACAAGAATAGAAAAGATCTCTATACTGAAAATAATACCTAGCTGAGAAAAAATAAAGACCTAAATAAATAGATATTTTATATATGTAACATAGAAAATGTCTTATTGTTAATACATTTTTTCTACCCTAATTAACCTGTTCAACACAATCCCAATCAAAATCTCTGTATGCTTTTTAGAAGAAATTATGAAAGTGATTATAAAATTTATATGAAGTGCAAAGGATCTAGACTAGTCTGATTGATCTTAAAACACAAGAATAAAGTTGGGGACTTATACTACTCCATTTCAAAACTTAATAAAAAGGTACTGTGATCATGACAGTTTAATATTGGCATAAGAACAAAGTTTAATATTGGCATAAGAACAAATAGTTCTTAATACAAAGGTACTGTGATCATGACAGATTAATATGGGCATAAGAACAAATAGTCCTCCAGCTACTGGACAAATATTTGAAAAATATTAAACTTTGATTTCTATCACAATCACATTCAGTACAAATGTTTGTATATTAAGATGAATCATAGACCTATTCATAAGGGCTGGAACTATCAAGCTTTTATGAAAAATGAAAAAAAATATTTTTGTAACCTTAAGTTTGTGAGTTAAAATGTATCTCTGAAAAGGACATGTTCAAGTCCTAACCCCAAATATTTATAAATATTACCTTAGACGGAAATAGAGTCTTTTCAGATATAATTAGTTAAGTTAAAATGAGGTCATACTAGAGTATGGCAGGCCCTAATCCAATATGATTGGGATCCTTATAAGATGAAGAGAACGGACACAGACACACACAGGGGAGAATGTCTTATGAAGACAGAGGCAGAAATTACAATGGAATGCCAATGATTCCCAATAACCACTAACGTTACAAGAAGCACATGAAATGGATTCTCCCTCAGAACTTCCAAAATAAACTAACCCTGAAAACTCCTGGATTTCAGACTTGTAGCCTGCAGAACTATAAGAGAATAGTTTTGTTTTGGTAAGCCAGCCAGTTCACAGTGCTTTGTTACAGCACCTCTATAAAACTAATATACTTTGGCAAAAATTTCTTAAACAGGATATGAAAAGCACCAAAGAAAAAATATATGTATTTCATAAATATACACTTCATAAAAGTTTTTGTTCATCAAAAGTTACCATGTAGAAAATAAATAGGCAAGGCAAAAACAGCAACACATATGACTAGCAAAAGATGTATACCCAGAATACACAAAGAACTCCTCTAAATCTAAAACTTTTTTAAATGAGCAAATACTTGACCAGACATTGTATATTAAGATGAATCACAGACCTAATCATAAAAGCTTAAACTATCAAGCTTTTGCAAAAAATAATGGAAAAATGTATTCATACAAAAATGAATCTTCTTCATAAAGGAGGTATTAGTAAAAATGAGCATATGAAAAGTTGTTCACCATCATTATTCATCAGGTAAATGCAAATTAAAACCACAGTGATCTATATTTCAGACCCACTGTGATGGGTAAAATCAAATATTGCTGAGGATGGAGAGCACCTGCGCTTCTCATATATTGCTGCTGGAATTGTAAAATAGTAGAACTGCTTTACATAACTATTTCATAGTGGATTATAAAAGCAAACACCTACTCTACGAGACAGCAATTTCATTCTAAAAAAAATAAAACATTTGTTCATTAAGCAAATGTGTATATTCACAGAAGCTTAATTCATTACTGCCAAAAACTGGAAACAACCTGTATCAGTTTTCTAGGACAGTCATAACAATGTACCACAGACTAGGATCCATAAACAACAGAAATTTATTTCCTCACAATTTTGAAAACTACAAGTCCCAGATCAAGATGTGAGCAGAGCTGGTTTCTTCCGAAGCCCTTTCTCCTTGAGTTGCAGATGGCTATCTTTTCCCTGTATGTTTACATGGTATTCCCCTAGTGTGTGCATGCAATGCTCAGTATGACATTAGGGCCTACCCTAATTACTTTATTTTAACTAAATTATCTCTTTAAAGACCCTATCTCCAAATGTGTCCAGAATTGGTGGGTTCTTGGTCTCACTGACTTCAAGAATGAAGCCGTGGACCCTCGCAGTGAGTGTTACGGTTCTTAAAGGCGGTGTGTCTAGAGTTTGCTCCTTCTGTTGTTCAGATGTGTTCGGAGTTTCTTCCTTCTGGTTCGTGGTTTTGCCAGTTTCAGGAGTGAAGCTACAGACCTTCGCGGTGAGTGGTACAGCTCTTAAGGCAGCGAGTTGTTCGTTCCTCCCGGTGGGTTCGTGGTCTCACTGGCTTCAGGAGTGAAGCTGCAGACCTTCGAGGTGAGTGTTACAGCTCATAAAGGCAGTGTGGACCCAAAGAGTGAGCAGTAGCAAGATTTATTGCAAAGAGCAAAAGAAGAAAGCTTCCACAGTGTGGAAGGGAACCCCAGTGGGTTGCCACTGCTGGCCAGGGCAGCCTGCGATTATTCTCTTATTTGGCCCCACCCACATCCTCCTGATTGGTCCATTTTACAGAGAGCCAATTGGTCTGTTTTACAGAGAGCTGATTGGTCCGTTTACAATCCCTGAGCTAGACACAAAAGTTCTCCACCTCCCCATTAGATTAGCTAGATACAGAGTGTCAATTGGTGTATTTACAAACCCTGAGCTAGACACAGAATGCTGATTGGTGCATTTACAATCCCTTAGCTAGACAAAAAGGTTTTCCAAGTCCCCACCAGATTAACTAGATACAGAGTGTCGATTGGTGCATTCACAAACCCTGAGCTAGACACAGGGTGCTGATTGGTGTGTTTACAAACCTTGAGCTAGATACAGAGTGCTGACTGGTGTATTTACAATCCCTTAGCCAGACATAAAGGTTCTCCAAGTCCCCACCAGACTCAGGAGCCCAGCTGGCTTCACCCAGTGGATCCTGCACTGGGGCCACAGGTGAAGCTGCCTGCCGGGGCCACAGGTGGAGCTGCCTGCCAGTCCCACGTGGTGCTCCCGCACTCCTCAGCCCTTGGGCTGGGGACTGGCCCTGTGGAGTAGGGAGTGGCACTACTGGGGAGGCTCAGGCTGCGCAGGACCCCATGGCGGTGGGGGGAGGCTCAGGCATGGTGGGCTGCAGGTCCCGAGCCCTGCCCCACTGCGGGGGCAGCTAAGGCCCAGCTAGAAGTCGAGCACAGCAGCTGCTGGCCCAGGTGCTAAGCCCCTCACTGCCCTGGGCCGGTGGGCCGGCTGGCCGCTCCGAATGCGGGGCCGCGGGGCCCGCGGAGCCCACGCCCACCCGGAACTCACGCTGGCCCGCAAGCGTCCTGCGCAGCACCGGTTCCCACCGGCGCCTCTCCCTCCACACCTCCCTGCAAGCTGAGAGAGCCGGCTCTGGCCTTGGCCAGCCCAGAAAGGGGCTCCCACAGTGCAGCGGGGGGCTGAAGGGCTCTTCAAGCACGGCCAGAGTGGGTGCCAAGGCTGAGGAGGTGCCGAGAGCGAGCGAGGGCTGTGAGGGCTGCCAGCACGCTGTCACCTCTCACAAGTACTGTCACATTCTAAGGTACTGGGAGTTAGGACTTAAACAGAAGAATTTTCTGGGGACATGATTCAGCCCATAACACAACCCAAGAGACCACTAACTTCAGAATGGGCAGTCATTGTGATGGGTAAATTTTATGTGACAAGTTAACTAGACTACCATGCCCAGGTGTTTAGTCAAACACCAGGCTAGATGTTGCCATGAAGGTATTTTATAGATGTGGTTAACATATATAATTAGTTGACTTTGAGTAAAGGAGGCAACCTACTCTAATGTGCATCTCCTTCAGCCAATCCTTGAATAGCTTAAAAGCAAAGGTTGAGATGTCCTGGAGAAAAAGGAATTCTGCCTCAAGACTGTACCATAGAAATCCTGCCTGAGTTTCCAGCTCACTAGTCTGCCCTGCATATTGCAGACTGAAGACAGGGACATCAACTGTTACTTGAGTTTCCAGTCTGCTGACCTACCCTATGGATTTATACTTTCCAAGCCCCTACAACTGACTGAACCAATTTCTTAAATCTTATTGGTTCTATTTCTCTGGAGAATTCTACATGTTATAGTCATGCATGGAAAACTACTGTCATAAAAAGGACCAAAATATTCATACATACGTACAACATGGATAATGCTCAGAAATGCTATACTGCGTGGAAAAAAAAAAAGCCAGACAAAAAAAGGATGCATACTCCATCATCCCATTTATATGAAGCCCAAGAACAGGCAAAACTCATCTATGGTGATAGAAATAAGAAAATGGCTGTCTGGGGTAGATGAATGAGGATAGATATTGACTGAAAATAGACAAAAGGGACCTTCCTGGAGGGATGGAATTGTGCTATATCTTGTTTGCAGTGGTGTTTTCATGGATACGTACCTTTGTCAAAATTCAGAGACTTGAATAGTCAGGATCTATGCATTTCATTCTGTGTAAATTGTATCTTTAAAAAACAATATGTGGAGGAGCCAAGATGGCCGAATAGGAACAGCTCCGGTCTACAGCTCCCAGCAAGAGCGACGCAGAAGACGGGTGATTTCTGCATTTCCATCTGAGGTACCGGGTTCATCTCACTAGGGAGTGCCAGACAGTGGGCGCAGGCCAGTGGGTGTGCACACCGTGCGCGAGCCAAAGCAGGGCGAGGCATTGCCTCACCTGGGAAGCGCAAGGGGTCAGGGAGTTCCCTTTCCGAGTCAAAGAAAGGCGTGACGGACGCACCTGGAAAATTGGGTCACTCCCACCCGAATACTGCGCTTTTCAGACCGGCTTAAAAAACGGCGCACCACGAGACTATATCCCACACCTGGCTCGGAGGGTCCTATGCCCACGGAATCTCGCTGATTGCTAGCACAGCAGTCTGAGATCAAACTGCAAGGCGGCAGCGATGCTGGGGGAGGGGTGCCCGCCATTGCCCAGGCTTGCTTAGGTAAACAAAGCAGCCGGGAAGCTGGAACTGGGTGGAGCCCACCACAGCTCAAGGAGGCCTGCCTGCCTCTGTAGGCTCCACCTCTGGGGGCAGGGCACAGACAAACAAAAAGACAGCAGTAACCTCTGCAGACTTAAATGTCCCTGTCTGACAGCTTTGAAGAGAGCAGTGGTTCTCCCAGCACGCAGCTGGAGATCTGAGAACGGGCAGACTACCTCCTCAAGTGGGTCCCTGACCCCTGACCCCCGAGCAGCCTAATTGGGAGGCACTCCCCAGCAGGGGCACACTGACATCTCACACGGCAGGGTATTCCAACAGACCTGCAGCTGAGGGTCCTGTCTGTTAGAAGGAAAACTAACAAACAGAAAGGACATCCACACCAAAAACCCATCTGTACATCACCATCATCAAAGACCAAAAGTAGATAAAACCACAAAGATGGGGAAAAAACAGAACAGAAAAACTGGAAACTCTAAAAAGCAGAGCGCCTCTCCTCCTCCAAAGGAACGCAGTTCCTCACCAGCAACGGAACAAAGCTGGATGGAGAATGACTTTGACGAGCTGAGAGAAGAAGGTTTCAGACGATCAAATTACTCTGAGCTACGGGAGGACATTCAAACCAAAGGCAAAGAAGTTGAAAACTTTGAAAAAAATTTAGAAGAATGTATAACTAGAATAACCAATACAGAGAAGTGCTTAAAGGAGCTGATGGAGCTGAAAACCAAGGCTCGAGAACTACGTGAAGAATGCAGAAGCCTCAGGAGCCGATGCGATCAACTGGAAGAAAGGGTATCAGCAATGGAAGATGAAATGAATGAAATGAAGCGAGAAGGGAAGTTTAGAGAAAAAAGAATAAAAAGAAATGAGCAAAGCCTCCAAGAAATATGGGACTATGTGAAAAGACCAAATCTACGTCTGATTGGTGTACCTGAAAGTGAGGCGGAGAATGGAACCAAGTTGAAAAACACTCTGCAGGATATTATCCAGGAGAGCTTCCCCAATCTAGCAAGGCAGGCCAACATTCAGATTCAGGAAATACAGAGAGCGCCACAAAGATACTCCTCGAGAAGAGCAACTCCAAGACACATAATTGTCAGATTCACCAAAGTTGAAATGAAGGAAAAAATGTTAAGGGCAGCCAGAGAGAAAGGTCGGGTTACCCTCAAAGGGAAGCCCATCAGACTAACAGCGGATCTCTCGGCAGAAACCCTACAAGCCAGAAGAGAGTGGGGGCCAATATTCAACATTCTTAAAGAAAAGAATTTTCAACCCAGAATTTCATATCCAGCCAAGCTAAGCTTCATAAGTGAAGGAGAAATAAAATACTTTACAGACAAGCAAATGCTGAGAGATTTTGTCACCACCAGGCCTGCCCTAAAAGAGCTCCTGAAGGAAGCGCTAAACATGGAAAGGAACAACCGGTACCAGCCGCTGCAAAATCATGCCAAAATGTAAAGACCATCGAGACTAGGAAGAAACTGCATAAACTAATGAGCAAAATCACCAGCTAACATCATAATGACAGGATCAAATTCACACATAACAATATTAACTTTAAATGTAAATGGACTAAATTCTCCAATTAAAAGACACAGACTGGCAAGTTGGATAAAGAGTCAAGACCCATCAGTGTGCTGTATTCAGGAAACCCATCTCACGTGCAGAGACACACATAGGCTCAAAATAAAAGGATGGAGGAAGATCTACCAAGCAAATGGAAAACAAAAAAAGGCAGGGGTTTCAATCCTAGTCTCTGATAAAACAGACTTTAAACCAACAAAGATCAAAAGAGACAAAGAAGGCCATTACATAATGGTAAAGGGATCAATTCAACAACAAGAGCTAACTATCCTAAATATATATGCACCCAATACAGGAGCACCCAGATTCATAAAGCAAGTCCTGAGTGACCTACAAAGAGACTTAGACTCCCACACATTAATAATGGGAGACTTTAGCACCCCACTGTCAACATTAGACAGATCAACGAGACAGAAAGTTAACAAGGATACCCAGGAATTGAACTCAGCTCTGCACCAAGCGGACCTAATAGACATCTACAGAATTCTCCACCCCAAATCAACAGAATATACATTTTTTTCAGCACCACACCACACCTATTCCAAAATTGACCACATACTTGGAAGTAAAGCTCTCCTCAGCAAATGTAAAAGAACAGAAATTATAACAAACTATCTCTCAGACCACAGTGCAATCAAACTAGAACTCAGGATTAAGAATCTCACTCAAAGCCACTCAACTACATGGAAACTGAACAACCTGCTCCTGAATGACTACTGGGTACATAACGAAATGAAGGCAGAAATAAAGATGTTCTTTGAAACCAACGAGAACAAAGACACAACATACCAGAATCTCTGGGACACATTCAAAGCAGTGTGTAGAGGGAAATTTATAGCACTAAATGCCCACAAGAGAAAGCAGGAAAGATCCAAAATTGACACCCTAACGTCACAATTAAAAGAACTAGAAAAGCAAGAGCAAACACATTCAAAAGGTAGCAGAAGGCAAGAAATAACTAAAATCAGAGCAGAACTGAAGGAAATAGAGACACAAAAAACCCTTCAAAAAATCAATGAATCCAGGAGCTGGCTTTTTGAAAGGATCAACAAAATTGATAGACCGCTAGCAAGACTAATAAAGAAAAAAAGAGAGGAGAATCAAATAGACACAATAAAAAATGATAAAGGGGATATCACCACCGATCCCACAGAAATACAAACTACCATCAGAGAATACTACAAACACCTCTACGCAAATAAACTAGAAAATCCAGAAGAAATGGATACATTCCTCGACACATACACTCTCCCAAGACTAAACCAGGAAGAAGTTGAATCTCTGAATAGACCAATAACAGGAGCTGAAATTGTGGCAATAATCAATAGTTTACCAACCAAAAAGAGTCCAGGACCAGATGGATTCACAGCCGAATTCTACCAGAGGTACAAGGAGGAACTGGTACCATTCCTTCTGAAACTATTCCAATCAATAGAAAAAGAGGGAATCCTCCCTAACTCATTTTATGAGGCCAGCATCATTCTGATACCAAAGCCGGGCAGAGACACAACCAAAAAAAGAGAATTTTAGACCAATATCCTTGATGAACATTGATGCAAAAATCCTCAATAAAATACTGGCAAACTGAATCCAGCAGCACATCAAAAAGTTTATCCACCATGATCAAGTCGGCTTCATCCCTGGGATGCAAGGCTGGTTCAATATACGCAAATCAATAAATGTAATCCAGTATATAAACAGAGCCAAAGACAAAAACCACATGATTATCTCAATAGATGCAGAAAAAGCCTTTGACAAAATTCAACAACCCTTCATGCTAAAAACTCTCAATAAATTAGGTATTGAAGGGACGTATTTCAAAATAATAAGAGCTATCTATGACAAACCCACAGCCAATATCATACTGAATGGGCAAAAACTGGAAGCATTCCCTTTGAAAACTGGCACAAGACAGGGATGCCCTCTCTCACCGCTCCTATTCAACATAGTGTTGGAAGTTCTGGCCAGGGCAATCAGGCAGGAGAAGGAAATAAAGGGTATTCAATTAGGAAAAGAGGAAGTCAAATTGTCCCTGTTTGCAGACGACATGATTGTTTATCTAGAAAACCCCATCGTCTCAGCCCAAAATCTCCTTAAGCTGATAAGCAACTTCAGCAAAGTCTCAGGATACAAAACCAATGTACAAAAATCACAAGCATTCTTATACACCAACAACAGACAAACAGAGAGCCAAATCATGAGTGAACTCCCATTCACAATTGCTTCAAAGAGAATAAAATACCTAGGAATCCAACTTACAAGGGATGTGAAGGACCTCTTCAAGGAGAACTACAAACCACTGCTCAAGGAAATAAAAGAGGATACAAACAAATGGAATTACATTCCATGCTCATGGGTAGGAAGAATCAATATCGTGAAAATGGCCATACTGCCCAAGGTAATTTACAGATTCAATGCCATCCCCATCAAGCTACCAATGACTTTCTTCACAGAATTGGAAAAAACTACTTTAAAGTTCATATGGAACCAAAAAAGAGCCCGCATCGCCAAGTCAATCCTAAGCCAAAAGAACAAAGCTGGAGGCATCACACTACCTGACTTCAAACTATACTACAAGGCTACAGTAACCAAAACAGCATGGTACTGGTACCAAAACAGAGATATAGATCAATGGAACAGAACAGAGCCCTCAGGAATAACGCCGCATACATACAACTATCTGATCTTTGACAAACCTGAGAAAAACAAGCAATGGGGAAAGGATTCCCTATTTAATAAATGGTGCTGGGAAAACTGGCTAGCCATATGTAGAAAGCTGAAACTGGATCCTTTCCTTACACCTTATACAAAAATCAATTCAAGTTGGATTAAAGATTTAAACGTTAGACCTAAAACCATAAAAACCCTAGAAGAAAACCTAGGCATTACAATTCAGGACATAGGCGTGGGCAAGGACTTCATGTCCAAAACACCAAAAGCAATGGCAACAAAAGACAAAATTGACAAATGGGATCTAATTAAACTAAAGAGCTTCTGCACAGCAAAAGAAACTACCATCAGAGTGAACAGGCAACCTACAACATGGGAGAAAATTTTCGCAACCTACTCATCTGACAAAGGGCTAATATCCAGAATCTACAATGAACTCAAACAAATTTACAAGAAAAAAACAAATAACCCCATCAAAAAGTGGGCGAAGGACATGAACAGACACTTCTCAAAAGAAGACATTTATGCAGCCAAAAAATACATGAAAAAATGCTCATCATCACTGGCCATCAGAGAAATGCAAATCAAAACCACTATGAGATACCATCTCACACCAGTTAGAATGGCAATCATTAAAAAGTCAGGAAACAACAGGTGCTGGAGAGGATGTGGAGAAATAGGAACACTTTCACACTGTTGGTGGGACTGTAAACTAGTTCAACCATTGTGGAAGTCAGTGTGGCGATTCCTCAGGGATCTAGAACTAGAAATACCATTTGACCCAGCCATCCCATTACTGGGTATATACCCAAATGACTATAAATCATGCTGCTATAAAGACACATGCACACGTATGTTTATTGCGGCATTATTCACAATAGCAAAGACTTGGAACCAACCCAAATGTCCAACAACGATAGACTGGATTAAGAAAATGTGGCACATATACACCATGGAATACTATGCAGCCATAAAAAAGGATGAGTTCATGTCCTTTGTAGGGACATGGATGAAATTGGAAACCATCATTCTCAGTAAACTATCGCAAGAACAAAAAACCAAACACCGCATATTCTCACTCATAGGTGGGAATTGAACAATGAGATCACATGGTCACAGGAAGGGGAATATCACACTCTGGGGACTGTGGTGGGGTGGGGGGAGGGGGGAGGGGTAGCATTGGGAGATATACCTAATGCTAGATGACGAGTTAGTGGGTGCAGCGCACCAGCATGGCGCATGTATACATATGTAACTAACCTGCACAATGTGCACATGTACCCTAAAACTTAAAGTATAATAAAAAAAAAAAGAAAAAAAAACAATATGAAAAATTACATATTACCTTAAATTTCAATTATGTATATATATTTATTTCAAATATATTTCAAATATAAATTTTTCAAATGTTAAGTTTTTTATTCACTGTAGATGTAGCTACACTGAATAAAACATATGTGGATGTTTAGGAGTGACTTAACATTAACTCTAACCTTCTAACCATTGTCTACATTCCTTTTCCTGGCCATCTTTCAGAGACTTGTTTAACCATTAGGGGGACCCCTCAGGTCATGCAGGCAGTGTGCGACTACTCTTATTAGACATCCAATTTCAGGTTGGTGATCAGTTCATCCCAATCAGGTTCAATGTAACTCAGTCAATATTTACAACAGGAAACTTTAACTGGAGTGAAAGTTATAATTAATCTCTTCGTTATTTTGGTACAGATTACAGTTAAAATGTCACACATTAATTATATTCATGTGTATCATGTGTTGTTAACTACTTAGCTCACTTAAATATCCATTTCCCAGCTGTACTATAAATTCCTCACAGGCTAAGATCATGTTTTAATATTTTTCTGTGTCTCCCAAAAAGCTAAGACAGCCTAGATATATATATTTGGCAATTGGATTGATGAATAAATTAGGTGTGTTGTTTTGGCTTTGCCCGGGGAAAATAAGTTAACTCACTTCAGGCTCCCTTCCCCAGCCACTCCCCACACTCCCCCCGACCCTCCACTGAGTTATCCTATTCTATACCATTGAATAAAACCATTGAGTAAATCCATAAGTTTGATTTCAGCTCTCTGGAAGCATTTGATTCATTGTGAAATTTTTTCTCAAAATTATTATAAAATACAATTTAAAAAGGGAATATATGGAGCAAGAGGACAACAGGGAGATGGTGGAGGAGGAGGAAAAAGAAAATGAAGAAAGCAAAGGAGGAGGAGGGGGAAGAGATGATGAGGATAAAGAAGAAATGTAGAAATTGCAAGTACACAAAATCAGGAATCTTTTAAAAGACTGGTTTTATCCTCAAAATTCTTAGGCATAAACGCCATCTCTCTGAATGACTTAAAAAATCAATATAAAGCTTGATTCTATGGTTTATTGATTCTATATTTCAATTATCCCTAATTAAAATGTCTGCTTTGATTTTAATTTCTAAACAAGGGGAAAAAATTACAGGAATTTCTTTTAAATGTACTATTTCATCCTCAACCCAGTGGATGCCATTCCACTATATTTAGTGAATTCCAGTAATATAAATATATATGATATTCTTGCATATAGATACATATATATTCTTATGCACGAAATTGAGTGGTACTTATTTTCAAAGGATTTAGTAGGAGACGAATATATAAGTGAGTGGCTCTTTCTCCCTAGGATCACAGACCTGTTGCTCCAACTAAAATAAAAAGTATATTCGATTTAAGATATTATGACTCTTTATGATTGACTCAACACATATTTATTGAGCCCTTACTATGCACCTAATACTCTCTTAGTACCTGAATGCTACCTATCCATAAATGAGTGAATAATATTTATAAAGAAATATGGCATAGAAGACTGAAACAGAGAACAACGTGAGATGGAAAATAATCAGGTGCCTTAAATATAATATGGACGATAAGGGCTATTTAAAATCTAAAGGATAGAATAATTGAAGAGTGCTCTGAGATACATTTCCTTATCATCTACACAGCACAACTAATAACATCCTATGAATGTTTTAAATATCAAATGAAATAATAATATATATAAGAAGAGTTAAGTATCCACTATGTATGTAAGAAATTTGCCAGGCACGATGGCTCATGCCTGTAATCCCAGCACTTTTTTGGGAGACCGAGGCGGGCGGATCACGAGGTCAGGAGATCGAGACCATCCTGGCTAACATGGTGAAACCCCATCTCTACTAAAAATACAAACAATTAGCCGGGCGTGGTGGCAGGCACCTGTAGTCCCAGCTACTCGGGAGGCTGAGGCAGGAGAATGGCGTGAACCGGGAAGCGGAGCTTGCAGTGAGCGGAGGTTGCACCACTGCACTCCAGCCTGGGTGAGAGAGCGAGACTCATCAAAAAAAAAAAAAAAAAAAAGAAATTAAAATGGACCAGGTGAAAACAGGCTTACAGAAGTAAAAAAACCTCTAAATTCACATAGAAAGAGACACTGCAACCATGATGAGTATCCACAACATTTCTAGTCCTATGCTTAATAATGTTAAAAGAAAAACTTCAGCCAAATTAAATTTAAAGGAGTTTAATTGAACAATGAACGATTCGTGAATCAGGCAGCTCCCAGAATCATGGCAGATTCAGAAGGACTCCAGGTATGCCTCGTGGTCAGAACAGATTTATAGACAAAAAAAAAGAAAAGTGACGTATAGAAATCAGAGGTGAGGTACAGAACAGCTGGAGTGATTACAGGTTGGCATTTACCTTATTTGAATACAGCTTGAACACTCAGCAGTGAATGACTGGTTGAAGTATGGCTGCTGGGACTGGCCAAGACTCAGCCACTGTTAATAGGCCCATACTCCTAAATTAGGGTTTCAATCTTGTCTACCCACTAGATTAGGCTGCAGTTCCTCCACAAGGACTCAAATATAGTATAGAGTCCTTCTCAGGCCATATTTAGTTTGCTTTAACAATTATGGAAGAATTTTTATAAAGTATTACATAACATCAAGTATTTGATGATAGGAGACATAGGTGATAGGAGATAAAGTCATAGAGACAAGGAGGGCAAAGGTGCACAGCATCTTATAATGATGTTGTCTTCACTCTTACTAAGGTAAGAATTTTTATGAAGTATTACATTCATTAAATATTTGATTGCTTTATCTGTCATACCAGTAAAAATGTGTTCATAAATACATATCATAAGGTGGCAGGCAATAAATACAAAATATGTAGTATGGTACATGTTGATAACTACTAAGGACAAGCACAAGCAGGGAAAAGAGATAGAAATTATGGGTTAGTGGGGGGAATTGTAATTTCAATTTAGATGACCAGAGACAGCCCCACTGAAAAGGTATCATTTGAGCAAAGACCTGAGAGTTGAGGTGAGGAACAATGACATGTAACTATTTGGAGGAACGGCATTTCAGGTAGAAGAACAACATCAGTAGCAGTTCTGACGGGGGTGAGGCCTGTTGTGTTTGAGAAACAGCCAGGTGAGCAGTGTGCCTGGAGGCATGAGTGAGAGGAGGATGATAGGAGACAAAGACACAGAGGCAAGGAGGGTGAAGCTGCACAGCGTCTTATAATGACGTTGTCTTCACTCTTACTAAGGTAAGAAGCCATTAGAAGGTCGTGACCAGAGAAATGAAATTATTGTTTATGGTAGGAGATTATTCTGGCTGGTGTCACTGGTGAAATGGAGAGAATAGTTATAAAGTTATCATTGCAATTAGGTGAAGAGATGATAGGGGCTTGGACCAGGATGGTTGCAGTGAATGTTGTGAGAAGTGTTTGGATCCTCAACTCTACTGTCAAATTGTTTACAGCCCAGTTAGGAGAAAAAGTCTGGGAAACTTTAATGTATTTTTTAAAAAGAGAGAGAAATAAATCGTTAGAAGCTAAATGATATGAGTACAATTACAAATTTAAGAGTGATTTGGGAAAAGCAAATTGAACAATGTGACAGAAAGGTGACTGATTAATAGTGTTTTAATAAAAATAATAATTGCTGACATTCATTGTGTTCATTACATGCCAGGTGCCAGGCATAGTGCCTTACGTGTGATATCTCAATTAATCTCCACCAAAAACCTATGATAAGTTGCTGCTACTGTCCCATTTCCTATATGCTATAAGAGGAAATCAAAGAAAGAATGTCTGGAAAGGTTAATAAGTTGTTCAAAGGACATAGCTGTAATTTCGTCATGATTTGGCTTTCATGAGAGCCCAAGCTCAACACTGACACGCTATTCTGATTTGCCATATAGGTGGAGGGGGAAATAAGACATTCTCAGTGGGTGAATCCATGTGAGTGAAGGTTAGGAATTCAAATGTTTTGTGTGTGCATGAGAATCGCAGGTCTGGAGCAGAAGGTTCATTTTGGGGAACAATAAAAGAAATAGTGGAGACTGAAAAGTATAAACAGATTTTAGAAGTCCTCCAGAGCTAGCCAAAAAAGCTTTCATTGTATCCAGGAGAGCCTGGGAATCTAAGATGAACATGGAAGGAGAAAAATTATTATTATTATTATTTATTATTATTATTATTATTTTGAGACGGAGTCTTGCTCTGTTGCCCAGGCCAGAGTGCAATGGCGTCATTTCAGCTGACTGCAACCTCCACCTCCGGGTTCAAGCAATTCTCCTGCCTCAGCCTCCTGAGTAGCTGGGATTACAGGCATGTGCCACCACGCCTGGCTAATTTTTTTGTATTTTAAGTAGAGACAGGGTTTCACCATATTGGCCAGGCTGGTCTCAAATTCCTGACCTTGTGATCCACCCGCCTCAGCCTCCCAAAGTGCTGGGATTACAGGCATGAGCCACGGCACACAGCCAAGAAAAATTAATTTAAGATTATCTGGCTCCCAGGTACAAGATGAGCTGGGGGCAGTAGAGATCTGGCAAGTAGAATAGCAAGAAAGAAACATGATCATTTATATATGAGGTAATAAGAACTAGTAAAAGTAGGGATTGAAAGGTACATGTCAGCATATTTCCCAGAGTTTTTTTTTCAAAATCCAGGAGAGAATTTGGTTCTGAGTTGTTTACTAAAAATATTGAATTACAATCCATGCCATGTCCACAATTAGTTGTGTGAATTTGGGCAGGTTATTTATTTGAGAAGTTTCTTCATCCATAAATAAAGTTGTATTAGATTATATTTAATGTTTTCTTCCTTTTATATTATGATTAAGATGTGTTTGCTGATTTGTTTTAAAGTTACAGTTTAGAAAAATATAAGAGCCTTTAGCATCTATTTCTTTCAAGGCATTAAGATTAAATTTCACTGAGTGTGTGGCGCTATGTTTGGAACAAAGAAGATGCACGGAAATACTCCCTGTGTTGAACTGAATTTAACTGAAACTTAAAAATTATCAAAGAAAAAGAATAAATTCTAGCCTTATCCCTGTATCTATTAAAGACTGAATATCAAAAAATAAAATGTTTAGAATTGGTCTAGATTCTTCCATTGTCCTGCTGAATTTCTTGGCCAGTGATATTCCAAGTGTGGTTCCTGGACCAGACTATGGGTTACTAAATAATTTATATATAATTTGTGTGTGTGTGCACGTGTGTGTGTGTGTGTGTGTGTGTGTGTAAAATCGCCTCAGGCATTTTTCCACACTGGAAGTCACCTCACAGCCTTAGGTAGCAAAACTATGCCTAGAATAGCTGTATTATTCCAGAACTTTTTTAATATTCCTAGATACTCTTTATGAATGAATCCAAAAAGCAAAAGACAGAAGCAGCCTGATTGAGAAGGCCTTGCTCCTTGTTTCTAAGAAAACTATTATACAAAGTGAAACAATATAAACAAGATTTATTTGTTTGTTGCCTAATCTTTTAACCCAGACAGATGATCATCTATAATGGCTTTGTTTTTCAGCTTTTTCTGCCTCCTGTTGTTCAGAGTAATGACGTGGAGAGAGCTCAAGCCTGAGGAACTAATAGGTATTAGTTCAAAATCCAATTCTGCTGTGCAATCTCAGACATGTTTCATAAACTCTCCATGCCTCAGTTTCCTTATCTCATTTCTCAGATTTCTTATCTGATAAATAAATAAGACACTATAATAATAGCATAGTATTTGGCACAAATGAAGTACTCAACAGATCTGTGTTCCCTTCCTCCATCTCTAATTTGTGAATATTATTTCTGAACCTCTTTCTTAAACCCTAGAACTAACGTAGGAAATAACTTCTCCTCCACCCCATCCATGGTGTTATACATGGAGGAAATACACATTTGGGGAAGTGCACAGCTCAAGTGACTCTAACCCTGGATTTCCAGCTGATCCCACCCCAGAACCACCCACAGGGAAAAGGAAGAGAAACCACTTCCCACAGCTGGGGCTTTCCTCATTTCCGAAGCTACAGAAGAATGATCATAGTACTCAGAGGAAGCACTGCTGGCCTGGAGGTCATTTGCCACAGAGGGAGTTCAATAGCCCCTTAGTCCTGTCAGGGCTTCTCCCTTATCCCACATTACTCATCTGTAACCTAGTACTTTAAGTAAAATCTTGTCTTTTGCAAAGTAAAGAACATTAATCTTCCACCTTTTACATTCCTACTTTCTCAATTTATGCTTTGTTTGAATAACAAGAATGGAGGAGATAAGGGGAACAACTGTACTTCCTAATGGTTAGTCCACAAAAAGCCATTAGCATTCACTGTAAACAGCATTCATCAATGTGCTGTCTTAGGTCAGGATCAACTTCCTTATCTAAACTTGAGAAGGGACTGCCCTTTTTTCTCTATCTCACTTATAATACTTGTGGGTGGCAGAAATGACAGCAATCACACACTGTCACACAAGAATGAATCTGACACTTCACTGTTGAAATTCTATTATCTTTTATCTCTTTGATATCCTTTACATTAAACTTAATTCTCAAGTTCTCCAATTGGTGTCTACATCAGACTTGTAAAGAGTTATAGAAATTATAGGAGTCAAAAATAGTTTAAAAGCCTTGTGATATGGATATATGTAAGAAATACTCTTCTTTGAATAGTGAAATACCTTAGCTCTCTAGTTCAGCTAATGTACATATTTTCAAAGCAGGGAAAAGACAGCTGTGTGGATGTAGAGAAGTAGGGGAGAGGAGAGGGTGGATTTGCATTAATGATGGGGCTTCAGTGGGAAGGAAGGAAGGAAGGAAGGAAGGAAGGAAGGAAGGAAGGAAGGAAGGAAGGAAAGAAGGAAAGAAGGAAAGAAGGAAAGAAGGAAGGAAGGGCAGGAGGGAGAAAATAGCTAGCTTCATTTTAGTTTCAAGTTAAATGAAATACAAAAATAAAACCACATTCATTTCTCCCTAAGCGTTGATACAGATACATAAATAAAGTATTGTCAGAAAGATGCTGTCTAACTTTAAATAATTTAAAGTTACAGAAAAGAATCAATTTTCCTGATGTTTATCCCTTCAAAATCTTAAGACTCCTTCTTAGTGTGATTTGGACCAAAAATAAAATAGAACCAGGCAAAAACAAAACAAAACAAAAAAAAACAAACAAGACATCTCTTGTTTTTTAATTTACCCTACACAGGATGCTTGTACTATAAGGTAAGCTGTTGGCTGCTCTTCAGCATACCACTGCTTTCCTGACTTCCACTGGTAGGCAGGAAGCTTGGCTCTTTGGGCCGGCACAGGCCTTCTCAGTATGGAAGTAGGATTACACACCATTGAGTGTGTAATCAAATCAGTCAAAGTACTCCTCATCTCTACCTGGTCCTTTCCCTTTCATTTCATCCCAGAACCCACCATCAACTCAAGTTGATTCATCATTATTAACCAACAAACTTTGATCATTTTTAAATTATTCATAATTAATTCACTTTGGCTACATGTTTATGAGTGTAAAGCAAAATATATGCCTCATGATCTCAAAAATGGTTCTAAATAATAAGATCTGGGCCAGTGTTATGTAAGTTAATTTTCTTTTGCAAATGTTTGGGCTTGATCAGATTACAGAGATTTTTTTTTTCCTTTGCCAGGATTCCTAAAGACATTTCTGGTTTCCGAGAACAGAAGGGTTTATTATTCCAATCTGTTGTTAGCACCTTGGAAACCAAAGACATTTATTAGATTGCCCTTTATAAAACTACATTTAGTAACCAGTATGCCAAGATTTACATTAGATTCTCTTTGTTATAGTGATTTCTGCTGATACATATACTATGCTAGGAAGATTCCAGTCAGTGATTGTGAAATATCTCCTATATTATTTGAATTAAATAGGCTATGGTCAAGTCTTAAAACTCAAAGATATATATATCTATAGGTACATACATAGACAGATACATACCACTAGATATAGATATATATTTGCCACTGTAAATAGTTCATATTTTATTGCTATTAACTCTTTCAACCACTAAATGTCTAAGGTTATGAATTCATCAAATATACAAATGCAATTTTTTTTTTGAGACAGAGTCTCACTCTGTCACTCATGCTGGAGTGCATGGCACTATCTCAGCTCACTGCAACCTCTGCCTCCCAGGTTCAAGTGATTCTCCCACCTCAGCCTCCCAAGTAGCTGGGATTACAGGTGTGCACCACTGCACCTGGCTAATTTTTGTATTTTTAGTAGAGATGGGGTTTCACCATGTTGGCCAGGCTGGTCTCGAACTCCTGACCTCAGGTGATCCACCTGCTTCAACCTCCCAAAGTGCTGGGATTACAGGCGTGAACCACTGCACCCGGCCAGTGCAATGATTTCTAAGGCAACCAACAAGGAGTAAGATTTATATTTATTAAGCATCCGTTATATACTTGGTTTCATGCCAGATGCTTTATATTTATTATATTGTTTAATTTTTTATAGCATTCTAAATCTAACCCCATGATTCAGAGTTGACGTGAAGCTATCGTATAGCCAATCCAATTTTTTTTTTTAAGACAGGGTCTTGCTCTGTCCCCCAGCCTGGAGTGCAGTGGTGCAATCATGGTTCACTACAGCCTCAACCTCCTGGGCCCAAGCAATCCTCCCATCTCAGTCTCCCTAGTGGCTGGGACTTCAGGCCTGTGCACCACGATGCCCAGCTAAGTTTTGCATTTTTTGTAGAGACAAGGTTTTGCCATGCTGCGCAGGCTGGTCTCAAACTCCTAAGGTCAAGCGATCCACCTACCTCAGCTTCCCAAAGTGCTGGGATTACGGGTATGAGCCACCATACTTGGCCCACGAATCTAATTTTCTATGAAAGGAAAGGCACTAAAATCAACAAGTCCTGTTGAAAGTATCCGCTGTTTAGGGCCAAAGAAGCCAGGACACACATTCTGCCTCTACAGTGTGTTCTGAAACTCCAAATCCTTGTTTTTCATTTATAAACCAGGGATAATAACTATCTCATGATGGGTTGGTGATGGTTACAAGAGACAATGTAAAAGAGTAGCTATGAAGTAGGGACTAAATTAACATCAGTTTACTTCTTCTACGTGCTCCTTCTTCTTCTCCTTCCTTTTTCCCTATAGGTTTCTCTCCTGTCTTATAATCCACTTATGTTGGATAGGTAACTAAAAAATAAAATCGAAAATGGTAAAGCTGAAAGCGGCTGTAGTGGCCTTTTTTAAAAAATGAAGAGAATAAGGTCCAAGTGTTTAAAGATATAAACACAGCTAAGCAGTGGCAAATATACTAAAAAATGATCCCAAGTTCAATGTATTTTTCACTCTATCTAGATAATGTGTATAGCTAAATTAAGTTAGTTCATGTTTCACCCACCCTCCAGAATCCCTTCCATTCTAAACTCAATCAAGAATTTTTCAGCACCCAGGTTTTTACTACAGATAGCGCTTGTAAAGTTCCATGTGCCTCAAAAATGGACACAATGGCAACCTGGAGATACTACCCATGTACCCTGTTTAAAGGTTGCAGCCACTGTTTAGTTTCAAAAAATTATTGCTATGCAGAAATTTTGACCTACGGTTGCTAGATATTTTTCAAGAACAGAGTATCAGTGTAAATCTGAGTATCAGTGTAAAATTTTCTATTTTTTTTAACATTAAGAAGGCAAAATAAACCACCAGTTCGTGCCTTTCATGATAATGTCTAGAATGGAGGAAACAAGCTTTGGATAATCCAAGAACATCCATGCAAGTTCTCCTCTCAATAAAGGAATTAGGGGAGAATAGAGGAGAACTCTTTTTCCTCCCAGTTTCTGTTTTCACTTGCCTGCATTTTAAATTGAGTAAAAAGTGATCCTGAATGAGTCTGTTCTATCATATTTCCCTTCACTCTCTTTGAAGTTCAGGGCTCAAAAGTAGGAGATTAGTAAACATTTATCAATTAATTCATTGGTTGTGGGACTACTATTAATTTCTCCACCTCTCAGATTTCTTTATTTCTCCATCTCTTGATTTATTTTTTCTGCAAACACTCATTCAATAAACAGTCACTAAGCACCTGTCAGGCCCTGTGCTGGAGATGATGAAGAAATAAATAACAAATAGTCCCTGCCTTCGAAGAACTCCTAGTGTAGAGCAAGAGCTGAATATGTAAGCAAATAACTCTTTATGATGGTATGTAAAAGTTATACCGAGCATGATTAGCTTTAAAGTGGCATTTGCTTTACTTACAACCCGCCACATTGCCACAAAAGAGCTCAGAAGCTTAAAAAAAAAAAAGTGCAGCTGTCAGTAGTGATTAACACAACGGCTAGACACTGTGTATGAGAACGGATATAGGTGGTTTTATAAGGATCATGTGGTTAAGTGGGACACGCATGTTGAACAGAGTCTGCAGACATTTTGCCCAAAACTTCCTTTTGCAGTGTGCACATGTAAATGAGCCTTGCGTGGAAGTTTTTGCTTCCGGAATAAGATTGACTAGCCAGTGAAGCTCCTTATTACTCATTTCAGCAATCATTTGCTTTTCTTGATGCAATATATAAAACGTGTACAAAATACAGCAAAGGAACTTAGGTCACCCACGTTAACTTAGGACGTTTCTGTTGACTAACTTTGGGCGTTCTATTTATTAAAATTTGAAAGTCATAAATGCTGGGCTTAAAAGAAAAGAATCTCTCAGAACCTGAAATGAAAATTTAGCATTATATGACAGTTTTGAGAAAAATGATTCAGAGTTCTTTAAAAATTAAACTTCCCAAATGATTCTAGATTGAATTATATTCTGAATACCTAATATCTGCAGATTACTGTTTTAGATGCTATAGAGACAAAAAGTAGGTATATTAGCCTTCTAATCCTTAAAGAATCTGTAGTCCAATTGGGGAAGTAAGCACAAGGCAGGTGAAAAAGAGAAATAATAAAACAAAGCAGCATACAATAAATTTCCAAATGACTAATGCCAATAATCAGAGATATGTGTGCAATTAGATAACAATAACTGAGTTAGAGCCATCTAGAAAGAAATCGTACTTGATGTGAGTCTTGCAGAAGGGAATAATTTGGATAAAACAGGAGAATAATTGGTGTATAAAGGAGAAAGAAGAGTGGAGCAAAAACATAGGTGTAGATAAGCTTCAGAGAAATTTAGGAAGCAGGGATCAGACTCCCCCGGCTGTAGCAGAGGAACCCTGGGAGGACAACGAGGACTTGGAGGGAATGAAGGTTGAAGTGAGACAAACAAGAACATGAATGCAAAGCCATGGAGTTCAGACCTCCTCCCACAGGTAACGATGAGCCACTGGATATTTTCTCTTAGCTGAGTCATGTGATGAACCTGGAGGCTGCATGAAGGAAAAAGGCAAGGAGTCATAGTTAGAACTAGGTATGTTGAGAGAGATGTAAGAACTTCATCAGGCTAACAACTTGACATTTCTTCAAATATATATATTCTTTAAATAGAATGTTCAATATTTCTTTAGAAGGATTAGAAGAAACTAGCTTTATTTTATTTTATTTTATTTTATTTTATTTTATTTTATTTTATTTTATTTTATTTTTGGAGACAGAGTGTCGCTCTGTCACCCAGGCTGGAGTGCAGTGGAGCAATCTCAGCTCACTGCAACCTCTGCCTCCCAGGTTCAAGTGATTCTTCTGCCTCAGCCTCCCTAGTAGCTGGGACTACAGGTGCGTGCCACCACGCCCAGCTAATTTTTGTATTTTTAGTAGAGACAGAGTTTCACCATATTGGCCAGGCTGGTCTTGAACTCTTGACCTTGTGATCTGCCTGCCTCGGCCCCCCAAAGTTCTGAGATTACAGGCGTGAGCCACCACGTCCAGCCTGGGAGAAACTAACTTTCTATTAGTGTAGATTATATTCCACTTTATATTAAAAACAGATTTATTGTGTTGACTTAGCCTTGCGTAGAAGTTTTTGCTTGAATTTTCAAAGGCTTTGTCGTTTTTTCAGAATCAATTATAAAATTCTATCAATATGAATATATGAACATATGGATTTCCAAGTGTACGATCCCTAGCATGAATAGTATATAGCATTTTCACTCTTTTGGAATTTTCTGGTTTTCAGGTTGTTTCCTACTTTTCAAAATTCATATTTTCCTTCTATTTTCCTCTGTGATTTCTTGTAACATTTGGCTACTTGTCATAGATTTGAGAATATAAATAATATTTATATTCAGTAAATAGTGCTATGTCATGCATTATTCATTTTCAGAGTTTCAGTGTACTTACTTAACCACCCACCACCTCACAAGCTGAGAATGACTCTCAGCTGACTAGTTTCAAGTTAGTGGTGTGGCCTTTATGCACCATAGAGCTTCCATGTATGTTCCCCAAATACTAAGCCAAGATGGGTCAATGTCAGTGAGAATGTATTTGATTTCATTATGTACTTTTCATTTTTCATTACATGTTTATATTAGGTATTTATTTTATATATTTTACTATGTATGTATTTTCAGCCTTGGGCATTGCTTCCTTTGGCTAGAGTAAGACCAAGATTCATTTTGCCAAGTTTGAAAAAGGTATAGTTGGAGAACTGAGTGACCTGGCACTTCATTGATTATATAGATATTATATATTTATATGATATATTCATTATAGTATATAAATTTATTATATAGATTTATTATATAGATTATATAGATTTAGTATATAGATATTATAAGGTCACATAAATAAATAGCCCAGATATCTGGTTGACCAGCCCTCCTCTTAACCTGAATATGATTACGACAAATCAAACTTCCCCTTTTAACAATTAGTTTAATACAATCTATTTAATAGCTCTGAAATGGTTGCTGCATATCCTATCAGAAACTAGAGTAGGCCACACACTAGAGTTTATATTTGTGCAACTATATTCCATAGGATCATCCAAGCTTAAGGTCCAATTTGGGAGTGGTTTGACATCTCTGGCCTGGTCCTGAATTTATTAAGTTGTCTTTGGGGTTCTTACTCTTATCTGCTAAAAATGCAGGAAGGCAGCAGAATCATCTTTCTTGGGTTCAACATTAAATTACATTTTTTTTATTTTTTATTTTTTATAGAGATGGGGTCTTGCTCTGTTGCCCAGGCTGGTCTCAAAGTTCTGGGCTCAAGCAATCTGCCTGCCTCCCAAAGCGCTGGGATTACAGGCATGAGCCACAGCACCCAGCCCCAAATTACATGATTTTACCACATGACCCACAGTACCTTTATTAGGCTGTAAAGTTCTGTAACACTGAACCATTTGAAGAGAAGTGAAATCCATAAGTAATAAGGTAACTTGCTTTACAGAATTAATTTGCCACCTTTTTTTTTTTTTAAAAAAAGTAGGCTACTTTAGTAAATCAAAATACTCTAAAATATACCTACCCATTTTCTCACACCCATGGCCAAACGAAAAACTTTCCAAAAAGTAAAATTCACAAAACAAAATTCTAAACAGAAAGACTAACACAGGCTTTGTTTTGTGTTTTCATTTTAAAGAAGGATTCTTATTTAAGGCCATAAAAATATACAAACATTATCATAATTAGAAACCTTAGTTCTCTAAGAGGCCATCATAAACAATGTATAAAACTATTCTAGGTTTCAAAACTGATCATATGCATGTATTATATGCGTAGAATATTGTGACAAACAAGTCGCAATTCTGTCTGCGTAGTGTTCTGTCAGCTGTGGGGAATACATTGGTGTTTTTGTCCACACACGCCAGAGATGAATATGAGAAAACCCACGTCACCGCTGAAAGTATAGACCTAGTTAACAGTCTTAGGGAAGAACCAATGAGAAGTACTTCTGTGAGCCTGCATGCCAAAAGGAATATTAATTCTCTTCAAGTATTGTCATACTTTTCAACCCCAAGATTAAACTCTTGTCCACATAATCCTGAGTATATGGGAGAAGGGATGCTGTTTCTCCCTCAAAAGAATCTTCCCCAACTGCTGCTGTCTGAGGGTCTGCAGTGAAGCCTACTGTCAACAGAAATACACTTTGAAGTGCAGGTTGAGCATCACTAATCCAAAATTCCAAAATCCAAAATGTTTCAAAACCCAAGACTTCTTGAGCACCTGCATGATGCCGCAAGTGGAAAATTTCACCCCTGAGCTCATTTAACAGGTCAGTGTGAAAACACAAGGGCCCAACACAGTTTATTCAGTTTCCCCAAGGAAAAAAAGACACCCACTCTGCCCTCTTTCTTTAAATACATCTTTTTCACACATGCCCAGTTTCCCCCACACAAGCGCAACCACAAGGGTAATATCAAAACTTTGTTTTATGCACAAAATTACTTAAAGTATTGTATAAAATTATCTTCAGGCTATGTGTATATGATATATATGAAACATAATAAATTTCGTATTTAGACTTGGGTCCCATCTCCAAGATACCTCATTATCTGTATGCAAATATTCCAAAATCAGAAGAAATCTGCAATTCAAAACACTCCTGGCCCCAAACGTTTAGGATAAGGGATATTCAAACTGTGTATATACATATATATACAGTTAACTATGTCTATATATATAGGCTATATATACATATAAAACTATGTCTATATATACAGACTATATATATATATAAATATGTATATAAATATATAATTTTCCCAAGACATAGTTCCAAAACTGTGCATTTGTGAAATAATAATTATGAGATCCTTTCCTTATTGCAGAAACACAATCTTGCTATAGTTTGGGTTTGATTACCTTGCCTATCTAATGTAATACAGAAGAACACACACAACACTCACCATGAGAAGATGTGTGGGCACTGCCATTTATTACCTAGGACACCTGGAGATAGACACTTAGTTTTCTAAATCTCAGCACTTTCATCTGCACCTTAAAGATAATGTTATCTACCTCACCAGTACACTAACCAAATAAAATAGCATACACCAGAATAAACTATAAAGCAGCATGAATTTTCAAAGGTTTTGTTGTTTTTTCAGAATCAATTTTAAAGTTCTATCCACATGAACATACGGGTTTCCAAGTGTATCATCCCTTCCTTTATTAAACATTTGCTAAAACTAATAAAATACTAGGAATATCAGACACCAAATGTGCATTGGTGATGAAATAGACAGAGTTCCTGCCTACATGGAAAAAGCATACAGACAATAACTGAAATTGTGTGTGTATGTATTTGTATATGTGTATTCACAAAATTTACAACTGTAATAGGTGCTACGACAGAATAAAAGCTGAGTTAAGGGAGGGTCCACTTAACAGGCTTAGAGAAGTTCAGCAGAGTCTCTGAGGAAGTGACATTTATGCCAAAATTGGAAGGACAGGAAAGAGTGAATCAAGCATGGGGGTGGGGTGGAGAGATGGGTTAAATGTGTGAATGAGTGACTTCACACTAAGGAACATTTTGAACTCAGCCATTTAAGAAGAAATATTCAACAGTGTGCACAACCAAGAGAGCCAGTAGTTATTACAGAAAACAAAAAGTCACACTTCCTAATTTTCTTTGTTCTTCACTTATTCCCTGAACATCAATAATCAGTCAATATGTGTTTTTTGAACTCTTACGACTGACTCTAGTATTTTTCGAAGTATAGTAATGATCCATAGAGATAATTGATTTAAAAAAATATTATGAGGCTCCACCCTATAATTCCTAAATCACAATATCTTGGGAGGGGCTCTGGAATATGCTTTGTAACAAGCATCTCAGGCAATTATGGTAGGCGATAAAATGGGAAAAATGCTGGATTAGGCACTAAACTAGGTGTTACATACAATATCAAAAGAGACACTCATGTATTCTGACCACAAGGTACTCAAAATATAGCTGATAGGTGATAAGACATATACACTTGAAATTATAATTAACACAGTAACTTGTCAGGATACATGCCCAGACAAATGGAACCCATAAATGGCTTAGTAGTCCAGGCATGAGAGATCAATGAAAATAGCAGCTTCTAGCTGCAGCAACTAGATGTCCTCCTAGGGTACACACTATAAGGCAAAAATGAGGCCAGAACCCTGTGAATTCTATGAAATGCATGAAGAAGCATTAGCTGGGATACTTTGCTGAAAGACCAAGTGACATTTTAGAAGTTCTAGTCATGATTGCGGAAATCTTTGTGCAGCAGAGTCCTGTCCAACTTCTTCAACTACTATCCTAGGAAATGTAAAGGATAGTGCAAAACACATATGGATAGAGCACAGGAATGCCAGGACTGTATCTTCAACCCTCTCCCCATGTGAAAACCGATTCAGGAGAGGTGATCTGAGTCACTACAAATTCATAATCTAGGAATTCAACCCGTTTTTTCAGGCCTCGTTCTCCCACTCCAGCCAAACGTAAAAAAAGCCTTCAATTATGAAATCAGAATTGCCCACCCCTGTGACAGTTACAGCCTTGGAAAGGATATAGGCTCCAACCTGCACCAAAAAGACTTTGGTTTAGGATAAAACAACATACAAACTTAACTGTCATTATCCATCCCTGTTTCCCAAATTGCTGCCTAGAGTCAGGTACTTTGCTAAGCAGGATTTTTTACCTGGATGCCTAATCCTTCTTTCATGTTTTAATCTCTAGGGTTTATGGGACTTGGTCTGGACTGAATTTTATGATTTCCCAACCTGCATGCACTTAACTCATTGTTGTGTTGCTTAATTTTGCCGGACTTGACTTCAGGCCTTCCAAATAATATTACTTTCTGATGTTATATTCTAAGGGCAACAAATATTGACAAAAGAGATGCTCAGAAGCAAGTGTAGGATTGAAGAGGGAATAACCTGCCCCACTGCCTTCCCTCTTTTTCTCTATATTTCGATTCTTGCTCCTCTAAGTGACTTGATAGCACAGAATTTTGAGGAGCTTTCCTAACACATATCCCCAACATGCCTTACATGATTATGAGGCTCTGCCCCATAATTATTAAATCACAATATCTTGGGAGGGGCTCTGGAATATGCTTTGTAAAAAGCATCTAAGGCAGTTATGTAGGTGATGAAAAGGGGAAAATGATTGTTACATAATTGTTCATGTAAGCTTCTGGGTATGTATGCCACCACAACCTCCCATCACCACCAGCCTATGCCCAATTTGAAAGAGCATGAATGAATATTTAAACACAAAGTGACCTGAAATTCTACTTTGGAAAACTTTTCAACAACTGATTTATTAGCCACTGAGATCTTTTGCATAAGATCACAAAAGTCATCACTGATAATTCTATGCCTTTTCTTGTGTTTCTCCAAAAGTCGGGAATGTCACTATCTCTCATCCTTATGTGTTAAGGCACAGCAGAAAATAGACATCTGTGACTGTTTTTGGCGTTTTCAATGGATAATTACTTGTTCCTGCCACTAGTTCACAACAATGAACCATGTTTATCATACTGTATACTGCTTAGCTGTGTATGTGTCTATCACTTAAATTGTCAGCATGTTAGGGTGCAAGGAACATGGGCTTTGAATTCGGAAGGTTTTGGCTTCATCATTTACTTCCTATGGGCATTTAATAAAATTACATAAACACTATTGGTTTTCCAGTTTTCTTCTATTTAATGTAATTAGTAATATCTATTTAATGGGCTTGTTGGGAATATTATATGACAATATTTATAAAGAGGGCCTTGTACAGTGCTGGATACAGAGTAAGTCCTCAAAATGCCACCTGAGCTGATGAAATCAGAATGGCCAGTATGCTCTGGCACTGGCACTTCTGGTAGAACTCATGCTCACAGCAGTGGCTATTTTTATCATATCCTGAAAAGACTTCTCATGTCTCAAAAATTCCTGCCAAATAAATGGATAGTTTGTTCTGCCTTCAGTGCCCTCCCAGTTCCCAGACAGAAACACAATATGAACTACAAATTCCAAAATCCACATTTAAAGTTCTACCAACTGCCAACTAAAACAGAATTTTCCCAATTCCTCCTTTTTCTATGTTCCAGGCAGCTAGTGAGAAGGTGTTGGTAAAACGTGTGGTTTCCCCTAACACAACCTCATTGACCTTCTGCCCTTTCTAAAGATGTTTTCCTCTTCAACATTTAAAGAACTGTAAAGTTAATTTTTCCCACCGAATAACCAATGACTATATAGGCAAACATCTAACAGAAATACTGAGAAGGAAGAGGAGGATAAATAAATCTTCCCTAGGAAATATTATTTTCATCACAAATTTACCTGGAACACTTTTGATAGACATAGAGCCCAATCTCTCCCTACTAGAGAAATCATTACTTCTGAAACATTAAGATCCCAGAAAATAAGCACATAGTTGGAGCAACATTGGCAAGTGGGTTTAATAAGAACATGTGAAGTAGGACATTATTAGGACATTCCTAGGAAAAGATAAATTGAATTTTATTTTCAAAAGCTGCCTTAAAATTTCTAACACACAAGTCAGAGAGAGTGAGCAGTAAAATATGTTTGAAAGTACAATAACAGATGAACAGTCTAAATTCTAAATTTTAAGTAACGACCAAGAAGGAAAGGCCCTTCCATATAGCTTATAAAGGAAAACAAAAGGCTTTCTACAAAGAGTTAATTACTGCAAATTAGATGACCACAGAATTTTGACTACTAAGAAAGACAGAAAAGTATTACCAGACAATAGAGATCTGAGGTGAAAAAAAAAAAGAATCTTCTAGAGACTGAAATATGTTTCCACACCTTGCTAATGATTGTCCAAGGACCTTCATGCTTCAAATTGCAGTGATTAATTGTCATTCTTTTTCTTAATCTATCAGCTGCATTTAACACATAGGCCCCCTCCTTATGAAAATATGTACTTTCTTCAGTTGGTTCCAAGAGATCTCACTCTCTAGGTCTTCTCCCTCTTCCTTTCCCCTCCTTTTTGTTGGATCCTCCCCTTCTTCCCAACCTTTCAATATTGCTCCTTCTTCATAGGTGTTCCCACCAAGTCCTATTTATGTGCTGATGTCCTCCAAGTTTATATCCCGGCCTTCCCCTCTCTCCTAAAATCCAGACTCCTGTATCCAACTATCTTTTCAATATCTCCCCTCGGATCTTTAGAGGGCTTTGCAAATTTAACATTTCTCAAAATGACCTCTTGATTCCCACCCACCCATCCAAACCTATGCTTCCTCCCACAGTCTTCACCTTGTTACTTAATGCCACCATTATTCATCTGTTGCTCTACCCAAAAGCCTAAAGGCATCCTTGGCTCCCCCTCTTTCTCTCTCAACCTACATCATCTCCTTCAGCAAGCCCTGGCCACTCTATATCCGAATTTTACTGTATCTGAATCCTAGACCAAGTGCCATCAGTTTTCCCCTGGATTCCTGCAATAGTCTCCTATCTGGTTTCTCTGCTTCCATTTTTCTACCCTGTTCTCCCATTAATCTATTCTCCAAAGAAAACAGGAATTCTTTTGAAAATATAAACAAAATTCTATCATTTTCCTTCTTGGAAACATCTACTGGTTTCCTATCTCACTCAAAATAAAACCCAAGCTCATTAGGTTGGTCTATGAGATCCTCCTTTATCTGGCCTAGTAACAGCTGATACCTTTAACCCTATCAATCTTTTTGTCACCACCCATTACACTACTGCCACAGAGCCTTTAGATTTGCTGTCTTTTTTTTTTTTTTTTTTTGAGACAGAGTTTCGTTCCTGTTGCCCAGGCTGGAGTTCAATGGTGTGGTCTCGGCTCACTGCAACCTCCACCTCCCAGGTTCAAGTGATTCTCCTGCCTCAGCCTCCCAAGTAGCTGGGATTTGGGATTACAGGCACCCGACACCACGCCTGGCTAGTTTTTTTGTATTTTAGTAGAGATGGGGTTTCAGCATGTTGGCCAGGCTGGTGTCAAACTCCTGACCTCAGGTGATCCACCCACCTTGGCCTCCCAAAGTGCTGGGATTACAGGAATGAGCCACTGCGCCCGGCCCTTGCTGTTCTTTTTGTCCAGATGCACTTCCCTGAGATATTGTTATAACTTGCATTATGACTTTTCTCAGGTCTCTGTTAAAATGTCAGGTCTTCTAAGAGGCTTTTCCTGATTTCCCTTCCTTATTCTCCAACATTGTCCTCTACTTCTTTTCTCTCTCTCATGGCTCATATTATCAGGCATTATATCATTTATTGATGTGCTTATTGTCTTCACCACCATCACCACTAGAATATAAGTTTCATGAAGTCAGGGACTTGATTTGTTTTCTTCTCTGCTATATTCCCAGTGTCTAGAGCAATTCCCAAAAGATCATGGGAACCAGTAAATAATTGTTGAATACAAAAATTCTGAATACAAAAATTACTAATTAAATATGTGTAAGTTATTTGTTAGTAAACTACAAGTTTATATGGACTTAGTCAGTCTCAATGAATTATCTTGATTTTACACAGCCTTCAGTTTAATCTCTACAGAACTACCTGGTACTAATAGCAAAGTTCTATTGTCCATTTCTGTCGGTATAAGCAACAAACATATCATTCACAACTAAATGCAAGTGTAACTTACAAAAGTAATAACTAAACCTGGATATTAACAAGTTCATATTGAACTGCAAGTTAATAAAATACTATCAATAAATCCGAAGGTACATAATATCAAAGAACTTAACACTGCAAACAATACAAAGAACCCACACAATGAAAAAGCAAATGAGTACCACTCATGTGGTAAGCAGCCTGAGGTCACAAAATCATGATAGGAAAAGATCAAGTTCAAATCGTTTGATTCACCTTCACATGACCAACCTATATATATTCCACAGGAAAAAAGAGAACTTGCTATGGTCATTTATTGCCTCTCTCTAGAGTTTCCAGAAGACAGTATGAGGTCTACTCACTAAACCATTCAGTGACCAGATCCAGGAATAATCATTTGTCAGAGGAGAGGCTCACTGAATGATAACAGAATAAACTCAGGCTAACTCACACACCTTAAATAGAATATAGGTTTGCTAAAGGAAACTATCCATGAATATCAAGTTAAGACTCCCACTGGATTCCAGGAACAAAAAGGCTTTCGCTTTTACTCACTTTCACAAGAGCTCTATGCCATTTACTTCTGGCCAAGGAAGTCATGAGTAAAGTCAAATGCTCAGCTTCCATGACAAAATATTGGGGATTTCTCAGGAATAGTTTCCTTCTCTTGAGCAGCTTCAAATATATTTTAAAACTAGGCACGTGCCCAGAGATACACATCCATACACGCAAATATATATAGACATATGCTAACAAAGATATACGACAAGAGGTTACCAAAGATACATGGGTCATGCATGTATTCTTCTAAGTTTTTTTTCTTATTGTCATTTTCATGTTTTGGAAAGGATAATTAGACATGCCTGGAAATTAGGGTATTTGCACAATTTGGGAAAACTCAGTCATGGAAAAGAGGGTTGTGATGTAACATCAGGTACTCTCTACCTCCTTCTTACTCTTTCACTCATATTCCATAGGCTGAATGGTAGCAGAATCAGAAGATTCCTCCTCTTCAGCTTGGGAACCTGTGAGTGGCCAGTACCAGAGAACTGCTACTGACCCATGCAAACTTTTAGAGCTGAAAATAACTATTAGAGTCAAGATGTCACATGATGTGGTTACAGAACTTGCCTTCTAGTCACAGTGATAAACAAACAAACAAAAATGAGTCAAGTTAGGAGAGTAGTAGAAAAATTCTATGCAGAACTGAATAAGTTGTGTGTATATATATAAAATACATAAAAATATATAATAAAACATAATATTTCATTTTTTAAAACAAAAATAATTATATCTCACTGAATCTCTGTGATTTCTTTTTTACCTAGCTTCTCTCAGTGGACTAAAGTAAGATCTATAACTTTTCCCTCTACTTATTGAAGACTTTAATTATATATGCATATAAACAAGTATGTAAAAAATATATCCATCATTTATTAAACAAATATTTCTTGAGCACTAGTATGCAGCAGGCACTGTTCTAGGCACCAGGAAAATACTAATGAACAAAAAGACAAAAATACCTGCTGGGAGTTACATTCTAGTGTGAGGAGACAGGCAGTAAAAACTGGCAATAATATATAGAATTTATATGGTTATAACTGCTGTGAATAAAAATAAATCAGAAAAGGAGGATAAAGGGTTTTGAGAGGTTGCAATTTAAATATCATGGTCAGTGAAAGCATCATTGAGAAGCTAAGATTTTAGTAAAATCTGAAAGAAGTAAGAGAGCAAGTTATTCAGGTATTCAAGGAATATTCCTCCAGGTGGAGGTCACAATTTGGGGGCGGGGAAAAATGGTGCCCAGCACAGTAAAGGAAGATTTGTGAGTGAAGTAAAACACACAAAAAGAAAATACGGTTAGAGGAATTACAGGTCAGATTACTTATAGCCTGTAGGACTTTGGCTTTGCTCTAAGTTAAATAGAAAGTCAATAGAGGATTTTGAGCAAAGGAACGAATAATCAACACTTTTTTTTAAAGAATCACTCTGGTAGCTGTGTTTAGGATAGACTAAAAGTGTGAGATGGAATGGAAAACTTAAAAAGGATGATTAGCTAAGAGGTCATTGCTATAATCCAAACAAAGGATAATCAGTCTTACTTAGAGAAGGTTAGTACCAGAGGAAATGGCAAGAAATATATTTCAATGATTAAAATTAACAGGATGTACCACAGACTAGATGTGAGAGGCATAAAGATTGACTGTAAAGATTGTAGCCTGAGCACCCGGAAAGAAAGGAATTCCTATAAATACACAGAGAGTAGAAAGAATTTACCAAAGGCCAGTTAAGAGTGATGGAAAATACAGACATCCTAATTTTGAGAGGCCAATTAAACATTCAGGTAAAGAGGGGCAACTATATCCTGAATTAAAGGTAGGGATTCAGATAAATATTTAAATTTAGGGAATTTTCAGCATACAAATGGTACCAAAACCATAAGAATGAAAGATCACTCATTCATTAAGAATGAGAAAAGAGGAGGGATTTGAGGTCTGAGCCTTGGGCATTCCAAAGTTAAGAAGTGAGGTTACGAAGAAGAACCAGGAATGGAAAATGAAAAGGAAAAGCCAGTGAAGTCAAAGGTAAACCAGGTTTGTCCTGGAAGACACGTGAAAGAACTTGCCAAGGAGGAAGTAATAGTCAATTTTGTCTGATTCCACTCATAGGTCAGGTAAGAGGGGTTTGATGATAGATATTGGTTTTAATGACATAGACAAGGGCAGTTTTTATGGAATGCAGAAAACGAAAGCTTTAATGAATCTATTTTGTTCACTATTGGCGATGGTAAGCATAATTGTCTCATACTATAAAGAAAGAAAAAATGGTGCAGTAGCTGAGGCAGATAATGAGATAAAGAGATCACACTTTTTTTAATGGGAGAAGTCATAGCATATTTACATGCTGATGGGAAAGATCATGTTAGCAAGGGGAAAATTCCAGAGGGAGGAGAATGGCTGGAGTGATATCTTCCAGAGGTTGGGGAGCTGCCCAAGACTCCAGCATGGATAATTCATCCTTGAGAATAAGAGAGAAAGTAGAATATGTGGGCATGGAGGCCAGAGGTTGAATGGATGAGGTAGTGGGAGTTTTCAGGAATTCTCCTCTAATTGCTTCTATCTTCTCAGTAAAATGAGAAACAAGATTATTACCTGATAGTAAAAGCTAAAAGAATAAAACTCATAACATAATTCAAGGAAAAAACAAAAGGAATGCCCAGAGAGAAAGGACTGATCCCTCCTAATAACCTTATATCTCATTATAGACAAACTTCTGTACAAGGGCTGAAGACAGGACAAGATGTGCTGATGTATAAAAAGTCTAAATCTGCAGCATAATCGTGAAGAGATGAGGAAAGCCACGTACTCAGAGCCTCACTTAAAGGAAATGAAACAGTAAAACTGAATCAGATTTGGCTCTTCACTTCTGCCTTCAGTGCTGTCCAGACTCAGACATTATATCAGTAGGTTTCAGTTTTACTAACCAATAAGTTCTTTGTGTACTTAAAGTTGGTTGTTTTTTAATGGGGATGTGGAATGGAGGGGTAAATATTTTGTGTTTTTTAATGAGGAATCCCAAACACTAGAGTTTTTTCTTTATATTGCAAAGGCACTGATGCCCCTTCTCACAAAATATTTCATGCTTCAGTATTGGCCTAAAGTTGACTATCTTTATATAAATTAAAATCTTCTCATGTTTTAGTGGTGTTTTAGAAGATCTTGACATGTTACTTTTTGAATTAAAGTGAAACGCATAGCATATGGACTCAACAAAACCATTCTCTGTGAATAAAATGTGTCACATTCTATAATAAAACTATATATAGCATGTTATTCCATATTCTGTATGATTAATTTTAGAGATTATATCTTGAATTCTGCTATCAATCTACAATGTTTATTCATTCATTCAACAAATATTTGTTAAGAACTACTATGTGTCAAGTACCTAGTTTGCAACAGTGAATAAACAGATATTCTTGAGTTTGTGAAGTTTATTATATTCAAGAGACAGAAATATAGATAGTACACAATTAACATAACACCTAAGAAAAGAATTTAATATGTAATAAGATCATAAGTACAATGAGAAAAAATGCATCACAGTAAGGAGACTGGGGAGAGTTTGCAATGTGAATCATGTGGTCAGAGTGAGTCTCATTGAAAAGTTAACATTAGAACAAAGACTGGGAGAAGACGCAGTTGTGAGTCATCTGTGTTCTGCAGCGGGAACGGCAAGTACAAAGGCTCTGAGGAAGGAGGGCGCCTGGAGTGTTTGCAGCAGTGTGAGGAGGTCAGCTTAAAAGTAGAAATGAGAAGAAGAATAGATGATAGGATCAGCTGGCTATGCAATTTGCAGTGCAAAATAAATTTGTGGGGACTCTTGTTAAAATTTCTTTCTCTTTTTTTATTATACTTTAAGTTCTGGGGTACGTGTGCACAACATGCAGGTTTGTTACATAGGTATACATGTGCCGTGTTGGTTTGCTGCACCCATCAACTCATCATTTACATTAGGTATTTCTCCTAATGCTATCCCTCCCCCAGGCCCCCACCTCCCAACAGGCCCCAGTGTGTGATGTTCCCCTCCTTGTGTCCATGTGTTCTCATTGTTCAACTCCCACTTATGAGTGAGAACATGCAGTATTTGGTTTTCTGTCCTTGTGATAGTTTGCTGAGAATGATGGTTTCCAGTTTCATCCATGTCCCTGGAAAGGACATGAACTCATCCTTTTTTATGGTTGCATAGTATTCCATGGTGTATATGTGCCACATTTTCTTAATCCAGTCTATCATTGATGGACATTTGGCTTGGTTCCAAGTCTTTGCTATTGCGAATAGTGCCACAATAAACATACGTGTGCATGTGTCTTTATAGCAGCATGATTTATAATCCTTTGGGTATATGCCCAGTAATAGGATGGCTGGGTCAAATGGTATTTCTAGTTCTAGATCCTTGAGGAATTGCCACACTGTCTTCCACAATGGTTGAACTAGTTTACAATCCAACCAACAGTGTAAGAGTGTTCCTATTTCTCCACATCCTCTCCAGTACCTGTTGTTTCCTGACTTTTTGATGATCACCATTCTAACTGGGGTGAGATGGTATCTCATTGTGGTTTTGATTTGCATTTCTCTGATGGCCAGTGATGACGAGCATTTTTTCATGTGTCTGTTGGCTGCATAAATGTCTTCTTTTGAGAAGTGTCTGTTCATATCCTTCTCCCACTTGTTGATGGGGTTGTTTGTTTTTTTCTTGTAAATTTGTTTGAGTTCTTTGTAGATTCTGGATATTAGCCCTTTGTCAGATGAGTAGATTGCAAAAATTTTCTCCCATTCTGTAGGTTGCCTGTTCACTCTGAGGATAGTTTCTTTTGCTGTGCAGAAGCTCTTTAGTTTAATGAGATCCCAATTGTCAATTTTGGCTTTTGTTGCCATTGCTTTTGGTGTTTTAGACATGAAGCCCTTGCCCATGCCTATGTCCTGAATGGTATTGCCTAGGTTTTCTTCTAGGGTTTTTACGGTTTTAGGTCTAACATTTAAGTCTTTAATCCATCTTGAATTAATTTTTGTATAAGGTGTAAGGAAGGGATCCAGTTTCAGCTTTCTACTTATGGCTAGCCAGTTTTCCCAGCACCATTTATTAAATAGGGAATCCTTTCCCCATTTCTTGTTTTTGTCAGGTTTGTCAAAGATCAGATGGTTGTAGATGTGTGGTATTATTTCTGAGGGCTCTGTTCTGCTCCATTGGTCTATATCTCTGTTTTGGTACCAGTATCATGCTGTTTTGGTTACTATAGCTTTGTAGTATAGTTTGAAGTCAGGGAGCGTGATGCATCCAGCTTTGTTCTTTTGACTTAGGATTGTCTTGGCAATGCAGGCCCTTTTCTGGTTCCATATGAACTTTAAAGTAGTTTTTCCAATTCTGTGAAGAAAGTCATTGGTAGTTTGATGGGGATTGCATTGAATCTGTAAATTACCTTGGGCAGTATGGCCATTTTCACGATATTGCTTGTGTCGATTTTCAAAGGGAACGCTTCTAGTTTTTGCCCATGCAGTATGATATTGGCTGTGGGTTTGTCATAAATATCTCTTATTATGTTGAGATACGTTCCATCAATACCTAGTTTATGGAGAGTTTTTAGCATAAAGGCTGTTGAATTTTGTCGAAAGCCTTTTCTGCATCTATTGAGATACTCATGTGGTTTTTGTCGTTGGTTCTGTTTATGTGAGGGATTACATTTATTGATTTGTGTATGTTGAACCAGCCTTGCATCCCAGGGATGAAGCCAACTTGATTGTGGTGGATTAGCTTTTTGATGTGCTGCTGGATTTGGTTTGGCCTTTGTTAAAATTTCTTAAGAATTTCATGGCAACTAAAGCAGAACCTTAAATCATGCATAAGCCCAAACATTCTCAGCACAGGGCCCTGAGTGGCTGCACAGGTCACACACCAAAAAAGCAGGCTTTGGTAGGAAATAAGGTCAGGTCAAACAGGTAAGAAAGTAGGAGAATATATTTTGAAGGGCCTTCTAAACTCTTGTAAGAAATTTGACTTTCACTCTGAGATAAATGAGACATAACTGGAAAGATCTGAGCAATTTCAAGTATGGGATCTGTGTTGAAATTAGTTTAGGAGCCCAAAGTGGAAGCAGGAGACCACTTGGAAAACTACTGCAATAATCCAGGTAAAAGATGATGGTGGCTTGGCTCAAATGGTGAGAAGTTGCAGACTCTGGAACTCACAAGATTGGTGATGGGTTTTATAAAGGGAGAAGAGAAATTTCAAGAGGAATAAAGAATGACTCCAAGGTTTTTGACCTGAGGACCTGAAAAACTGGTGTTGCCATGGACTTAGATAAGAAAGTGTGGGAGAGAGTCCAAAAGGGGCAGTGGTGGAGGGGGAGGGTCAGGAGTTCAATTCTCAACACAAGAGTTTGAGATGCTAAGACACTCAAGTGGAGACTGAGTTGGCAGTTGGACACATGAGTCCAGTGTTCAGGGGAGTGGTCAGGCTGAACATATAAATTTAAAAGTAATCAGGAAAGCCTTTTTTCTTCAGTGCAGCAAAAAGTAGAGTTCTCAACACATCTAGATTCTTCAGAAGTTCTAGGCTAATCAGAATTATTTGTATACCCCATTGCTCTTGGCTAATGACACCTGTACTAAAATTTTTACATCCTACTCCATTCATCTTTTATTAAAAAGTCCTTTTTTCTCTATTATTTAACAGTATGCCTTGGCTGTAACTGAACACCAAGGTGTTTAAAATGTGACTAAGAAGTTGAGGAAATCTGTTTGTAAATATCATAATTAGATTTCTCTACCAGCAGTAGACTTTTCTATTTGATTTTGGAACAGACTATTGATTTTTTGCAATCTCCAGACTGGCCTTTTGGTTACATAAATGTAAAGAAAATATCCGTCTATAAAATCTATGATATCATCATTAATCTAAATGCAGATAAATATTCTGGATAATAATAAACATTCTGGTTTAGGAATGTAAACTAGTAGGTTGAGCTAAGGCTGCATATTATTTTTGTCAGTAGGGAAAAAGAACAGTTATCCAGGGGTGAGAAGAACTAGCAATGTGTCTGGACTTCTTCCTGCACCTGGTCAAAGAGTTGGGGGTATTTTTTGTTAGTTTTAGGAGTTGCTAAAACATGAAACAGAGGGGCTGCCTTTGCAAAGACGTTAGGAATCTCTAGGTACACACAATGCTGTGTAAGGGTCTGACTATCTCAAAGAAATTACAGAGAAGAATGTTTTTCCTGGCTCTGTTCAGAACCTGATCCACAATGCCAGTGTATCTGACAGTGGCAGCTCTGAGAGAATCTGGCAGAGAGTGCTTCCTTAGCAGGATCCTGGTCAACCGGTCAACCAAGAGGCCCAGGAGAGGTGCCTTCAAGGTGCATGAGGTAGTAAACACCAGCCAGCTGGAGCAGTATAGGAAAGAGTAGGGAATGAGGGGCCCCATGGTGAATGCATGTGAGGCACCCTCTGAAGAGCCCAGAAATAAACTTGGAAATGTTTTGCAAGGAGAGGATTGCTATTCAGTAATTACTTCCTTGGAAAGTTGTAGCGTGATAGAGGGTCAGGGTTACTGTAATTTAGTTTACTGATGTATGATGCCATTTTTACCCTCAGTTTGGTAACAGCTGGATGTACACATGTATACTAGTTCTAGTTAGGCACCGAGATATTTGTCAGCTGTTTTCTTTGAAACTAGGTTTCTTTCAATATGGCCCATTGGCTAAGGCCAAGTAATATAGTCCAGTCTATTTCTCTAAGCTGAGTGAACTGCTTTCTATATTCTTTCCAGTCTTCTGCCAGGTCCCCTTTTTCCTGCCATCTGTCACAATGAGAGAGATTGATAGGAAAAGAGTTTTTGTGATTAAAATTCAAAACGAATACAGATTTCCATTGCTTATTATAATTAGAAGTACAGTGATATCTAACCATGTAACGACATTATATACCTCACCCCACTCTCATACTCCAACAAGAAGATGAAAACCCAGACATGTTACTAGTTAATAACTCAGCATAATATGAGTTATAATAATGTACACAGTGCTTACAACTTAAATGTGAACTAGAACTTTTTTTCCTATAATTTGCTTTCAACTTATTCTCGAGTTTGAAGATGACCTCTCTTTGGGGGTTTATGAATGGGTGGAGAAAGGTAAATTGATCCTCACACACAAACAGAAGAATTATGTCTCCTTTTCATGTCTTTAAATATACAAGTATGTCCTATAGTTTCAAACCAGGTATAACATGACTAATTTTTTTTGTTTTTTAATAAACTTCTTTTTTTAAAAAAATGAAGAAAGCATTTAGTTTTCTAATCTTTAAAGAAGTAAAACACTTTAGAATTATATCACATACATATGAGGTAATTTATTTATTCTGATTATTCATATAAAATAGAGTTTTTCAACCCCAGTGCTGTTGACATTGAGGCTGTATGAGTTTTTGTTGTGGGAGGCTATCCAGTGCACCGTGGCATGTTTATCATTATCCCTGGTCTCTAACCACTAGATGCCAATAGCACTTTCCTACCTCACCACCCCAAGTCATTAAAATAAACAGTGTCTTCTGAAGTTGTGACATATCCCCTGGGGGTGCCCTAGTTGAGAACCATTCATAAAGAATCTATTACTTTACAGCATGTAAGAGAGAAATAAATTCATTTTCATAATATATTTTATTATTCAATCATCTCAAGCAACCATTTGAAGTCTTCAACCAAAGGAAGACAACAGAGTTTTGCCAAACAGATAATGCAAGACATCATATTTCCCCAAAATTATTAAATGAAACCATGTACACTATCATTTGATGAAGCATAGAAAATATCAGTTACCTCTGTGTCATATTCATGCTACTCATAGATGACAGAGTTGACTAATCAATTTCCTTCAGAAATTCAACAACAGCAAGTATCAGGTGATTTTTGTCCACTCAGTAGAGTCTATGTCTCATTAAGCTGGGCAACGGGCAGAAAGATTACAGATCGGTACTGGAGAACTCTGTTGGTTTTTAATCTGTTTACAGATAACAGCTTTTACCTTTGTGCACACTTCTAATACTAGTATCTTTTAATACAATTATCTTTCATGTCAGGCATTTTTTAAAGTTATATGTTGATTGTGTAGATTTCCATTTCAAAGGGGAAAAGCAACGGTTAGAAACTTCTGAATGGAACATAAACAAAACCAAGCATTTTTTCATATTGGTCCATTACACTCCCATCTCTTGCTTGATGCTTGAAGAAAAACTCAGTCGCACAGGCTTCATGCATATAAAGCATTTCTTATGTGGAATATATGAAGAGAAACTCAATAGCAAAACTTACTTTCAAGACTAGATGAATGAGCCACTTATTTCAAAAAATATATAAAGGATACTACCAAGGAAGTCACAGAATTTGATTTGTTCTATGAGTTTACTATGTTTACTCTTGATTGTATTTGAACTTTAATCCTGTCTTGCTGACTTTCTTCCACTGTACACCAAGAGCCTCACAAAGAAAGGAAAATTGGAAGGTTTGATGATGTAAAACCTGAGACATTTAACAGATATTTTTAAACTTCCCCTACTTATTCTACTTTTTTTCTTTTTTTGTTCACTTTGCCCACCTCAATTTATTTATTTATTTTTATTATTATACTTTAAGTTCTGGGGTACATGTGCAGAATGTACAGTTTTGTTACAAAGGTATACACATGCCATGGTGATTTGCTGCTCCCATCAGTCCATCACCTACATTAGGTATTTCTCCTAATGTTATTCCTCCACTAGCCCCCACCCCTTGACAGGCCCCAGTGTGTCATGTTCCCTGCCCTACGTCCGTGTGTTCTCATTGTTCAACTCCCACTTATGAGTGAGAACAGGCAGTGTTTGGTTTTCTGTTCTTGTTATCACAAGTTTGTTGAGAATGATGGTTTCCAGCTTCATCCATGTCCCTGCAAAGGACATGAACTCACCCTTTTTTATGGCTGCATAGTATTCCATGGTGTATATGTGCCACATTTTCTTTATCTAGTCTATTATTGGTGGACATTTGGGTTAGTTCCAACTCTTTGCTATTCTGAATAGTTTTGCAATAAACATACATATACATGTGTCTTTATAGTAGAATGATTTATAATCATTTGGGTATATATCCAGTAATGCAATAGTTGGGCCAAATGGTATTTCTAGTTCTAGATCCTTCCAAAAAAGAGCCCGCATAGCCAAGACAATCCTCGGCAAGAAGAACAAAGCTGGAGGCATCACACTACCTGACTTCAAACTATACTACAAGGCTACAGTAACCAAAACAGCATGGTACCTGTACCAAAACAGATGTATAGACCAATGGAACAAAACAAAGGCCTCAGAAATAACACCACACATCTACAACCACCTGATCTTTGACAAACCTGACAAAAACGAGCAATGGGGAAAGGATTCTCTATTTAATAAATGGTGTTGGAAAAACCGGCTAGCCATATGCAGAAAACTGAAACTGGGCCCATTCCTTACACCTTATACAAAAATCAACTGAAGAGATCAAAGACTTAAACGTAAGACCTAGTACCATAAAAATCCTAGAAGAAAACCTGGGCAATACCATTCAGGACATAGGCATGGGCAAAGACTTCACATCTAAAACACCAAAATCAATGGCAACAAAAGCCAAAATTGACAAATGAGATCTAATTAAACTAAAGAGTTTCTGCATATCAAAAGAAACTATCAGCAGAGTGAACAGGCAACCTACAGATTGGGAGAAAATTTTTGCAATCTACTCATCTGACAAAGGGCTAATATCCAGAATCTACAAAGAACTTAAACAAATTTACAAGAAAAAAAAACAAACAACCCCATCAAAAAGTGGGTAAAGGATATGAACAGACACTTCTCAAAAGAAGACATTTATGCAGCCAATAGACATATGAAAAAATGCTCATCATCACTGGTCATTAGAAAAATCAAAACCACAATGAGATACCATCTCATGCCAGTTAGAATGGTGATCATTGAAAAGTCAGTAAACAACAGGTGCTGGAGAGGATGTGGAGAAATAGGGATGTTTTTCCACTGTTAGTGGGAGTTTATCCTTTTTTTCTACACAGGGATATTCAGGTGGTGGCATATCTAAAAAACCTTACATAAACAAAAATGTATTTTTAAAATATATTTTATGCTACTTAAATAAGAAACCAAAAAAGAAAAATGGGAAGGCGATTGTCCTCTCCTCCCAGGCAGGGTAGATAAGAAAATAGAGAGGCAACATGAAGTGGATACTTGCAACTCTTAATGAAACTGAACCAGATACTCAAGACAGATGGGCTCCCCTACATCTTGCAAAGCAAAACTTATTTGTTCCTTTTACATTTTCAATTGCTTAATTTGAATTTCTTGGTGCAGGCAAAAGGATTTGTGAGAAATGTTTTACCCTCTTTCATTAAAAAAAAAAAAAACTATTCAATAGCAACTGTCTGAAGAAGGGGAGAAAAAAGGAAAGAAAACAAGAAAAGCCACAAAGCCCAGCTGCACTTAGTTTCTGTTCACTTAGTGCAGCTTATGACGTAGGCTCGTTGTATTTTGAATTTGCACATTAAAAACATTCATTCAGAGAGGAAACTGCCTTTGGCATAACCTGCAGAAGCAAATAGCATTCACAGAACTGTTATTCAAAAAATTGTACCCAGAGAGCTATATTTCTTATTTAAATGAAACTTAAGTAGAACCAGGGAGGAGGGGGAGGTATGTTTTATGGTGGGTAACTTCTGACTTAAAATTTGAATCAGGTTTCATAAACAATTATTGGAATCTGAGAAAAAGTCAAGCATCAAACCCTGAGTAGCTGAGAGTTTGGGGGTCTCACAGCACAAAAAAAAGGGTGTTGAAAGAGGAAGCCCCGTTTTTGCTCTAAGTGACTTGCCTGATCCCGAAGTTATGTTAGCTTGTTTACCTCCAAGCACACCTTTGGAGTGAGATTTTTAAAGCAGTTCTCTTTGTAACATCAACATTACAATCTATATCCTGAAAACTACGAAGTTTTATATTCCTCCTTCCCCTCACTAGGCCTCCCCTGGCCTGCTTGTGTATTTGCTTCTTAGGGTCTACAGGCCTCTCTCTGAACTAAAGCTCTTTTGAAGTCCCAGACTTCCTATCTCCACCCAGGATCTAACTTAGTGTGATAAAGGATAATTTATTTATGAAAAACATTCATGCCATTCTTTTAAACTAGAAGCTTACATTTCAAGGGTATGGAAATGATTTCTAGCTGCCCTAATTTCATGGCATTGGGCTGTCGTATGTCATATACCACTGCACTGTTCATAATATTTAGACAGTTCCATAGCAACCTGTAAAATACAGCCTCCAGAGGTCTGCATTCCTCCAGCTATTCATGAAGGATTGGAGGAATTCCAGAGGAAAGAAACCACATTACAGAGCACTGGGTCTGAAATGCTCCCTTTATGGTAGCAATTGCAGGAAACCTGGAGCAAAAACATGTCTTAGGATTTGATGCAGACCTCACTACAGTTTCTAGAAGCATTCCCTTTTCACTTCTAGTTTTCTGACTTTACTTATAAGGTATCCAAAAATGGTTTGATAAAATTAGACTGCTTTATAGCTTATCTTTTTTTCCTTTCCAGGGTGGACAAATAAATTATCAGATTTTTATTACTTAAAATGTGTTATACAAAAATATTAGTGGGCAATACAGAAACGCAAATATATTCTAAGGCCTGGTTCTCTTTCCATTTGCTTCTTGAAATTTGCAAGTAAAATTTTCATTTTGGCCTACTTTTGAACCAGACCACAAAAACTTACTTTATTACACTATCCATTCACATTAAAATAGAATTTCTACAGTGACCAGCACAGAGATTTTAAATAAATGTGGTCGACACTCCTTAGTCACTGTTGCCATCTTCACTCTCTCCATCTCTCATTTTCATCAACCTGTAAGATAAGTCACTATCTATTTTCTATCTATATTTCATTCAAAATGTCTTATACGTTTGTAGCTCTCTATTCTCATAGGTACTACTTATCTCCAAATTATATCTCCTCGCATAAGATTACCATAATAGTCTACCACTTTATGTCTTTTAAAATATTTCCTGTAGCACCTTATAGAACACACAATATTTTATATATTCATCACATTTGATCCTCAACCTATGTTTTAAGCAAAGCAAACATCATCCCAGCTTCACAGATAAGAAAATGGTCTCAAGAAGACTAAATGACTTTCTTAATCAATGTCATGAAGGTAGCAAGAGACAGAAACAAAACTTGAACTCAAAACCCTTGAATCTAAATCCCAGTTCCCTAAACTTAATACTTCCTTCTTAAGGCCAAATAACAACAGCACAATAAAACCCGCTAAAAATTTCAACAGGTCCCTATTTATTAAACACATATGGCAACTTAGAAGTGGAGTGGCCTTACAGAGTATGAGGTTTAACAATCCTCATTTTATATATTATAGCTCCAGAAGCTTGAGGACTGGGTGATATTTCCAACATTACAGAACCAACGATAGACCCCACCAGTTCTTGAATCCACTGACTCCCAGCTACAGCATTTTCTGCTACACTTTTCTGTCTTACTGCCTTAAGTGACCCCCAGAATTTTTAGCTTTTGATAACATGTCCCAGTAACATGTCCAGCTTTAATTTTACCATCTCAAAAATGTGCCTCTGCTAAAAACAGGTTTATACATTTCACTTTCCAACAGGGGGACCACACTGATACAACCTCTGGACAGTGGTCCACATTGCTCACCAAACCTGGAGCAATGTTCCCTTCAGTCTTTCCAAGTACAAGTCCTAGTCAAATTCTACTCCCTGCACAGAGCTGGCATCTCTGTACCTCAAGAAACCTCCCTTCTCCGACTTCTTGCAGTACTTGTAGTTTCTACCACACAGATCTCATACCTGCAAATCCCTTTGAGGTCAGTGGCCAACTGGTCCTATGTTCCTGTCTAATCTCGTTCCCATGTTCTCCTCACTGAGAACAGTTGTTATATGAAATGTTATTTCCTTTTCCTAGAATATCCTTCCACTCTCACATATTAAACTGTCTAGAATATTCCTACTCAGGCTTTGCTTCTCAGCTTAAATGCTGCTTCCTCCATGAGGCCCCTGCTGTCTCTAGGTGACATAGGAAAGCTGTTTTCTGAGTTCCTATAGCATTCTGTACATTACTCCTTCAAACCAGTTATCTGATTTATATTGAAGTTGTCTACATGTCTGTTTCCTCACTAAAGATTCCTTGTCATAGACACAGTCATCAGCTTTTCTTATGTACTAAGTACTATTCCCAGGACAAAACTGGCACATGATATTTGTTAAATAAATCCAAAAATGAAATATTTATTTGCATAATAATGAAGACATTCTGTGTTACTTTAAGCTTAATAAATAAATACGGAGTTGGAAGCTTAGAGGGAAAATGTTTATCAAGAAAGCAGATATTGACTCTCATTGGCCTAGATCTAATTCCTATAGCAAACAATAAAGCAATGTTGGAGAAAGACAAAGTAGCAATTTATTTAGCTATTATTGTTCTTTCAGGGGTCACGGCCTTATACTTAGAGGTAAGTTCTTATATTCCACTATTTTCTAGAATTGGAGCGACTTATCCTTATAATAGAACTGTATTGAACATTTTGCTATTCCTTTAGCTCACCAAACTTTTTTTTATTCTTTATTTTTTATTTTTCTTGTGATAGGGTCTCACTCTATTTGTCCAGGCTACTGCAGTGCGGTGGCATAGGGTTCGCTGTAACCTGGAACTCCTGGGCCCAAGCAATCCTCCCGCCTCAGCTTCCCAAGTAGCTAGGATTATAGGCGCATGCCACCATGCCCAGCTAATTTTTAAAAAATTGTTTTAGAAGTAGGGTCTTGCTACATTGAGCAGGTTGGTCTTGAACTCCTGGCTTCATGTGATCCTCCTGTCTCAGCCTCCCAAGGCACTGGGATTACAGGAGTGAGCCACTGCACCCAGTCATAGCCCACCAAACTTTCTTAAACCTGTATTTTCAAATAGACTGTGTCCTCTATCTAAGAGGATGCCCCCAACACACTCCTTATTGGACAACCTCATATTCATCTTTTCATAGACAATATAAGGGCCATGTTTATGACCACTTTTCTGATTCCTTCTAGAGATAAATTCTTTCATGCTTCCAAAACCCTGCATGCACAGTTTTAGTACAGCACTTAACTTTATTTATTTACAACAAGTAAATCCTCTTTTTTCCCCTGTGTAGACTGTGACTACATAAAAGCATGGAGTTCACCTATTTCATGTATAATTTTTAAAGCTCAGCAATGTTTAGCACTTTTCATGGAACAAGCATGTATTCATACATTTAAAAGATGAAGAGAGAAAAGGAGGGGAGGAAAATGAAAAGACATGAAGATACTTGAGTAGCTAGTATTCTGATGCAAGTTAGTTTCTGTTTATTAGAAGATTTGGAAGCAAGCAGCAAGGTCAAAGCTATCTTCTTATTTCTGTTTGCATGTAAAGTTGTGGAAACATAAGGTGTTTCTAGAGTAAACTGCCGGCACCTATTCCACAGGTTCTTGGGTGTCAAGAGTCAATACCTAGCTTGTAGCTATGAGAATCCACTTTCGGGTGTTATTAGTGTTGGAAGGCAGTTGCAATGGTAGCAGTGCCCCACTTCTTAATTCCAGCATTCTAACGACTGCATAGCAGCTCCAGGAATTGTTCCTAAACTTACAGCTTTAGTGAAGACCTCAGAGGCAGTAGCTTCCTAGTGGAGTCAATCTGGGGTCAGTCCTGAACACCCAGCCTACTATCCTCTCCTTTAACATTTCAATAATTGTTTAAGTACATCATGTCCCGTATTTTTAAAATCCTTCTTGCTTAAAATACCTATAGTGGTAATTTCTGTTTCCGTTAGTGCATCCTGACAAAATAAGAGGGAACAAAGGGAAGGAGAGGAGAGAAAAGAGAGAAAAAGAAGTCTCGGCATATAACAACTTAATTTCAATCCCTGCACTGAGAGACCTGACCCACAGTAGCTAGTATGGTTTCTAAGCGGCCTAAGTTCACACCCCTGGTATGACCCAACCATCTCATGAATTTCTGCCTTCAAAAGCTCATGGGTGTCAAAAGCATTTCCTGTTTGTTCTGGCTAATACCTGATGATAGGCCCCTGATATTTCCTTCTCAGTGCACTTATTAAAAAAGGATTATAATTGTGAATCCTGTCTCTTTCCCTTTGGAGATATATATGCAGCTCCTACGACTTCACTCGCTCCCTGTCCCTACTCCCTCATTTTCCCTTTAAAGCACTCAGTCACTTCTGCACAAATCAGAATGGAGTTCAGCTCTTTCTTCTTCTTTTTTTTTTTTTTTTTAACTTTTTTAGAGACAGGATCTTGCTATGTTGCCCAGGTTGAGCTCAAACTCCTGGCCTCAAGCAATCCTCCTGCCTCGGCCTCCTAAAGCACTGGGATCAGTTCTTTCTCCTGTTGTCAGTCGTTTCTGAAGAAAATCTGTTTTCACTGCTGTAATGTCTGGCTTTATCTTAGACAAGAGAGACTTATTCTTTCTGCTCTTTTTCTTCAACTTTTGTAGGTCAACTGATAGCCAATTAGATTATAAGAATAATTTTTTATTTCTATAAAAATATAACATTGGTTCATTTTAAACAATATAGATCATTAAATATCATAATGATTTATTATGAAACCACATTTTCTATATATCTTTTAATGGAGAGATAGTGTTCTCTCTCCAGAATATTTAACCTGTGATTTTACCTAAAGTCTGACAGACTAAATACTTCAAGTACTACTCAGTATTATGAACCAATCCCATAAATATTAGAACTTTCTAGTCCACATATAGTTTCAAAGTAAACACTAATAAACAACATGACTCCAAAATTCATCTGCAGAAACTACAATTTAGTGTAGGAACTATAAACTACAAAATAAATTAACATTAATAGAATCGTTCTTTGGCTGGGCACAGTGGCTCACACCTGTAATCCCATCACTTTGGAAGGCAGAGGTGGGTGGATCACCTGAGGTCAGGTGTTCAAGACCAGCCTGGCCAACATGGTGAAACCCCATCTCTATAAAAATGCAAAAATTAGCTGGGCATGATGGCAGGTGCCTGTAATCCCAGCTACTCGGGAGGCTGAGGCAGGAGAATCGCTTGAACCCGGGAGGCAGAGGGTGCAGTGAGCCTAAATCGCACCATTGCACTCCAGCCTGGGTGACAGAGCAAGACTTCATCTCAAAAAAAAAAAAAAAAAAGAATTGCTTTTGTCAATTGATGAAAAAAGGAAATTCCAACTGATGCTTTAAAAGAGAAATTGCCTGGAGTAGAGAAAGACTGTAAGAGTTCTACTCTCTTTGGCCTTCGATTAAACAGAAATATTTCAGAGGAGCTTGAATCCTTTGAAACACACTTATACTGCACAGCGTGTTGCTATCCTCATTTCTGTTACTTAGGTTTTGCATTTTCAGGAAATGAGTAATTTGCCAAACATGCAGAGTCCCATTATTTAGATTCAGTTCTCTTGAAGGGATAAAAACAGTTGTTTAAGAGGGACTCGAAGATTCTTCACATTTTAAGCGTAATATACTTGTAAATGTTTCTCACTTGGAAGAAACTGCTGACAGGTGTGGTTGTGGGTTAAGCTTTAAGAAAGCTTGAGAAATTCCCCTGTTGACTAAGTATCAATTCACTGTAGTCCCAGAGCGATCGCCTCTGGACATCCCCTTTGAACTTTTTTTTTCCTCTAAAGGGGTTCATGCAAGAACTGTGATACACTGTATGTTCCTTCCTAAAAAGAAAGTACCTCCATGGACAACTTGAAAATTTCCAGCAACAGTAAACTTATTACCATTTTTCTCATCATTCCTAATCATTTTTAATGAGGAAGTGCAAACAGCTTGGAATCAGGAGCTATAGACTGTGAATGAAAAATGCAAACAACCTGGAATCAAGAGCTATAGATTGTGAATGAGTAGTCTCATTTAATCTCCACTGCATTCACTCCTAGAGAAGCTTGGAAAATTTCCCCACCTTTAAAATAAAATGGTAATTTTTTCAACTTGTAACCTCATAGAAATAGCACAAACATTAAAAAACAGAATCTGTATCAAAATATGTGAATTCTTTGAGGGACATTAATATTTTTGGCTACAATATTGGGATTATAATGGTAATTATTTGGAAAAATAGTATTATAAAACTTAATACTATTTTTCCAAATAATTACCATTATAATCCCAATATTGGCTATTCCAAGAAATTTAGCTAAAATAGCTGATGGGATTATCCCCACTTTTAAAGAATATTTCACTGAGAATACTAACAACTTCACTCTTACTACTTCCTCTTTTTAAAGTAAAGGCGATCTGAAGAAAGCATAAATGCACAAAAATATTGTACGATAGTCAAAAATAAGAGGGCATAGAAGATGGAATAAGCTGAATGCCTTTCTGGATGCAATCCCTATTGAAAGTCATATCTGAGGTTTGTATCAAAATCATGAGCTGAGATGGTATCCAAGGCAGGAAGGAGCAGATGCAGGCTGAGGAAGGACCTGTGTGTGAGGATTGCCTGAGGACTCAGAATACTGGGTAACTGCATGCATTAGGGAACTTGAAACCACCCACCATTAAGTACGAAACATGATTTCAACATGTTAAGGTGGCTTCTAATGGGTCTTAGCAGTTTATGGTTTCCAGGCTCCATTTAACTAATATCACAGAGACTTTCATTAATGCATGAAATACTGATGTACCTAATCTCTGCAGTCTTCATAAAATAATGACTCACTTTTGAAGTAGATGCTGGTACTTCTTTGGTACATTTGTGTCTTCTCTTTTTCATGTGGTCAGTGACAGTACTACACACCCCATAGTGGATGGAAAATGTTGAGAAATGTTCTGTGCAAATTCATGCCTATCATTAATTTCCTTGAGTAACAGAAATATGTACTTTATTTTTAATTAAACATAAACTTTTTTAGCTTATTGCTGTGGAAAGGGTTTTGTTGCCAAATTTTAAAAAAAATAAACGAATAGATATATAATAACGGTGTACGATAAATTTAAAAAAATACTTTTGCAAGAATATTCAGATTGCCTTATACACATTCTTTGGCAGGAGTGCTCAATTTCTATTTCCTGGCAATGCTTCGTGTGCAATTGACTTTTCATTTCCCGCATTTCCCCATGACTCCACCAACATAAGTTTGTTCAGCTCTTTTTATCTCACATATCACAATACCACCATAAGCACAGCACAAATGGCTGGTGAAAAAAGACACTAGTTGGGACAAAAAGCTTCAAATGCTCCTCTTATCCACAAGCAGAGAATTGAGCCGTCTCTAGCTGTGTATGTCTCATTACTTCTAAAAAACATAGGAAAAAGAGAGCCGAGTTATCACTCATCACTTATCAGATTTAACCAGGTGTTGAAATTAGAAGTCTGTTTACTGCTATGTGATTCACACTATAATAGATAAGATCATGACAGAAACTGGAAATACAAATTAAAGGTTCACCAAATCCATTCCATTTTATTTTAATGCAAACATTAATGAGTATTTTATTAAAAAAAAAACTATGGGACATAAGCTAAACTAGAAGAGGTGATTGTACATAAAGCATGAACCACAGTTATCTTAAGCAAGCCAGTAATGAACATGAACCAAAAAATCAGAAAATTAATATTGGCATGAAATCATAAATGAAATAAATAGAAAAGTGGGCAATTAGAACTCTAGTTTTACTTTTTAAAATATTTTATCTTTTAAAAACTGCATTTTCAAACATAAAAAAACTTGAATTATAACAAAATAATATTTATTATCCAAATTCAATAAATGTTCATTTTTTTCATATTTATATGACAATTTTAAAATAAAAAATATTTGGATATACAACATCTACTTTCCTCCATCCCAGACAGAAATATTATACCATCTCACCTATCAGCTATTGCTATGAAACATGCTGTATAACAAACTACCCATAACTCAGTGGTTTAAAACTATAATCTTTTATTTTCATGGATCTGAATGAAAGATCTGCAGATCTCATCAGAGCCCATTCATGCATATGAGGGCTAGTTGGAAGACAGCCAGTTAAGTTTTGGCTTGGCTGGGGCCATTTCACTCTGTTCCATGTATCTTCCCTTACGACTAGCCTAGGTATGTTCTTTTTTCCTAACAACGCAGAGGCACAAAAAAGCAAGGAGAAATACCAGTCTATTGAGGCCTAGGCTCAAAACTGTCACACTACCACTTCCATCTCATGCTTTTGGCCAAAGCAAGTCACATGGCCAAATCCAAAGTCAAGAGGGGGAAAGAGGCAGCCCACATGTAATGAGAGGGCATATAAGTTACAAGTCAAAGGGGATGAATACAGTAGGGGGTAAAAAATTAGGGCCAAAAACGCAATCAACTTCAACTCCCATTCATGTTTTTATATTAATCCTTTATGTCTATATCTATAATAATTAATGATATTTTTAATTGTTAAGATTCACATTAAAATGATATGTTTTCTTAACCTTGTGCAGTTTGACTTTCTTAATCATTTTGTTTGCAGTGATTACCTAAGTTGATCATTAAATTTATACTAGTTTTTACTACTAGTTTTTTAATTCTATAAATGGATTATAATGCATTCCTCTATTGATAAACATGTCAGTTTTCTCTAATTTCTTATTATTAGAAAAATGAATAAAATGAAAGTCTTGCATATGTTTCCTCATGCAAAAGTATGAGAATTTCTCCAGGGTGCATCTAACATAATGTATCTGAGTCTCAGGGTAAATATTCTTTCTACATTCAAGACAGCCAGTGCTGTCTAATAGAAATATAATGTGATCTCCAAATATAATTTTAAATTCTCTAGTTCCCATGTTAAAAAAATATATTATACACGTTTAATAAATTTTATTTAATACAATATATTCAAAATATTATTTCAAAATATAACCAAAATAAAAATTATCAATGTGATAGCTTACATTTTTGTATTAATTCTTTGAAAATTAATGTGTATTTTATACTTATAGCCCAGCTTAGTTCAATACATTTCTTTGTTGTTGTTGTTGTTGTTGTTGTTTGTTGAGACAGAGTTTTGCTCTTGTTGCCCAGGCTGGAGTGCAATGGCATGATCTTGGCTCACTGCAACCTCCGCCTCCTGGCTTCAAGTGATTCTCCTGCCTCAGCCTCCCTAGTAGTAGTAGCTGGGATTACAGATGCCTGCCACCATACCCAGCTAATTTTTTGTATTTTTAGTAGAGACAGGGTCTCACTATGTTGGCCAGGCTGGTCTCGAACTCCTAACCTCAGGCAATCCACCCGCCTCAGCCTCCCAAAGTGCTGGGATTACAGGTGTGAGCCACCATGCCCAGCTCATAGTTCAACACATTTCAAGTGCTCCATAGCCACATGTGGCTAGTGTCTACCCTATTGAACAGTGTAGTTCTAAATATTACTAAATTATTTGCCTTAGTGTTGATACCAATGTGTGAGCATTCCAATTGGACATCCTTATCAACATTTGGTCTATCAGATATCTTCAGTATTTTGCCAATCTGAAGGGTAAGCCAGAAAAGAACCCTAGTAGAAAAACTGAGGAAGTTTGAGTAAAGTCTGTAGTTCAGTTAATAGTATTAACTAATGTTAATTTCCTAGTTTCACTAATTATAAAAATCATTATAGAAGATGCCAAAATTAAGGGGAGTGAGTGAAAGTTATTCAAAAGTTCTGTACTATCCTTTCAAGGTTTCCATAAGTCTAAAATTATATCAAAATAGAAAGTTTTTAAAAGTCACCCCCTAATTGAACTTGAATTTCATTTCCTCCTACAGATTACAGGTATACTACTTCAGGCTTTCCAAAGGACAGTTTTTTATATGCTAACTGAAAGCGTTTTTATTTAAACTACAATAGTAGATGAAAGAATGTACTAATACTACTCTCATTTAATTCCATCTATAATGAAAGACCCACCAGACAATTTTGTGTCGGTGAATACTGGAAGCAAGGTAGCCTCTGGGAATTAAACTTGACACTGCTATTGTGAGTTCTGCATCTTTTCAATGTTATATCACTTTTCTGTACTGGTCTAATAGCACCAATTTTATTCTGCTGTGTCTTAAACATAATTTTGCAATTAGCATGCGGCACTTTCTCTACTAGGTAAACAGTAAAAACAATAATAATTCTGCATTGCTTTCAATAGTGTGCATAATGTACTAACCAAATGCCCTAAATTGAATAGATGATGAAAGTTACATTCCAACCCTTAAGAATTTACTAGAGAAGTTAAAGTAATAGATTCTTCCTTTCACTTGAACTGGTCTTTACATAAAATTTTGTCTTTCCCCACATTATTCCTCAGAAGTCTTCATGGTTGCTTCTTAGTAACTAAAGGTTTTAACTAAAAGGAAAAAAGAAAGAAAGAAAGAAGCAAAAAAAAAAAAAAAACAAAAACGTCTAACCTGCTTCTGTTGCTGCCCTACTTACAGTTACTTAGAAATCGCAAGCCTCTTTTAAGCCAACAGAAAGCTGCTGTGAGGACAGGCAGAGAGCCCTCTGAGAGTAAGTTGTGTTTTTTTCTTGAGCTTTAAGCATGGACACCCATGCCAGTGCCATTTCCAGAACTGAGATTCGCCTACAGAGCTTTAACCAATTGTACTTTCTCCTCATTCTTTATTCTTCCTCCAGTAGCCTTTAATCAGTACTTATCATTCATATGCTAATTTAGCTTCCACTTAAATTCTCAATTTGAACTCACTTTAATAACAAACAGCCAAGTAAATCACTTTTCAAAATTTTATAGTTTTTTTAAAAGTTATTATTATTGTTATTTGTAGAGACAGGGATCTCACTATGTTGCTTATGCTGATCTCAAACTCATAGCCTCAAATGATCCTCCCACCTCAGCCTCCGAAAGTTTTAGGATTACAGGCATGAGCCAACATATCCGGCCAAATCTGTTTTTCAGATGAGCTGCAAAGGTCAAAACATTAGCAACTGTTTAGAGTAAGCATTATAAGGGGCTAATACAGCTTGGAAGTGATAACTGTGCCCAAAAGTATCTCCCTTTAACCATCCCAGTAACTGATTAAAATACACAGGGAATACATGTTATAATCATGCAATTACCCAGGAGGTTCGCTGGAGACAGTGTAGTCAAGAGCACTAGAAAAAGGTCATCCAGAGAGATGCAGGGGATTTACACATCAATTTTCATTTAATTAATAATTGTATCTATGACTTATGTTGGAATTTTTCAGTCTGAATTTTCAAGGTTAAGGTTTGCAGTAGCATTTCCTCCCTGGTAGAAAGACATAACTTCCAAGCATTAATCATACACTTAGGATGCAGCCTTGTGTCTGCAGCCACAGTGTCATTTTCAAGAACTGTGTGAGCCTTGACTTGAGGCTGTTTGAGCATTGAGCTAAGGCTTCTACTCTGAGTAGTCAATGCTCCAATGGAAGTAAAAGAGCAAGGATCTGTCTATATCAATGCAGTTTATGACTAATTGTGGTTACTAGCTTTCCTGCCAGCATTTTTCAAAGTTTTAGAGCCATTTATTTCAACAAAGAGAAAGGGTGCTAAAAGTCACCACCGCTCTGAAAGAGAACTTGAGAAACTGGAAGACTTCCCCCATATCAGATGTCACTTGGGGAAGTTCAAGAGAAGAATTGACCTCTGAGGACAAAGCAGTTGGTTACTATGCACATTTGCTCATAAGCACAGCTCTGAAGGTCACTGCAGGGGAATTTACCTCAGTTTACAGGACAGGAAGGCCAGGGGGTAGTACTCCAGAAAAACTCACCACCACTTCTCCAGCAGGGTTTTTTTGGTTGACTCAAAACTAAGGCTTTGCCATGCACGTAAGGTAGATGTTTCAAATAGTTAAGGGAAATACCCTACAGAGGTTTTATATTATTTATGGTTAATACTTTTAGTAACAACTGATCACTCTTGGGGGCACCCTTTTAACTGATAAGAGGTTCTTCCACACATTAGTTGCTGTGCCAAGTTACTAAAACATTTTCTAGGCTGGGCACGGTAGCTCACACCTGTAATCCTAGCACTTTGGGAGGGCGAGGTGGGCGGCTCGCCTGAGGTTGGGAGTTTGAGACCAGTCTGGCCAGCATGGTGAAACCCCGTCTCTACTAAAAATACAAAAATTAGCTGGGTGCGGTGGCAGGCGCTGGTAATCCCAGCTGCTTGGGAAGCTGAGGCAGGAGAATTGCTTGAACCCAGGAGGCCGAGGTTGCAGTGAGCCGAGATCACGCCATTGCACTCCAGCCTGGGGCAACAGAGCAAGGCTCCATCTCAAAATAAATAAATAAATAATAAAATAAAACATTTTCTATCACTTTTACTCAAGGATATATTGTAGGGGCAGATGTTTCTATGGTTTTACTCTCATGGGTAAAAAATAAATAAATAAATAAATAAATAGATAAAGTGAAAAAAAGAATTCTAGTTGTGGAAATTATTGCTATCCCTAGCCATCAATTTGTCGATGATTTTATATAAATTAAATTCTGATACTTATAAATTTTTAGCACATCTTAGAATGGATACCCCATTGGAAGCCCTGGGTATGTTCTGTGGTTCTGTCATGACGGAGCCAATGACCAGGGAAAGAAAATAGGTAAACTGGACAGTCACTGGGGATCAAATCAGACAACCAGGGCTAAAAATCCTAGCCCTAAAACCTGCTAATTGTGTAAACTCAGGCAAATTACTTAACCTTTCAAACCTGTAGTTGCCTCATCTGTCAAATGGAGTTAATTAAGCAGTTCCTTCCTCCTATGGTCATTGTGAGGATGGATGAATACACAGAAAAGATAGCACATAGTGAATTCTGAATATATGTATCTCTTATTAGATTTGTGAACTTAAGTTTTTAAAAATCTCTGAGGCTAGACATTTCATTCTAAATTAATAATACCCATCTCATAGTGTTGTATTAACGAGAATTGACACGTGAAAAATGTGTATTTTCTAAGGATCTGTGATACACATATTATAATATACATGTTTGAACCTATGTACCTGTCTAGTAAAGATATTTTGATATTCTTGAGGAGAAGCATCATATGTCAAGAGTGAAATGTAGATGAAGTTGATCATTTTAAGCTGTTTTCTAAATGACATATGAAAAGAGAAACAGAGAGAAAGCATAGATACCATACAGTTGCCTGGGCCCACCTGTCAGCATTAATAATAAATACAAGAACATATGACGATATCGGCAAACATGCTTGAGAACTTGACTGAATGTGGATATCCTCCCGTCACTATGTTTTAAGTATATCACGTGAAAAATAATCAACCATTGATTCCTGGAAATGGCCACATTGGTACGAACTGGTATGCAGGGCATCCTGCACAGCTATTTTGTATATCTTTCTTATCTTTTCTGAACCTATTTCCTGCACTGCAAAGAAACTGACACAGGATGCTTATGAAACAAGATTTAATTTTTCAGTCCACATATGTGACAGCTGAACATCGAAAAGCCCCTAGATTTCACAGAAGTAAATTTTAGTATTTTTCTAATGGAAACCCCCATGGTATGCAGGGTTCTTATAAACTGCATTGGAATTCTATTATTAAAGTCAGTCACATAACTTCTTACCCAGCTTACTGCCTTCAAAGTCTCTTTTCACATTTTTCACTTTGGCACAAAATGTTGTACTACGAAGTGATCTTGAAACATTTTAACTTGAAAAACCCTTAAATAGTTCTGTAAACTATTACCCAATTCTCTACACCAAAATTTACAAAATGCACTTGAAATAATCATATAATAGATGACTTTGAAATCCAAAAATTAGAGTTATTTTTAAACAGGGATATTCAATGAGGCATTCAACTCACAAGCCAAGTCCCAAAAATCTCATAGGATGATACATTGTCATTCTAATTTCGAACTGAAAAGGCTACCTTCTGAATCATACTTGAAAATGAGATAAATGCCTTAATATGCTGTTAAAAGCTACAGTCTTCATACACTGATAAAAATTTCTGTGAGAAGAACAGCCAAGGGAAAGAAAGCAATTGATTAAGTTGATGGAGGGAGAAATAATGAAACAAAACAAACAAAAAATGTATAGCCCTGGAAGATAATTTACCAGGAAAGACCTTTGATTATGAGCTATGGGCTCCATAAACGTGAGAGAAGTTCCAAATCAGATTTCAACTTGGGAAAGACACAAATGCAAAAAAAGAAGCCACAAGGGTAACTCTTGTGACGACCAAAATAGGGGAATAACTTGATTTGAATGAGAAAGGTTCTCTCTGTGTGGAAAGGAGTTCTTCTAGGTGCAACATGCTCAATACACTTAGAGGAAATGGCACCTTGAAGTAATGATAGCTTTAGTCATATGAAGCAGCAACTTTGAGAAGCAGCTTAAAACAATGAAACAAGCATGAATTTGAAGTCGGGCTTAAGTTCTATTCCAAGTTTTGACACTTCTAGTTAGAAAAGTTTATCTCTTTTAAACTCAGTTGTCAAATTTGTTAAATGGGGATAGTGAAATTTGTCTCAAAGGATTACGGTAAAGATTAGACCAAGTAATCTAAAACATCTAAGATGGTTTTATATTTGTTATCTTAGCGTATTTATTATTAGCTATGATTATCACCTTTATCAGTAGTGTAAAAATGCTTCTACACCAGGACCGGGCACGGTGGCTCATGCCTGTAATCCCAGCACTTTGGGAGGCCAAGGTGGGCAGATCACAAGGTCAGGAGATGGAGACCAACCTGACCAACATGGTGAAACCCCATCTCTCCTAAAAATACAAAAAATAAATAAATAAATAGTGGGGCGTGGTGGTGCGCGCCTGTAGTCTCAGCTACTCGGGAGGCTGAGGCAGGAGAATGGCTTGAACCTGGGAGGCAGAGGTTGTAGTGAGCCAAGATCGTGCCACTGCACTCCAGCCTGGGCAACAAAGTGAGACTCCATCTCAAAAAAAAAAAAAAATGCTTCTACACCAAGTCTGAAGGAAAACATTGGCCATAAGTGCTTCCAAGGGTGATTTTAATCACTGGCATGTATGACAAATGAAAAACTGGCACAGAGAGTTGTGCCTGCATGAGCATAGCAGGAAGTCTCCTGATAATCAGCCTGTTCTAGATCACTTTACTTCCCCTAGTTTATTCCTCCTAGATTACCCCTCGAAGGGTCACTATATTAAATCAGTCTCTTGAAAGTTATTTTTATTTTCAGATGCCTGTACTACAGTAAGATTCTTTTCTTTTTAATTGGTCAAACCACTGCAATACATAATGTGTTATTTCCAACCATGTAAGAAGGGGAAATTGGTATATGTTAACAATATTAATGAATTTCTAGATCTGTCTGTGACACAACCAAACTTGAAAGTTATCATTTGACATAAGTATGCTAACAAAGCAAGTAGTACTTCCTTAATCATTTTTAGGGTTTTGAATAATGGAAAGTGTGGTCTAGAGGTTAGGACAAGTGGTTGGAAGTCATGCTCCCAAGAGCTGTCTCTTGCTCTGACAGTGACGCACTGGTTGACGCTAGACTAGACGGTTGACCAGCTATGAGCCAATCCGTTTATTTCAATTACTTCTTTTCAGCCTCAAATGCCATCACTCTAAAGACAAAGTCTAATAGTGTAACTTTAAAACTACAAATCAAAGTTATTTGATAATCTATATAATCATTATATTATATTCATGAAGAAATGCAATAAGATCAGCATACTAGTGCTCTGCAAGTCAATTTATAGTCAAATAAACATATAAATGAAGAATAAATTTTGATATGAATGAGCTGTCAACATGTAATATCAAAGCAGGAAAAACTTATGGCTAGAAAAGAATTATATCAACATAAAAATGACACAAAAATTATGGTCACTGAATGTAGGCTGTCACCAAGCTGAAGATTTCTCTTTTCAAAGACTTACTTTCCAGGACTCACAAGATTTTAGATAATAAAGAATAGTGATCCCTGTGAGATAGGAAACAACCAAAGTGAGCCTATGATTACACAATTTACTGCCTGGGAAGAGTGTCTAGCCTACTGTGTTGGGTAAAGAAACCCAGGGAGAGTCCAGCAGTCTCTGTAAGTTGAAGAGGCAAAAGCTGGGACTTCAAGGAAACTAAAGCAGATAGAATCTGCAGGAAAAAATTCAAGAAAAGAACATGCTACAGAGATAAATGACTGTAGAGTTTGTAGAGGGTTCCACTTCAGTATTCAGTTGAATACTGATTAGCATTTGTTTGTGACAAAACTACCAGGGGCCAAGGAAAAAAATGACTAGAAAGAATCAGAAGGAACAATGCTTAGACATCACACAGGGATGGGATTAATCCCAAAAGCCAGAGTGAAAAACCTAAAATTTAAAAAGTATTAGGGAGAGTACTAAGAAGGGCTTTGCCTCACTACTGGGAAAATTAACCTTTGACAAAATATTGCATTGATCCCACTTCACAAAACTTGATTTGAAAAAATAAAAATATTTTCTAGTAACTGAACCTTATCTCAGAAATAAGGACAAGAATATTTATAGGAATGTGAAGTACCTAGTATTTGAAAAAATAAAATACACAATTTCTGCCATTCAATCAAAAATTGTCAGGCATGCAAAGAAGCCTAGAACATACAACCTATAATGAAGAGGATAATCAATCAACTGAAACTTCTGAAGAAATAATACAGATAATATAATTAGTAGACAAGAATATTAAAACAGTTATTATAACTACATCTCATATGCTCAAGAATTTAGAAAAAAAGATTGAGCATGGTAAGTAAAGTAATGGAAGATATAAAAAGACACAATCAAACTTCTAAAGATGAAAACTACGACGTCTAAAATTAAAAATGCACTGGATAAGATAAATGTCATATTGGACACTGCGGAAGAAAACGTTACAGAACTTGAAGACACAGCAAAAGAAACCACCCAAATGGAACACAGAGGGAAAAATCACTCAAAAAAAGAAAGAAAGAAAGAAAGAAAGAAAGAAAGAAAGAAAGAAAGAAAGAAAGAAAGAAAGAAAGAAAGAAAGAAAGAAAAAGAAAGAAAGAAAGAGAGAGAGGAAGGGAGAGAGGAAGGGAGGGAGGGAGGGAAAGACAAAGAAAATTTTTGAAAAAACCAACTAGCAGTGATCTGTGGAGTAAATTTAAGCAACCAAATATATATGTGATTGAAGTCTCTAAAGGAGAGAAGGGGGGAGGCAACAGGAAGAATATTTGAAGAAATAATTGGTAAAAAATTTTGTAAATTTGATTAAAAGTATAAGACCATAAAGTGATATAATATCACTTGAAGGCAGACACTCATATGTTAAGGATGTTAACTATAAACCCTAAAGTCAACACTGATTTTTTTTTTAAAAAGAATTACAGCTAAGCAGCCAACAAAAGAAGTGATGTTGAAATCATAAAAAAGGCAGAATTAATCCAAAATAAGCCAGAAAAAGAGAACAAAAAATAGATGAGACAAATAGAAAACAAATAGCAAAATGGTAGATTTAACTACAACCATATCAATAACTGAATTAAATATAAATAATCTAAGCACCCCAAATAAAAAGCAGAGCCCATCAGATTGTACTGAAAAGCTAGGTCCAACTACATAAGGCCTTCAAGAAACACATTTTTAAAATAAATACATAAAATGGGTAAAAATAAGATGATACAGGAAAAATATCATGTTAATACCAACCTAAAGAAAACAGTTCTGGCTATATTAACGTCAGACAAAGCAGATTTCAGAGCAGAGAATATTACAGGGATGAAGAAGGTCATTTCATAATGATAGAGATGATTTGATCCAAAGGGGCTAAAATTAAAATATGTATGCCACTAATAAGAGAGCTTCAAGATAAAGGAGGCAAAAACTGATAAAACTGTAAGATACAAATTTACAATTATAGTTGGAAATTTCAATATCTTCTCTAAGTAATTGGATGACTAATTAAATAGTTAATTAGTAAAATATAAAAGACTTAACATTATCAACCAACTGGAGTTGTCATTTATAGAACATTCCATATAACAACAGTAGACTATACATGCATGCCTCGGAGATATTGCAGGTTCAGTACCAGAATATCACAATAAAGACTGTATCACAATAAAAAGAGTCTCACGAAATTTGTTGTTTTCCAGTGCATTGCAAAAGTTAAGTTTATACTATATTGGAGCCTATTAACCGTGTGATGGCATTATGTCTAAAAAGCAATGTACATACTCTGATTTAAAGACTTTATTGCTAAAAAATGCTAGCAATCATTTGAGCCCTCAGTGAGTCATCATCTTTTTGCTGGTGGAGGGTCCTGCCTTGACGCTGATGGCTGCTGGCTGACCAGGGTGGTGGTTACTAAAGGTTGAGGTGGCTGCAGCAATTTCTTAAAATAAGACAAAAGTGAAGTTTGCTGCATTGATTGACTCTTCCTTTCATGAAAGATTTCCTTGTAGCACGTGATAGCATTTTATCACTGTAGAACTTCTTTTACAAGTCAGTCATCTCAAATCCTGCTCCTGCTTTATCAACTAAGCTTAAGTTATATTCTAAATCCTTTGTTGTTATTTCAGCGGCGTTCACAACATCTTCACTAGGAGTAGATTCTACCTCAAGAAGCCACTTTCTTTGCTCATCCATAAGAAGCAACTCCTTGTTCATTCAAGTTTTATCATGAGATGGAGCAATTCAGTCACATCTTCAGGCTCCAATTCTAATTCTAGTTCTCTTGGAATTTCCACCACTTCTGCAGTGACTCAACTTCTTCCAAAATCCTGTTATTACTGATATTTTAACCTCCTCTTATGAATCACAGATGTTCTCAATGGCATCTAGAATGGTGAATCCTTCCCACAATGTTTTCAATTTACTTTGTCCAGGTCCACCAGAGGAATCAGTATCTCTGGCAGCTATAGTCCTGTGAAATATATTTCTTAAATAATAAGACTTGAAAATTGGAATTACTACTTGGTCCATGGGGTATAGAATAAATGTTGTATTAGCAGGCATGTAAACAGCATTAATCTCCTTGTACATCTCCAACAGAGCTCTTCGGTGACTAGGAACGTTGTGAAGGAGCAGTAATATTTTGATAAAAATCTTTTTTCTAAGCACTAGGTCTCAATGGTTGGCTTAAATTATTCAGTAAGCCATGCTGTAAACAGATGAACTGTCATCCAGGCTTTGTTTTTCCATTTCTAGAGCACAGTCAGAGTACATTTAGTATAATTCTTAAAAGCCCTAGGGTTTTCAAAATGGTAAATGAGCATTGGCTTTAACTTAAAGTCACCATCTGCATTAGTCCCTCACAAAAGACTCAGCCTGTCCTTTGAAGCTTTGAAGCCAGGCATTGACTTACCCTCTCTAAGTAGGAAAGTCCTAGATGGCATCTTCTTCCAATATAAGGCTGTTCTGTCTACACTGAATATCTATTATTTAGTGTAGCCATTCTCTTAAATGATCTTCAGTAGATGCTCTGGATAACTTGCTGAAGCTTTTACACCAGCACTTGCTGCTTCACCTTGCACTTTTATGTTATAGAGATGGCTTCTTTCCTTAAATGTCATGAACCAACCTCTGCTAGGTTCCAACTTTTCCTCTGTAGCTGCACCTCTCGGCTTCATAGATTTGAAGAGTTACGGCCTTGCTCTGGATTAGGGTTTGGTTTAAAGAAATGTTGTGGCTGCTTTGATCTTCTCTCCAGACCACTAAAACTTTCTCCACATCAGCAGTGAGGCTGGTTTGCCTTCTTATCATTTGTGTGTTAACTGGAGTAGCACTTTTAATTTCCTTCAAGAACTTTTCCTTTGCATTTACAACTTAGCTCACTGGTGCAAGAGGCCTAGCTTTCAGCTTATCTCAGCTGAAAGTGACTCCTCTGGATCTCAGCTAGACAGTGATTCCTCTGGTGGATCCGGGCAAAGTAAATTGAAAACCTTGTGGAAAGGATTCACTATTCCAGATGCCATTGAGAACATTTGT